>NC_000007.14:41755393-42058423 GCF_000001405.40 Homo sapiens
TCAGCAGTGTTTTAAGCAAAGTTAAAAAGATTACTTCAGTTTTTGATTGGTTCAGTTAATTCAGTTAACTCCTGTTTGGTATTCATGAACATTCTATTTGGTATTCATGAACATTCCAGCTCTTCATGAGAGTTCTGAAAGTTGTTTCCTCTATTCTAATGTTACAATTTCCAAAGTTAATAGAAACTTGCATTTAAGAACACCTGCTAGAGTTCTATAGTTGATTATAAACCACCTTCTAAAGAGAATTAAAAGAAGGCAACAATTGTCTGTGGATGATAAAAAGTTTTAGGACAGCCACTATTAAAGCCACAATTGATAAGGAAATTTGATTACTTCTGTGGTGCACAAAATTTTACACAGCAATTATAATTATTAATAACATACACTAAGTCATTAGAATTATAGGAGTTCCCTAAAACTTTAAAACATATACCAATAACATACTTATGCAAATATAGCCCAAAGAAAGCAAAACACCATTTTATATTTGATAATGCTTCCTGTATGACCCTTATACCAAATAAGCATAATTTCACCTATACATTAATGTACTATTAATGTTAAACACAATTTTCAATAAAACCTTATGGACATATTTACCCAATTTTAATGTTCAACCATAAGGTATGATTCTTATAAACCTTTTATAGCCATTTACATTTTTGTGTGTGTGAAAGAGCAGATCACTGCTCTAAGAAAAATCTACTGTGCTTTTTTTTTTTTGAGATGAAGTCTCACTCTGTAACCCCAGGCTGGAGTGCAGTGGTGCGATCTCAGATCACTGTAACCTCCACCTCCCGGGTTCAAGCGAGTCTCCTGTCTCAGCCTCCCAAGTAGCTGGGACTACAGGTGCACACCGCCATGCCCAGCTAATTTTTGTATTTTTTAGTAGAGATGTGGTTTCACCATCTTGGTCAGGCTGGTCTTGAACTCCTGACCTTAGGTGATCCACCCACCTCAGCCTCCCAAAGAGCTGGGATTACAGGCATGAGCCACCGCTCCTGGCCCTATTGTGCTTTTATTCTAATGTCTAATTCACAGAAAAAATGAATAATACCCTTTTAACTTTAGCCAATATGTTCACATACAGAATCTCTTACAATTAATTTTTATAAACCTTCCACAACTTGTTTAAACCTTTAGATATTTTTTCTTACTTAAAACAATCCTTTAACACTTTAGGCAGAAAAAAATCCACATTTCCATGACTTCTTATAATCTTTCACCAAAAACACATTTTACTTTCTTTACACACCTTCCATGTAAAATTGTTTCTTTAGTAGTTTCACTTACATATTATAATGTTAACCCTTAGCAACTTTTATTTTTGGTGAAAACCTTGGTAAATTCGAGATTTTAATTGTGTACTAGGTGTGGAGCCTAGCCTAGGACACACCAGGCAAAAGTGCAGATAAGAGCTGAGTCCCCAGCATAGTTAAGGGGTGTGGCTAGCTCCACATGTCCCCAGTCCTTATGTAGCTGTAAAGCAGTCAAGTTGTTCAGTAAGAGTCATAGTGGCATTTCATGAAGCATTTAGGAGGCCTAACAATCTTTGAATTGTATAACGTTTCTTGCATAAATTCCCTTTCACAAATCTTTTCATGACTTACACAGACCATCTGAGACATTCTTGGACTTTCTGACTTGCCCTAAGCATCTCTCCATTTAAACAACCAGTCATTTTACTTTAGGACGAGAATTCACCATACAAGATCCTTTCTTATATAAAATCTCTTTCTTTGTAATCTTCTTGTATAGCTGGGGGCATGGCTAATTCCACATATCCCCAGAACTTATCTAGAATCTAATGGCTTTAAGGTAGGTAAATTTTTTTAAAAGCTAAAGAGGCAGTTTATGACCTTAAAGCATTTAGCAAACTTAATATCTGACCTACATAATTTAGTCTAAATGTTTTTATCAATACTTTTTGAAGCTGTTTTTATTTCCCAAAGATTACTAAAGTTACATAAACTAAAAGGTATTACATTTTTTATTTTACTTTCAAGATATTTAAGTGTTTATTTTTGTTTAAGCCAATTAATTACAGCCCTTTTACATAAACATTACCCACAATACATATATAGCTACACAGAAAGACAGAAGAAGATTACTGCAGTAATTGCAAGATTTTTTATTTGTCAGTTTTTAAGTTTCTTAATTGGATTACTGGCTTTAGGGTGGAGCCCTTGGAAAAGCAGAGCCAGGAAAGGAGTCTCTGGTGCCTCCTGTTTTTCCCAAGGAGCTCAGGCTCTAAGAGCTTCAATATCTGCTTTTAATTAAACTGATTTTTAACCATAGCACTCTTTAATAAAAGTTCTTTTAGAATTTCTTATGCCAAACAGCCAATATTTCTGGTTTTTGAACTTTATCAAAGGTAACCTCCCAGGTGCTTAGAGAAGGAAAATTTAAGACAGTCCAAGGAGGAGAAGAGAGTAGACAAGGTCATGTATATATTCAACCAGAAATAACTTAATTCCTGGGTGAGGAATCGAACCCAGACCACCACTGTGAAAGTGCAAAACTTTAGCAACCAAACTACAGCACAGGGCAGTCTCCATTTTCTTTCCAGGAGGTAGTCTAGAATAGTTACTTTTGAGCTTGCAAAGGCTTTTAACTATTTAATGTGATTTTTACAGTTAACTATGACTTGAACCCTAAAATTCCTGTTCCTTGGAAGGCAGAGACCTAGAGAAAGTACTGCCACATGGTTAAAAGGTCAAGCTCCCAAGGACATAAAAGAAGGTGGAGACTTCATCCAGTTTTTTTGTTTGTTTCAGGGATCTGCAACCAAGTTTGTTACTGACCAGCCTGCTAGGTCATCTTGAAAAGCGGGCTTACAGGTACTCTAAGCTCATGTTTTATCCTAAAGTACCCCTTGACACAGAAAAAGGAATTCATAGCACAAAACACACCAGCTTAAGACTAGCCTTAGAATTCTTTTTCGCATTAATCCAAACTTTTACAGAGGAGATAAACACTGATTTTTTTTTTCCATTCATTCAACCATTTGCACAGAGAGAGAGAAACCAGAAACCTGACTGGTAAGAAATTTTACCCTTTTGCTGGCATGCCAGGCTTCTGGGTTCCCTTTCCCTGGGTGGCCCTAGTGATCGGGCTTGCGAAACCATCACCCTGGGGCCAAGCCACATCATAAAGGAAAATTATTTTTTTTTCATTATGGTCAGAGCAAAATATGTATGTTGAAACATAGATATTATCCACTCTGCTTAGCACCCATTATTAAACTGTCAAGGCTTAAATTTGCCCCCAGATGGGCCCTGTCATTTTTAATCCAACCTTTGACTTGGAGTTTCAACACATGGCCTCTGGGCAAGAGGAAAATACAGGAAAGGAAAAGTAGAGAAGGAAGGTACTTCCTGTGGCAGGGTAGGGAAGGTGAAGAGCTTAGGGAGGCCAGAGAAAAGACCTACTCATTGAAGCTGACAATGAAAAGTTCAGGCAGCTGCTTGTCAGTAGCAAAGGGATCTTTTCCTGCACTCCCATCAGCTCTCAAGTTTCCCCTTTTAGGGAGGAAAAAACTCCCAATATCCCACGATCCTGTATATGCCTAACCCTGTCACCCACAGCCATCAGCAAAGAGTGCAAGGAAGATTAATCCAAAGACAATAGCAGTTAACCCCCCATAGTGCCAAACCTGTTCTTAGCCAAGGGGGACTTTACCCGAGAGGAGCCTCTAACCTCCTAAATCTTTGAAGGGACTCTAACCCTCCCAAGTACGGCCTCTAACCCAAGGTTGGTCAAGCGTCCTTGCCTTTTATTAAGAAGGGGCCTCTAACCCACTCTGTCTTAGGAGAGAACTCTAACTCCCCCAGTTTGGGCCTCTAACCCAATCCCATCCTTTACATGGGTACCCCACCACTTGCCCAAAGTCATCCAATCAGTGCTGCAGTCTATTTCCTTTGGGACAGGAGGTCTCCTCAGTATTGTCCCTTTTGTGGTTCACGAGAAAGATGTTACTGGACCCCACCACTTACCCAAAGTTAGCCTTTGGGTCTGGGTTTTCCACAGTATAGTCCCTTCTGTGGTCACCAGAAAGATGTTACAGGAAAAGGGTCCTGATCCAGACCCCAAGAGAGGGTTCTTGGATCTTGTGCAAGAAAGAATTCAGGGCAAGTCCACAGTGCAAAGTGAAAGCAAGTTTATTAAGAAAGTAAAGGAATGAAAGAATGGCTACTCCATAGACAGAGTAGCCTCGAGGGCTGATAGTTGCCCATTTTTATGGTTATTTCTTCATGATATGCTAAACAATGAGTGAATTATTTATGCCTCCCCTTGTTAAACCATATAGAGTAAATTACTGACATTGCCATGGCATTTGTACTCTGTCATGGCACTGGTGGGAGTGTAGCAGTGAGGATGACTAGAGATCACTCTCATCACCATTTTGGTTTTAGTGGGTTTTGGCTGGCTCCTTTACTAAAACCTGTTTTATCAGCAAGGTCTTTATGACCTGTATTTTGTGCTGACCTCCTATCTCGTCCTGTGGCTTAACAATGCCTTAACCATCTGGGAATGCAGCCTCGTAGGTTTCAGCCTCATTTTATCCAGCTGCTGTTTAAGATGGAGTTGCTCTGGTTCACACGCCTCTAACAGACTGATCTTGACAAGTCACAGATCTCTAGATGAAATTTCCTAAAATGCAGCCAGTAGACTTCCTAGTTTTTAAATATATCAGTAAGAGAGAATTGTACTGGGCATCCAACTAGCTACACTTTCAATATACACAAACGGCCCTTTCCCAGAACACTGACCTTCTTCCAGAAGATCTGCTTAGGAACATACTCCTGGGCCCTCTGAATGTGGGTTCAGGGAGCCAGAACCCACATTCTCCTTTGGCAAATGGTTTGTTTGTTTGTTTGTTTGTTTTTGGAGTCCGTTTTGCAGGAAATGGAGTTGTCCTCCCCTGAAGAACAATTGTGACCTGTTCAAACCCTGATCTGCTGCAGCACTGTGTTTGAAAAACTGTTAACACCAGAAGCCAGGATCTCTTCTTTTCCTTACCCTCACTGTATACTGAGCAATTACTGAGTAAGACCAACAGTGGCATCTCAAAGGTAGCAGGAAATTGCATCAGACTGGGCAGGACCAATTATATTCAAGAATGATACTGAGCCATAGCGACAGAAGAAAGGACAACAGAAAATAGGCTAGTAGATTTTCCAGATTCTCCACTTAGCTCTCCAGGAGGTGCTTAGAAGCAACACTGGATCCTTTGAAATAAGACTTCTGTAGACTAAGTTTTAATGTATTTGAAGAGGGAGTAGGAGAAAGCTCTGAGATATTTAGTGAGCTTCCTGAGATGGCCATATGTTTATAGCTCCAAACTGTTTAATTAGAGGATATCACAAAGGAATAGTTTTCAAAGCACTAGAATCATAACTCTCATATAAATATAAAATGAACATGTGTCAAAGACTTTCAGTTAACCTATAAATTAATAATGGAACCAATAAGATGTTAAAACTGCTTCAAGTGAGAATGTGATTTACAAAGGCTTATATTCTCTACTGGACAAATTCATTTGAATAGCTATGAACAGGAATCATTTGAATTGCTGTAGACAGGAATTCTTTCCATTATGATCAACCTTCTAGATGTTAACTTCGCCTGTACAATATTTGCTAATAGTTAAGTGAAAGTTGAACATTATTATAAAATGAGATAATTCCCAGAGGAGGGTTCGCTAGGCAATGCTTGGCATTTCACTGAAAGGCACCCAGGAATCCTTTCCTTTGTTTCCATTTCCACATCTTTAACATTGTAAAAAAATGTTCTAAAATCAGACATGATAACTATTTTTCTCTCCTCAACTGTCCAGCTGCTCCTAAGATATAAGATGCTCGTCATTGTTAAGGGAATTTTTAGGCAAGAGAGCTAAAACACTAAAATATACAAAGAAATAAATATAGAAAAACATTGTGAAAGACTTTAAAATGAACCCAGAAACTGCTGGAGTTCTGTCTAATGGACCCATCCAGATTATCTTTACCTTTTTTTTTTTTTTTTGGTCTTTGGGCTATTTTAAAATTATTTATGGTGGAAAATAAGTAATAATGCAAATTATCTTTGTTCCTAGAAATGCATATTCATTATGCCCAGTATAATGCAGTTGATTACTACTCTGTGGATAGACCTATTTTCCATATATTTGTAAATTCATTTTAGCATTTTGTATTTGCCTATGTGTGTATTGTGTTAATGTGTTTACATGTATGTACAACATATGTAACTGGTGGTAACTTTGAACTGGTAGGAGAAGGCAAAAATATTGTTTTTTATCTTCATGGAATATTTATATGTTGACAGAAAAAAAGCAAACTCTGTAAAATAGCTAAAGAGTTTTATTCTGATTCAATATGAGGGACCATGGCCCTGGAAACAGTCTCAAGAGGTCCTAAGAAAGTGTGCCCAAGGTGGTCGGATTACACTTTGCTTTTATACATTGTAGGGAGACAGGAATTGTAGGTAAAATCATAAATCAATACATGGAAGGTGTACATTGGTTCAACCTAAAAAGACAGGATATCCTAAAGTGGGGGCTTACAGGTTGATATGGTTTGGCTCTGTGTTCCCACCCATATCTCATGTTGAATTGTAATCCCCACGTATCGAAGAAGGGGCCTGGTGGGAAGTGATTGAATCATGGGGGCGGACTTCCCGCTTGCTTTTCTAGTGATGGAGTTCTCATGAGATCTGGTTGTTTAAAGTGTGTAGCACTTTACTCTCTCTCTCTCTCCTGTTCCATCATGGTAAGATATGCTTGCTTCCCCTTCACCTTCCATCATGATTGTAAGTTTCCTGAGGCCTCCCAGCAATGCTTCCTGTACAGCTTGCAGAACTGTGAGTCAATTAAACCTCTTTTCTTACTAAATTATCCAATCTCAGGTAGTTCTTTGTAGCAATGTGGGAACAGACTAATACACAGGTCATAGGTGGATTCAAACATTTTATGGTTGGCGATTGATTGAAAGAGTTAAGCTTTGTCTAAAGGCTGAAGCCAGTAAAAGGGAGTGTTTGAGTTAAGATAAGGGGGTTGTGAAAGCCAAAGTTTTAGTTATGTAGATGAAGCCTCCAGGTAGTAACTTTAGAGAGAATAAATAATGGCAAATGTTTCCGTTTGAATCTTAAAAGGTGTTAGACTCTCTTAAATCCAGGAAAGCCCTGGCTGCATTAATGGAGATTCTCTGCAGATACAAATTTCCTTCATGAAAGTTGGCTTTGCAGGGCCATTTCAAAACATGTCAAAGAAATATATTTGAGATAAAATATTAGTATTTCCTTCAGAATCTGCTATCTGTCATGTCAGTCAGGTTGGAATTTGATACCTTATTGCCACAGAGTCCATTCTGTCAGTCTTATGATCTCCATTTTAATGTCAATGCTGGTCAGTTGTGCCTAAACTCCAAAAGGGAGGGGGTATAACAAGATGTGTTCATTCTCCCTTCCCTTCCCATCACAGCCTGAAATGCAGTTTTTCAGGTTTGTTTGCAGTCCCTTTAGCCAAGAGGGAGTGCATTCAGTTGGTTGGGGGACTTAGGTTTTTATTTTTGGTTTACATTCATAAATGTGTTTTTCTAAATTTTATCTCTGTCAAGATTAAATGTATAATTAAAAAAGTGCATCCCAATTTTAAAAATCTTTCAAGAGATTAAGGAATACACACATGCCAGACCATTTCCTGTTTTCTCAACTTGATGCTTAGGAAAGTGTTGTATAGGCATCAGGAAACCAAGAAGAGTGGGAAGCCTAATTGGCACATCCAATTCTGGAAACTTGGGATCCAAAGTCGTGTATCGCGATAATTCTGTATGTGGCTCTGATAGGCCTTCTTGGAGAATTAATGAAAATAAATTAAGGTGGGGTTCTTGGACACTCAAATGTAGACTCCTAAATAAAGTTGACAAAGTCTTCCCCTAACTTGAGAGCAGAGTGCCCAAGTAGACAGGGAAGACACCTCAGGGTAGAATAATCTCTAGGTTCGTTTTGTGGATGCTGTATTTGGATCCTGGTTAGAGGTGAGCATAAAGGAAACACTTTAGTTAGTTTCTTTAAAATGTCCTGTGGTTCTTCTGGAGAGAATTTGACACAATGTGCTCCAGAGCAGGGCTATTGCAAGAGAAGGTGCTACAATTTCCTTTGAATAGCCTGCATGCATACACCACGAAAATTTAAAAGGTCAACACTGGTAGCAGAGAGAATTCTTTCATTGATGATCTGTAGACTTGGAACCAACGAGAGTCACTAGGTGAATGCTGAACGAAGTCATGGCATGCAAGATAACATGGCTTAGTTCAGGCAGGGAAGTAAGACAGCCGTAAAGGACCATTTCTGTGGGCTACCAAGGACTCTGCCAGGGAAATGATGTAGACTTGAGGGGAGTCTCAGTGACTCTGCAAAGTGGGGCCTGAAAATACCAGATCAATGAGTTTATTCCTGGTCTTTGAATTCCTCACATCTTTTGGTCAGAGCCTGGGGGAGCAGAGTAATATTTGTACTATCCCCGTGACTGTTAGTGGATCCTTAACTTTTCACCATTGCTGAGGCTGGTGTGACCAGAGGAAGCAAGAGTTGGCCAAAAGATATGGCCAAAAGATTCTAGCAGAGCTTTAGGAGAGCATTATAGACATGGATCAGAGGGAAACTTTCAGGTCAATGGAAAATTAAAACAAAGAAGAATAGTCACTTTTTTTTAAATTTATTTTTTGAGACGGAGTTTTGCTCTGTCACCCAGGCTGGAGTGCAGTGGTGTGATCATGGCTCACTGCAACCTTCATTGTCTGGGCTCAAGCAATCGTTCTACCTCAGCCTTCTGAGTAGCTGGGACCACAAGAGTGTGACACCATGCTCAGCTAATTTTTGTGAGTGTTTTGTTTTGTTTTGTTTTGTAGAGATCGGTTCTTGCTAGGTTGCCTAGGCTGGTCTTGAACTCCTGGGCTCAAGCAACCAGCTCAATTCAGCCTCCCAAAGTGCTGGGATTATAGGCTTGAGCTACCTGCTTGGCCAATAGTCATTTTTCTTTTTATTTGTTTTCTTTCTATTTTTATTTCTTCTTACTTTAAAAGAAAGTAAATTGTGTGTGAGTTTGTAGACTAAAATGTTTATCTCCCCTCAAATTCATGTTGAAAGCCTAATCCCTAATGTAACTGATTATATTTGCAGGCAGGGCATTTTGGAGGTAATAGGTTTAGATGAGATCTTGAGGATGGAGTCCCCATGTTGAGATTAGTGTTCTTATTAGAAGAGGAAGAAATCAGAGCCATCTCTCTCCCCATACACATATACCAAGGAAAGACCAATGAGCACATAGCAAGAAGACAGCTACAAGACAGGAAGAGGGTCTTCACCAGACACCAAATCTGCTGGCACCTTGATCTGGGACCTCCCAGCCTCCAGAACTGTGAGAAATATTTGTTGTGTAAGCCATCAATACATATACATATATAGAATACAGCCACCACCGAATCCTATCCAATCCCATTCTCTCTCCGGAAGAAAATTCTATTATCAGTTGTCTGTATACACATGAGATTGTTTGGATTTGTGTCTTCACCCAAATCTCATGTCAAACTGTAATCCCCAATGTTGGAAGAGGAGTTTCGTAGGAAGTGATTGGATCATGGGGGCAGAGGTCCCTTCTGCTGCTCTTATAATAGTGAGCAAGTTCTCATGAAATCTGGTTGTTCAAAAGTGCATAGCACCTCCCTCTTCTCTCTCTTCCTCCTGCTCTGGCCATATGAGGTGCCTGCTTTCACTTTCTGCCATGATTGTAAGTTTCCTGAGGCCCCCAGCCATGCTTCTTGGAGAGCCTGCAGAACCATGATCCAATTAAACCCACTTTCTTTATAAATTACCCAGTCTCAGGTAGTTCTTTATAGCAGTGCAAGAATGTACTAATATATCCTGTCTTGGACTTTTTCTTTCTTTTTTTTTTTTAGATGGAGTTTTTGCTCTTTTTCCCCAGGCTGGAGTGCAATGGCGCAATCTCAGCTCACTGCAACCTCCGCCTCCCGGGTTCAAGCGATTCTCCTGCCTTGGCCTCCTGAGTAGCTGGGATTACAGGCATGCACCACCACACCCGGCTAATTTTTTGTATTTTTAGTAGAAACAGGGTTTCACCATGTTGGTCAGGTTAGTCTCGAACTCCCAACCAGGTGATCTGCCCATCTCGGCCTCCCAAAGTGTTTTTTTTTTTTGTTTTTTTGTTTTTTTGGTTTTTTTTTGAGATGGAGTCTCACTCTGTCACCCAGGCTGGAGTGTACTGGTACGATCTCGGCTCACTGCAACCTCAGCCCCCTGGATTCAAGCGATTCTCCTGCCTCAGCCTCCTGAGTAGCTGGGATTACAGGCACCTGCCACAGCGTCTGGCTAATTTTTTTGTATTTTTAGTACAGATGAGGTTTCACCATCTTGGCCAGGCTGGTCTTGAACTCCTGACCTCATGATCCACCCGCCTCAGCCTCCCAAAGTGCTTGGATTACAGGTGTGAACCACCGCACTAAGCCCTATCTTGGACTCTTTCTATGTATTTTCACTTACTTACATTATTCCCCTTGGAGGTATACTACTTAACCTCTGTGCCTCACTTTCTTCATCTCTAATGTGGATAATAATAGTTCACTTTCTAAGAAGCAATTGTGGGTTTCCAATGAGATAGCATATATAAAGTCATTGTTACAGTGATGGGCACATTGGGAGTTTTCAAACATTCTTAAGTCTGAATCTTGCTATATAGTTTGGTTTTATTTTCTGTTTTTTACACAAGTGGAATCATGCTCTTCGTGTCTTTGTGAAACTTGCTTTTTCATTTAGCAATATATCTAATATATCTTTTATGTCCAAATATGTAGCTCTACCTCCATCTTTATCATTATTGAGTAATTTTTGTTTGTTTGTTTGTTTATTTTGAGAGGGAGTCTCGCTCTGTCACCCAGGCTGGAGTGCAGTGGCGCGATCTCGGCTCACTGCAACCTCTGCCTCCTGGGTTCAAGCAATTGTCTTAGCCTCCTGAGTAACTGGGACTACACGTGCACGCCACCATGCCCAGCTAATTTTTATATTTTTAGTAAAGATGGTGTTTCATGATATTGGTCAGGCTGGTCTCAAACTCTTGACCTCAGGTGATCCACCCACCTCAGTCTCCCAGTGTGTTGTGATTACAGGTGTGAGCCACCGCGCCCAGCCATTATTGTGTAATATTTTATGGGATGACTATACCACAGAAAAATTACCATTTCATTTTGTTAAGTTTGCTGTCAATTCATCAGAGTAACAGATAATACTTCAATAAACCCTGTTGTATAAACATATGGATTATTCTCCAGGATACATACCTAAAAGAGGAATTCCTGCACAGAAGGCTATGGTCATCACTAATTTTGATAGACTTTATGGTTCTTAAAAAAAATAACTTGTACAGGGACAAATGATATCTTTCCTAACCATATGAATTTGGGTTTTTCCACTTTTATTTCAGTGAGGTCTAGGGACACAGCTTGTCATACTTAATGTGAGGCATAAGAATCCGATTGATATCAGTGTGTATGGCCCATTTGTTACTAACACTTTCATACACATTGTATCTACAACAAGAATGTGGAATCACAGTCCTGTCTTAGAAAGAGGGCACAGTTCACTATAGAATATAAAATTAGAGCTCATGTGGATTACAGATAGGAGTCCTAAAAATCCCCAGGTGTAAAGAACATAGTCATAGCAACCAGAATTGTTAATATAAGAAAACAAAATAAAATTTTCTGGGGGCAGTTAGGCTGCCTTCTTACTCTCTTCTTTCAGCCCGCTGGGCACCCCTTTAGCAGCTGGTAACATTCTTGACAGAATTAGAGGACAGAAAGGAAGTCAACCAATCTGCTTCATCCATGCCTTCAACAAGCCTGCACCAAGCCATCAGAATGTGATGTCCCTCTGACACCAACCATCTGTTCTCAAACTCTCCAGCCACTGTTGAGAATTCACTCTTATATTTAGTGATTCTCAGTGTAAAGCAGCCATTGCTTTTCTAGGAGAAATTAAATAATGATGACCCAAGAAACAAAGACTATAGTACATTATTCCCTCAGCAAAAGCTCTTCAGATGTTTCAAGGCATTTATTTTATTGACAATCATACTTTTCTTTCTTCAAATCTTATCTTCCCATGAAGATAAGGGAACTCTTTAACTCTTCTTTACACTATTTATACAATTTCTTTTCAAGTTTTCTATAGGCCATTTGGTGTGAAACTAAGAATTTTAAAAGCATCCAATCAGGCAATAGTTTTATAAAATGTGAGTGTTTTTTCTTTTTGTTTTTGTTTTTTGGTTTGTTTTGAAATACACTGGTGAATTCCAATAAGTTTTCAACATTAGAAGTGTGATACCATATTTACTGATTAAGAAGAACTTATTTTTGTTTGTTTTCTTTTTGTTTTAGCAATTCTCTGCAGAAAAGCAGATAACTTATTTCTCATTTCTAAATGCTATTTTGCCTTCACAGTCCTATATTAACACCCTGAAGTCATACTCTTCAAATAAGGGTGACACATTGTAAAGGAGGAAAATAGAGAGAGGAATGAAGAAAAACATGGAATGATAAGGAGATTAAAATGTTTGTTTCTAAATGTCTCCATAGTTTTAACTAGTTTATAATTAATAAATCACTTGGAGTAGCCTGATGTATTTGATTATACAAACCACATTTTATAAGTTTAGCTTGGACTCCAGGAAGTTTCAGTGCTCAAAGATAGATGTTCTTTTTTTTTTTTTTTTTTTTCCTGGCTTGATCCTTTTTAAAATGGCCCAGGTGAGGGTTTCCTTGCACATACTTTAAGCAGTTTAGAGGTTAATTGTGGCCATGCATTACAGTTTAAAACTCTCTGTCTCCTGGGGTTTGAGTGCCAAGGAAGAGTGGTCAGGGGGAGATTTCAATGAAGAATATTCCTCTTCCCACCCAACTTCAACTTCACATCAGAAATGTAGACAGACAGATGAAGAATCCAGATGAGACCAATGTGCTAGCTTTGTTATTAATAAAAACAAGTCTGGGTGACATGGTTTAGATATAGGACAAATGGTCTTGCTGAGACTTCTCCCCGAATGAGGCTGACTTAGCCAGTCACAGGGCGTGCTGAGCAGGAGCAGGTCCATGGTGGAGAGTGCCCTGAGAAACACCTTCCTCAGGAAGGGACTGAACCAAGCCTGGGAAGCCAGCAGTATAACGCTGAGGAAGTTCTTTCACATGATAACAGGAGGGGTGAAACATATGTGATAGTTTCACCGTAACATTTGACTATTTTTTTGTTGTGATAAAACACACCTAACTTGAAATTTACCATTTTAATCACAAGGTGCACTTTTAATGCAAACCTTTTAAAGTGCACAATTCGGTGGCATTAAGTACCTTCACAGTGTTGTACAGCCATTACCACTATCACCAGAACATTTTCATCAACTCTCCAAAAAACTTGTGCATTAAGTAGTCACTCCCCTGCCCCCCAGCCTTTGGCAACCACCAGTCTGCATCAAGTCTCTATGGATTTATCTAGTCTAGATGTTTCGTATAAATGAAATCACACAATATTTGGCCTTTCGTATCTGGCTTCTTTCATTTTGCATAGTGTCTGCAAGCTTCATTCATGTTGTAGCATGGATCGGAACTTCACTTTTTATGGCTGAATAATATTCCATTGTAGGAATATATCACATTTTGTCTCTGTTAATCTGTTGATGAACATTTGAATTGTTTCCACCTTTTGGCTTTTGTAAATAATATGCTGTGAACATTTGTGTACAAGTTTTGACTTGAACTTCTGCTTTCAGTTCTTTTGTGCATATACCCAGGAGAGAAATTGCGTGTGTCTTGTGGTAATTTTATGTTTAACTTTTTGAGGAATCACTAAGCTTTTCCACAGCAGCTGTGCCATTTTACATTTCTACCAGCAACGTATGAGAGTTCCAGTCTCTCTACATCCTCCCCAATACTTCTTTTCCTTTTTGTACTCATACAGCCATCCTACTGTGTGTGAAATGGTAGCTCATTGTGGTTTCGATTTGCATTTCCCTAATGACTGACAATTTTGAATGCCTTTTCATGTGCTTTTTGGCCGTTTGGATAACTTCTTTGGTAAAATGTCTTTTCAAGTTTTTTGACCACTTTTTAATTGGCTGGTTTGACTTTTTGATATTGACTTGTAAATGCTCTTTACGTATTCTGAATAATAGACCCTATCATATATAAAATTCACAAATATTTTCCTCCATTCAATGGATTGTCTTTTCCCTCTCTTGATAGTATCCTTCAATGCATAAAATTTTTAATTTAGATGAAATCCAACTTATCTATCCTTCTTTTGTTCCTTATGCTTTTGATGTCATATCTAAGAAAACATTGCCAAAGCTAAGATGATAAAGATTTATCCCATGTTTTCTTCTAAGAGTTTCATAGTTTTAGCTCTGAAATCTCGCTGATTTCCCAAAAATAAAACAAAACCAAAACTTTTTCTAAACATCAACTTTACTGAAGTGTAATTTACATATGATAAAATGCACTCATACCATTTGACCCAGCAATCCCATTACTGGGTATATACCCAAAGGATTATAAATCATTCTACTATAAAGACATATGCACACGTATGTTTATTGCAACACTATTTACAATAGCAAAGACTTGAAACCAACCCAAATGTCCATCAATGATAGACTGGATAAAAAAAAATGTAGCACATATACACCATGGAATACTATGAAGCCATAAAAAAGAATGATCATGTCCTTTGCAGGGACATGGATGAAGCTGGAAGCCATCATTCTCAGCAAACTAACACAGGAGCGGAAAACCAAACACTGCATGTTCTCACTCATAAGTGGGAGGTAAACAGTGAGAGCACATGGACACAGGGAGGGGAACATCACACACCGGGGCCTGTCAGAGGATGGGGGGAAAGGGGAGGGAGAACATTAGGACAAATACCTGATGCATGTGGGGCTTAAAACCTGGTGATGGATTGATAGGTGCAGCAAACCACCATGGCACATGTATACCTATGTGACAAACCTGCACATTCTGCACATGTATCCCAGAACTTAAAGTAAAATTTTAAAAATGCACTCAATTTTAAGTATACAATTTAATGAGTTTAGACAAGTGTCTACCCCAATTAACCACAATAAAAACATGAACATTTCCATTACTCCAGAAAGCTTCCTTGACCCCCTTGCAGTCAGTCTTCCCGACCCTCCCATCTATGCAATCACTGATATGATTTTTATCACTACAGATGAGCTTTATCTGGTCTAGAATCTCATACAAATAAAGTCATACAAATGATGAACTCCTTTGTGTCAGATTTTTTTCTCAGCATAATGTATTTTGATTGATTTATGTTGTTGCTTCTATTAGTAATTTGCTCCATTTTATTACTTAGTAGTATTTGATTGGATAGATATACTACAACTTATTTATCCTTTTACCTTTCGGGATGAATAGTTTTTTTTTTTTTTTTAATTATGTTTGTGTATCCCCTTCATTATAAAACCAAAACAGGTTTTGGATAGAAAAATTAAAACATGTAGGCCACAAAGAGGCAAAAAATTATAAAACTTATATTTTACTATGGAAATGTTAACACTTTGATGTATAGCTTCAGAACTCTTTCTGGGGCTGTGTATAGGTATGTTTCTATTTATAAGATATTTGAAACTTTTTCCAATTTTTTTTCCTGAAATTTACCTAAAGCTCCAATGTTGAAATTAAAAAAAAAAAAAAAAAAAAAAAAAAAGCACTAAGATCCCCTAATGAGACAAATAGTCAATCCCTGAGACTAGACTCCTTATCCCAAGACTTAGTGAGAGGTGACAGAATCCTCACCCCCATGGCCAGGCACCATCCCAATGCTCCTTCCTTCAGAGCCTGTGTAAGCAGAGGAAGGGAGAAGTATTGAGATTGTTGGCTTTGTAAGTTATTTAGATTTACAGTAAGAATAATTTTGTGTGTGTCTTTTTGGCTGGTGAGGTGGTCATGCACTTTCCTCTTCAAAGTCAAGTGAGGCAGCTCCCAAGAGAATTACTGAAGCAGCTTGGGAGTATTTGCAACAAGGAATGACTGGCCTGTGCTCCAATTGGATGTCTATTCAGGTGGAGGACTGGCTTGCCTGACTCTGCCTAATTGGAAAAGGAAATGAACATAAAAGAGAGAGCAGGGTACCAAGAGGGGATGTCAGTGGGGCCACTTGCATCTGCACAGTGGCACTGGCATGTCCTGAAGGCCTGTGCCTCCTGTGTGCTCACAGGGAAACCGCCAAAGGGACCTGAGTAGAGCTCATCTTGCCCCACTTAGAAGGGGATCCAGGAGGAAAGCCCATGTGATTGAGCATGGTGGGAATTGACAGGGAGTGGAAGGGTGGATCTACCACATCAGAGAAGTGTGCAGTTGGCAGGCGTAGTGAGCCTCTGCTAGGGGCTCTGGAAGGGTCTGCATTTGGATACCCACCCCGTAGAGGGCAGTGCTGTCAGCGTATTTTAGCCAGAGCAGCAAAGACTCCAGTAAGAAGACGACTGTGACCATGGCCAAATCATCAAGGAAAAAGAAGCTCTCTCTTGTCTCCTCCCCTTAAGAAGCAAAGCACGCCCTCCCTTCACCTTCGAAATGTCTCAAGCTGACACCCAGGGGGCAGGTGATGACATTGGAGTTGGATTGAGATTGGAAATTTAAACTGGAGAATACTTGATAATTGAAAGGGACTAGATATATATGGGATCTGATGCTGTTAAAGAAAAAAGGAATGGGACTCAAAAGGCTTTGTGGAAAGCAATATGTAGAAGGAAAAAAATATGATATTAAAAATAACTATTGCACAAGCATAACAACACACTAGTACTATTATTATACTTGTATTCTCTGGTAAACTGTTTTATATAAAACTTAGCAATGTATAGTGAACACTGACCATGCCCATGTGTATTCATCTAAGACATCATATTTAATAGTGGAATCGTATTCCATTACATGCAGGTACCACAATTTAGAGGTGGACATTTACAGTGTTTTCATTCTTTTAGGACAAATATCGTTATCATTAATATTTGCACACACTCTTAAATAATTCCTCAGGTGACAATCTAGAAATAGAATTGCAAAATCAAAGACGTATGTCTATCTATTAACAAAATGCCCAACAACAATATTATACTAGCTTATGTGACCACCAGCACTAAGAAAGACTTCGTTTTTTTTTTTGTTTGCTTGTTTTTAACCAGTCAGTTAGATTTCTTTCATGAACTGCCCCTCACCCCAATCCCATTGTATTGTTCGTATGAAGCAGGCTGGCTACGAAGAACATACGGCTCTGCACTTCACTAGCCACATATATCTGTAGTTCATGTTTAGTTAACAGGGATACTTGCATATCCATTGTTGCCCTACGCCTTTCAGAAGCTTGGCCACATAAACAGGAATTCATGGAGGGCTAATCTCTCCCTTACAGGTACTTCGAATTTCATTGTTGCATCGAGCCAGCTGATTTGGGAGTTGAGTTCCTGGATAGGCATACTATCCACAGTGTTTTACCAGAGTGAAATCACAGGTGATATCATTCTATATTAAGAGAAATATAAGTGTCCACTCTGTGAAATCTGTCACATGTATAGAAAAAGGATACTGTCTTTTTTTTTTTTTGAGACGGAATCTCACTCTGTCACCCAGGCTGGAGTGCAGTGGCACGATCTTGGCTCACTGCAACCTCCTTCTCCTGGGTTCAAGCAATTGTCCTGCCTCAGCCTTCCGGGTAGCTGGGATTAGAGGTGCACACCACTACACCCAGCTAATTTTTGTGTATTTTTTTAGTAGTGACAGGGTTTCACCATGTTGGCCAGGCTGGGCTCGAAATCCTGACCTCAGGTGATCCGCCTGCCTTGGCCTCCCAAAGTGCTGGGATTACAGGCCAGCATGAGCCACTGCACGCGGCCTACTGTCATTTTTTTATTCTGTCTCCTTTCTATGAGGAGCCCTGGGGAAATTGTCTTTAGTCTCACTATAAGAAATAGTTGTTCTTTTCCTGAACTAATTTTATTTAATTCTATGGCTACTATGACACTTTAAAGACATTTTTAGGAAAATCAAGTTTTGGCCCACATCCAGCAAGAGGAAAAGATTTCATGGTGTACATTCATGTCACTTTTTCATTCTGGCTGAGGGCTACTTTGCTCAGCCTTTCATATATTCCCTTCCTTCCTTCCTTCATTCCTTCCTTCCCTCCTTCCTTCCTTTCTTCCTTACTTTTGACAAGGTCTTGCTCTGTGGCCCAGGCTAAAGTGCAGTGGCGCCATAAGGGCTCACTGCAGCTCTGAGCTCCTGGACTCAAGTGATCCTCCCACCTCAGCCTCCTGAGTAGCTGGGACTACAGGCACGTGCGACCACACCCAGCTAATTTTTGTACTTTTTGAACAAGATCTTGTCTTTTACAGGGACATGAATGGAGCTGGAAGAAGTTACCCTTAGCAAACTAACACAGGAAGAGAAAACCAACTACCGCTTGTTCTCACTTATAAGTGGGAACTGAATGATAAGAACACATGGCTGATAAAGGGGAACAACACATACTGGGGCCTATTGGAGAGTTGGGGGTGGGAGGTGGGAGAGGATGAGAAAAATAATTAATGGGTACTAGACTTAATACCTCGGTGATGAAATAATCTGTACAACAAACCTCCATGACACACATTTACCTATGTAACAAACATGCACATGTACCCCTGGGCTTAAGAGTTTAAAAGAAATTTTTTTTTTTTTTTTTTTTTTTTACTTTTTGTAGAGATGAGGTCTCCCTATATTGCCCAGGCTGGTCTCAAACTCCTAAGCTCAAGTAATCCTCCCACCTCAGACTCCCAACATGCTGGGAATACAGGCACAAGCCACTGTGCCCAGCCTCATATATTTCCTTTTTTATCTGAAATACAAACACATCTTTCTTGTCCTCCTTGAGTCCTCTTTTAAGTAAGTTTGGAATAAATAAATAATATTTATTTTAGGTTGGTACAAAAGTACATTACTTTTAATGGCAAAAATCACAATAACTTTCGCACCAATCTAATAATATAGAGTGACCAAAAGATAAATCCCTTAAAAATAAGAAAACTGTTGGGAGGCCGAGGTGGGCGGATCACGAGGTCAGGAGATCAAGACCATTCTGGCTAACACAGTGAAACCCCATCTCTACTAAAAAATACAAAAAAGTTAGCCGGGTGTGGTGGCAGGTGCCTGTAGTCCCAGCTACTTGGGAGGCTGAGGCAGGAGAATGGCATGAACCCGGGAGGCGGAGCTTGCAGTGAGCCGAGATCGCACCACTGCTCTCCAGCCTGGGCAACAGAGCAAGACTCTGACTCAAAAAAAAAGAAAGAAAGAAAAAGAAAAAGAAAAGAAACCTGGGGATGAAGTAGCAGGCAGCTTCTTTCTAGGCATAGAGGCAGATAGGAGTGCCTGGCATGAAAAGGGCTAATAATTGGGGATAGTTAAAGACATTTAGATGCCATCACATTTCAGTTTGGGCTTTTTAACTGGAAAGATGCTTTGCTTTGCAGTTCTTTAAAGGAATCGCAAGCTTTGTGATAGAGGAGGGGGGCTTAAAAATCCCTGTGCGCTGTTTGGCTAGAAAACAACGTGAGGCCCCAGTGAGAAGGCGCAGAGGGCTGCGTGCTTGGGATCAGCTAGCTCTCAATTCCACATTCCAAAAACAGAATGACTAAGATTCCCTCAGGCTTTTCCCTACAATGGTCAAGAGGGTCTGAGAGGGCAGGGCGAGAGGCTGGACAGGATCTTGATGGGTGCTGGCCAGGGGAAGCTGCGTCTGTGCCTGGAGCACTCCTTGCTCCGTGTTTCTTAGGAAGTGTGGAGGCAAGCACGGAGCAGGAGGGGAGGGCGCAGAGCATCGCTTTCTCTGTGGCAGTTGTTCATTTTCCACAGTCCTTGTTTTAGACTATTTCTTCAATTGATGAGTGATTTTGGTTTTTTTTTTATTTTAAAATGTTTAACCAACAACTAAAAATCATATGTATTCAAGGTTATAACATGATGATTTGCGATACCTATGTATAGTGTAATGATTACCACAATCAAGTTAATTAACATGTCCATCACCACCCACAGTTACCCTTTGTGTGTGTGTGTGCGTGTGTCTTGAGGACACTTCAAATCTTTCAAACTTCAGCTAAATATACAGTATTATTAATTATAGCCACCATTAGACTTCCAGAACTTATTCATCTTATAACTGAAACTTTGTACCTGTTGACCAACACCTCTCCATTGTCCTCACCACTAGCCCCTGGCAACCACCATTCTACTCTCTATTTCTACTGTCTTTTCCACATATGAGTGAGATCATGCAGTCTTTCCATGTCTCACTGACTTCACTCAGTATCATGCTCTCCATGTTTGTCCGTGATGTCAACCAATAGCAGGCTATTTCTTTTTATGGTTGAATAATATTCCATCATATATATATGTGTGTGTGTGTGTGTGTATATATATGTGCATATATATGTATATATGTATGTATATATGTGCATATATATGTATATATGTATATATGTGCATATATATGTATATATGTATATATATGTGCATACATATGTATACATATGTATACACACATATATATATATATACATATCATGTTTTCTTTATCCATTTATCTGTAAATGGACACTTAGGTTGTTTCTATATCTTGGCTGTTATGAATAATGCTGCAATGAACATGAATTGAAATACTGATTTCATTTCTTCGGACATATATTCAGAAGTAGGATGGTTGGATCATATGGTAGTTCTATTTTTTAATTTTTGAAGGAAACTCCATACTGTTTTCCTTAATGGCTGTACCAATGACATTTCCATCAACAATGCAAAAGAGTTCAATTTTCTGTTAAGAGTGATTTTGAAGGCTGGGCACAGTAGCTCACATCTATAATCCCAGCACTTTGGGAGGCGTCCCAAAGTGCTGGGATTATAGGTGTGAGGCAGGAAGATCACTTGAGCTCAGGAATTTCAGACCAGTCTGGGTAATATAGGGAGACCTTGTCTCTACTAAAAATTTAAAAAGTTAGCCAGACACGGTGGTGCACACCTGTAGTCCCAGCTACTTAGGAGCCTGAGGTAGGAGAACCACTTGAGCCCAGGAGTTCATGGCTGCAGTAAGCCATGCTTGCACCACTGCACTCCAGCCTGGGCAACAGAGTGAGACCTTATCTCAAAAAAAAAAAAAAAAAAAGAGTGAATTTGGACTTATCTGTTTTTAATATGTATAAAATAATTTTAAAAGAGGGACAGTAAATTTTTAAAAAAGGATTGAGTTGGGTGAAGGCTGTGGTACTTGTTCCTGGTTGCATATGCACAAATACCAAATGCCATGCTTCTTATTCTTCTCTTCATTCAGGATAGGCTCAGCTGTAACAAACTATATCAAATCTCAGAAGCTTCAAAAGACTAAGGTTTATTTCTCACTCATGCCACCCGTCTACTGAGGGTCATGCGGAGTTCTGCTGAGTGATGTTCTCCATCCAGGATCCCAGCCAGGATCCCAGCTGGTAGAGCAGCCTCCACCTGGAACATTGCCTAAGATATTGGAAGGGTACACCAAGGCAATGGTGAAGCTCAAAGTGGCTCCTAATGGCTGGCCAGAATCAGCCTTTGTATCTCCTTGGCCAAAGCAAGTCTCATGACCACAGCTAATTCCCAGCAGGTGAAGATGTGATTTCTTCCATCCAGAAAGACAGAAAGCCAGAACATCTTGAACAGCTCTGGTGACTATCATATCCTTTTCTTCTAAGCCAAATATGAGATTCTTTTATAGCAGCTATGACATTCAAGGAGCTCTTACAGATGTCCCCAATACTGTCACAGTGGAGTTTATCTTACAGAATTGGGCCACTCTAAGTGACTACCTGTTGCCTCAAAGGGTAACAGGTCTAACAGAAAGAACTGTACTCCAGAATTGTAAGTCTTCTAGATTCTGCAACTGGAAGAGTAAGTGGATAAGAATAGCCAAGAACATGTGAAAGAAGAATTTGTGGAAGTTAATTTGTAATGAGGACAATCATAAATTCTTCCTGAGTTAGGTCTCCTTATCTGCAAAGTTCCCATCTGCCAAGGGGACAAGATACAACATGGGAATCCCAATGGATGCAGAAGGGAAGTAGAGGTAAATTTGCCTCTTCTAGCCACACAATATCTGGTAGAAGAAACGGAGAAAAAGGCAGGGGCAGACAACCAGAGGGAGGGGTAGTGATTCTGGGGAAAACAGAAGGCAGAGTATATTCATTACAATTTAATAAAACTATAGGAGGTGACCCTCTTGAAGGCTGCCTCCACACCCACCAGTCAAGGCTCCATCAATGTAAACTAGCAATCCAACATGGTAGTGCCCAGAGAGCCAAGATTATTTATCATGTTATGGACAGATTGGCATAGGCCCTGAGGGGTACTCAAAGGCCAGTGGGACTGCTTCAAGGCCCTTGTGTTGGGGTGGTATCCAGCATAGCAGACTCCTCTAGGTTGATATCCTGGGCCAGAGGGGACAGCTGGACAGTGTCACATTGGTTCTGACAGGTGCATGGCACTTGCATGAGCCAGACTGGGGCTAAGTCAGCCAGGCAGGCTGTCAGGCCCTAATCACATCAAGGATGGCCAAATCATGTTCCACTAGGGACCAGCTTGAGCTGCAAATGACCAATAGGACAAATGATGTCATCCAGAGGACCCAACCACCCGGATCTGAGACACAGTAAGCCTCCATCATCCACCCAGACATACGTTAGGAAACTGAAAGAGGAAGACAGGAGCCTCCAAAGATTGGGTTTTTGTGTAGAAGGAACTGAATAATTTAAAGAATGTTCAGTTTATGAGGTCAGACTGAGATGAATGAATGGAGATAAGGTGTCACGAGGAAGATCAGCTCACTGAGAGCAGTAGTTCTCAACCCTGGCTGTACATTGCCCAATGCCCAGAGCTTTCAGAAAATACTCCCCCCCACCCCAAACCACAACTATTATGTTGCAATTGCTGGTGGTGGGCTTAGATCTGGGCGTAGGTGCATATGTATGCAAGGACACATATGTACGTAATTTCTCCAATGTTTATAATGTACAAATATGAATTATCTAATAGAAATAAACAGTGTCACTAAAGGGCATGCCCTGGCAGATCCTCAGGGCTGGTGGAATTGGCTCCAGAACTTTTGCTCTTGGCTCCCATTCCCCACTGGGAGAAGCCTGATACCTGACTCCCTGAACCTGGCCTTTGGCTTCAGACTCTGAAGTCAAATCCCTTCCTTCTCCCTCTGGCTCAGTCTCCATCGACTCAACTAGTCCTGCCACCTCTTTTCTGCTTGGCCCAGCCCTAGCACCCTACTCACTGGTGTAGCCATTATAGGCAGCTCAATGTAGACCAGTCAGCGTTTTGGCTGGAAAATAGACAGATGTAGCTGAAAGAAGCTGATGGATCTTTCTCAGGACTGGCAGTTACCCGCCATGAGGATGAAGGCCACATGGGGTATAGTCAAGGGGTGAGCACACGTCCAGTGAACTGGCTGATTCCTGCTGTGGCAGGTGCAACCTGCAGGCCCACGGATGTCAGATCTTCTACAGAAGGGAAGCCAGAATTCTAGATTTTTATCTGAAATTTACCAATATTTAAATACCAGTAAGGAATTCATTTTTTATTACATTGTATGTGCCAAATGAAAAATAAACCTATTTATGAGTTAGTCCCAGCCCCAGGCTCCGGCCTTGGCCTCTGGAAAGCCTCTGAAACAGTAGGGATTGCGGGAAGAAGGGTGTGTGGAGGCCAAGGATCTGCTGCGCCTTTCCAGTCAGGTGGGTCACAATGAGATGGTTAAGTGTTTGAGCAGACTGTGACCACACTAAAAGTGATGCTTCCCCTGGGGCAGTTTTACAATAAAGATAATAAAAACCAACAAAAAAAAATGATGATTATAATTTTGTTTTGCATAACTTCTTTAAGGAGGCCCTCAAAGCTTTACAGAATACTTTAACCCTTTCAACGTCTCTATGGGGGAGGAATATGGAAAGTGATATCTTCATTTTTATAGCTGGAGAAACAAATGTTGGGGAAAAAGCTACTAAACGACCAAAAATCTCACATTTTTTTCAGAGGTGGATAAAAATCTGGGCTTAAGGACAATATTTTGTTGGTTATTTTGAATCCACTTAAGAAAAATTTCAACATGACTTATTTGCTCACATCATCCCTCATAATTCTTACATCCCCTCCAGCCATCCACTCACATCCCCTGTGCCCATTTTTCTGGGCTAAGTTCAGGTCAGTTGCTTTCCATGAAACCTTGCTGGGCTGTCCCAGGTCTCAGCTGACTCTCCCTCCATTCTCTGCACCCTGGTATTTAGCATGAGGACAATTCATATCACAATTAGTCTTGCTTGGTCTCCCGACCAATTGCTCTACCTACTGCATTGACACTGTGTTATTGCTCTGCGTTTTTATTGTGCTTTTTAAATGCTGCTCAACTCCTGGTAACTCCTTCAAGGTTGGGATAGAATTTCATACAATGGCTTCTGGGTCCCTCTCAGGGCCTTGGACAGAGCAGGCCCCAGAACATATTTCTCCCATTGCTTCCTTTATCTTAGCATCTGCTTTCAGTTCTCTAAAACAATAGAGTTAAGAAAACAACTGGGTGTGAACCAGCTCCTTGCCAGTTTTATGAATTGCACAAGTCTCCAACTTCTCTGAACTTCAGTTTCCTCAACTGTAAGTTGGCGATAATAGTCCCTACTTCCTAAGGCTGTGGTGAGGATGATATAATTTAGGGTATATAAAAATGCTAGAACATCACCCTAAACACAGTTAGCATTCTCTACATGTTAGCTGGCTTTTTCGTTTGCTTGTTTTTTATTTTGTTTTGTTTTTTAAGACTTAACTTTTTAAAAGCAGTTGTACATTCACAGCAAAATTCAGAGGAAAGTAAAGAGTTTCTCATGTCGCTGCTGCCCCTACATATGTGTAGACTCCACTATTATCAACATCCCCTATCACAGGGGTCCGCAACCCTCAGGCCACAGAAGACCGGTACCAGTCTGTGGCCTGTTAGGAACTGGACTGCACAGCAGGAGGTGAGCAGTGGGCCAGCCAGCATCACTGCCTGAGCTCCACTTCCTGCCAGATCAGCACTGGCATTAGATTCTCATAGGAGTGAACCCTATTGTGAATTGCACATGTGAGGGATCAAGGTTGCACACTCTTTATCAGAATCTAATGTCTGATGATCTGAGATGGAACAGTTTCACCCCAAAACCATCCCCCAAACCACCTGTCTGTGGAAAAATTCTCTCCCCCACAAACTGGTCCCTGGTGCCAAAAAAGTTGGGGACAGCTGCCCTACCAGAATGGTACACTTGTTACAATTGATCTACCTGCTGCATTGACACATCATTCTCACCCAGAGACCATAGTTTACATCAGGGTTCACTCTTGGTGTTACACATTCTATGGGTTTGGACAAGTGTATAAGGACACGTATCCACCATTGTAGTGTCATACCTCACTGCCCTAAAAATTTTCTGTGTACCTCCTATTTTTTCCTCCTTCCCCTCAAACCCCTGACAACCACTGGTTTTCCTTTACCAGAATGTCATATAGTTGGAATCATACAGTATGTAGCCCTTTCCAATTGGCTTCTTTCACTTAATAATATAGGTTTAAGTTTCCTCTATGTCCTCTCATGGCTGGGTAGCTCTTCCTTTTGTGATGAATAATATTCTGTTGTCTGGATGTACCACAGTTTTATTTATCCATTCACCCCAACAGACATCTTGATTGCTTCCACATTTTGACAATTATGAATAACTCCAAACCTGCACCCATATGTGAGTTTGTACATGATCATGAGTTTTAAACTCCTTTGGGTTAATTCCAAGGATTGCTGGATCATATAGTAAGAGTAGCTTTAGTTTTATAAGAAACTGCCAAACTGTCTTCCAAAGTGGCTATACCATTTCAAAATCCCGTCAGCAATGAAAGAGAGTTCCTGTTGTTTTACCGCCTTGCCAGCATTTGGTATTGTCAACGTTCTGAATTTTGGCCATTTGAATAGACATGCAGTGGAATCTCATTGTTGTTTTAATTTGTATTACATATAGTGTGGAAAATCTTTTCATATGCTTATTTGCCATCTGTACATCTTCTTTGTTAAAGCGTTCGGCACATTTTTAAATCTGGTCGTTTGTTTTCTTATTGTTGAGTTTTAGGAGTTTTTGGTATGTTTTGGATAACAATCCCTTATCAGATAAGTCTCTTGCAAATATTTCCTCCCAGTCTTTGGCTTGTCTTTTCATTGTCTTGTCAGTGTCTTCCACAGAGCAGAAGTTTTTAAACTTAATGAAGTTCAGCTTATCAATTATTTTTGAATTATTCTACATTCTTATTATTAGATTAGTGTCAGAAGGTACTAAAACTTGCCCTAGTTGAAATGCAGCAGTAAACTTTTTATCTTTTTAGATTCCACACTAATATTTTGGGAGTTTCATTTTATGACATATTCTCTGGTTTTGGATTACTTTCATTCATCCATTCTTTAAGAAAAAAAAAAAAACTTATTTAGCACTTACTATAGGTCCAACATAGGGGAAACCACAGTGAATAAGATAAGCAAGATTCCTGCATCCACAAGGCACTTCCAGTCTGGCAGGGATGAGGATAGTAAACCAATTATTATAGGTGGGGTAAATTTTGTAAATGGAGAAAAAGCAAGTGCCATGAAGGGCATAGCAGAGGGGACTAACCTGATCCAGAGGGTCTTAGAAGATCTCCCTTAACCTCCAAAAATCTCCATAAAATTCCCATGACAATATAAGGCCAAGGGATATTGGTATTAGCAGGAATGCTCCAAGCTTTAAGGCTTCGATGGTTGAAATAAATTGACCAAAATTGAAAACAGTAACAAGTCCAACAGCTTGTTCACTTTTGCCTGTGAAGTTTAGATGAAGACAAAGAAGGAATTACTGAGAGCCCAGCTACACAGCATCACACATGCCAACCACCCTGCCATGTCTCCAACAACTTGCCACTCAGGAAGTGGCAGAGATGGGAAAACTGCAGTATTGGCTATATATTCCAGAAGACACCTATATGCACCATAAGAACCAGGACTTCTCATCCTGGGCAGCTATCAGAGTATAGAGGTTTTTGTGTGTAGCTGGGTGCCCTCTGACAGGTGTTCTCAGCATCCCTCTATTACAATTACAGTCCTTGTCCTCTTCTTGGCTTATCTCTGAGCACTCCCCAGCAATGACCAGAGTGGAAGTATCAGAATAATAGTGGAGACAGAGGAGGAGGGCTTTGCTGGGCTGTCACCTAGAAATTACCATAAAACAGATTCATGCTCAAGAGCCTGGGACCTCACTTCCAATGCTGCTTTTGAGCTCCTGGTCACCCTGTGAGTTATGTATCCACCTTGGATACCTCACTGTCACCTGTCTAACTTACCATGACACCTGGCATTGAATCCCAAACTAAACATCTTTTGAGGTTACAAAACATTCCACTGCCCTCTTCTGCTACATAACGTTTCAAAATGTCAGCACTTTTCTAGCTAGACTTTGGCCTAGAAATGGAAGTTCACACATGCTAAGGGAATGGCTATTGGTTTAATAATTTCAGTCCTACTGGAAATACCAAAGTTGTCTGGGCCTAGTTCAAGTCATAATAATATATTTGGGCTTGTTTTTGACATTTTATGTGAAACTCTCCAAAAGCCCATGGAAAATAAGAACCCACTAAACCTCTTCATGCCCTTAGGAAGGAAAAGGAAGTTTTGAATTCTTCTCTCCCGGTTATAAATATTAAAGTATATGCAGAAAGAAAAATAAACCGTTGCTTCATCAAGTCTCCCTGGTTGCTAGGAGCTGGAGGCCAGCACGGCTGAAATGCAAAAGGGAGGATTCAATGTGAAACGGACAGCAGGAAGGGCCAGGCCTCACAGCACAGATCATGGCGGCAACCTTGATCTAAGAACAAGGCTAAAGAAGGGCGTGAAGCAGAAATTTGGCTGGGAATAACGCATTCAAATTTCAGTTTTAACAGACTACTATGTTCTGCAGCAAAGGAGCTGAAGACAGAGAACGAATACAAGAAAGTCTGTAGGGAGGCAAGTGCAGTGACCTGGGTGACAGATACTGGTGGCCTGGACTGCAACAGCAGCTGTAGATGTGGAGAGAAGACGGTAGATTTCAGAGGACAGGTCCACAGGGTTCGACTGTGGGTTGGTTTAGTGGAAAAGGTAGAAGATGCTTCAAAGATGTCATTTAACAGCCGGGAGAGGAAGATGTGGCACTGAGTCCAGAGAAGTAGGGGAATAGCCAACGGCGTGGTGTCACAGAAGCCCAGGAGTGGAGATGAAATATTCGCAGGAGGTTATCATAATGTTAAGTGGGTGACTACATCCTACATCCTCTGTAGATGGATCCTGCCCACCATGCCCTAAGATTAAATCACACCAACTATAGTAAGAAGTTACCTTTTGAAGAGTCCTGATTAGGTGCCAAGCACTACACAACTTATATAGTCTTTGTTACCTAATTCAATATTCTAAAAGACAACTTCTGTCAGGCAGGTTTGATTGTCAATCTTCACTTTCAGAAGGGGACACTGAGACTCCAAGAGAACATATAGGGTACAGAAGGCCACTTGGCTGGTCACAACAGAGCCTGGATGCTCATCTAGACCTTTCCGACTCCAAACCCAAATTCTTAACCACAATGTTTTGCTGCTTCTTCACAAAGAGTCTAAACATGAAATGCCTAGGAGTTCAACTGAAATAAATAATTTGGTTTCACAGAGGAAAAGAGAGATTATAAACCATATTTCTAAAGCAGCAGGGAACTTTACAAATTTGTGTTATTGGTCATTGGGGGTTTGGGTGACGTACCGTCCCTGGATCAGCACAATATTGTGTGCTGTTTATTAGAAAAATAACTCACGTCGCCTCTCATTGATTGGTGTGTTCGTAGCATGTAAGTTATGAAGAGACAGCACACATATCCACGACAGCAAATGGAAAAGTAATGATCTGCCTCATTGACAGAGAACAATTTACTTTTCCCCTAAATGAAATGTTATTATTAGAGTTTGAAGTGCATTAACATAAAGGAAATGCATTGAGGAAATGCTTTTTGCAGCCCCTACATGTGTTGAACATCTGAGCAGTACCCCCAGGTAGTCCCAGCCCTCATTTTGGCCAATAGCTAAAAAGAAGGATTGCTTTAGGGGAAGATGAACTCAGCAGTGATTGTATTTAAATACCACGAAAAGCACAGACAAAAAAGAATACAGTAAGGGGATGGAGGTTAAAAACAGATTTAACAAAAAGAAAAAAAATACAATTATTGAGGCAGCGACATTGGGTGGTGGAAAGGGACTGTGCGGTAGGGAAAAGGTGGCTCTGTCTCAATCTTTGCCATCAACAAGTATTTTAAATTCCATGTCGCTAAATGTTAAAAAAGGACAGCAGTCCTGGGCCTAAATGCTGCCTGCCTTCATTTATTTACAGAGTTAGCATTCTTTGTCAGAGAAAGGGGAACATGGGAAGGAAATGAACGGCTTTGGCGCTGTGTGGGCCATTCGTGGGCATTGCCATGACAGGCTTGCATGGCGAATCGTGAGACTTTAATAACAAGAGCTTTGATTTGGATTTTAATTTTCCAAAAGTGTAAGTCAGTGAAATTAACAGAGCAGGTGGTAGAAAGAGAGCAGTGTGGTGAGAGTATAAGCCACTTTGCTTTAGGATGAGGAAAGGAAATAACCAGGGTGTCCCAGATTCTGCTTCTGGTAATTAATGAGGCACCTAAATTCACCCTCACTTTCAAATTATTGAACTAAACTTTCTTCCTGTGGTTTTCATGAGTGCTATATTTTTAATTCAAAAAGGACACTGTCCTCATTTTATCCTCATCCACTGAAAGGCTTTCTCTCCTACACAGTGGCATATTGGGGTGGAAGGGGGTGCTGACAGTGTGAAGTGTCCCATCTGGTGAAGCCATTATAGCATGTTGCATTCCCAGACAGAAATAAGCCTCACTAAGGCAGAGGGCTACACAGGATGCTGCTTATTTGGTTTTGCCTGTTTTGTACAATAAGATTTTGGCTGGGATGATCAGTGAAAGTCTACTGATTCAGGTATTTGCATATGATAAAACTTAGGACATAGACCCTAAACTCTGTCATGAGAATCATACCCATTCCTTAATTATTCAAGATGTATATGGATACATTAAAGCTATGTGCAAATTAAATAGATATATATATATTGCATGTTAAAATACATACATAACAGAATAAAGCAAGGAAGAAAGTAATGTTTTTCAAAAATATGAATGCAATAATTTCTGAGATTTTTACTGTCTAAATGCGTATATATTCCCAGTGATTTTTTTTTTAACTTTTTAACACGTAAGTGAAATTAAGCAAGGAAAGCATCAGTTAACATTGCCGCAGTTGAAAAGAAGCAAGAGAAAATCACAGTTCCAATTAGAATGAAGGTTCTCAGCTACACTGAAAACAAACAACTGACCTTGGCCTGTGCTTCACCCTAGAGAAAGCCGAGGAAGAGCAGGATATGACGGCAAAGTCCCATGGAAGGACAAGCCTGGGCTATCCCTGAATATAATAGAGGCTTCCTCAGCAAGAAATTATAGTAAGGGATGGAGAACAGCATTCAAATCCTTCTTGCTGGAACTGTCTCTGCCTATAACCAATGCTGTTTATGACTTGTTTTTCCTACAAATAAGCTCCTTTGAATATTCAATTTTCCATAAAAAGTTATTGATACAACAATAAAGACAACATGTTTTTGGCAACCGCTATATTTTTGTTATTTTAACAATTATTTTAAGTGTTTTTTAAAAAATAAGAAACAACTATTTTTTCAGGATTCTGACTTCCATACAGTCAAGGCTTACATAGTTACAGCCAATGAACTTGAATGGAAACACAGTGGTTTCTGATATCAGCCTCCAGCTCCTTTGCACTCAGGAACTGGTGCTAAAAGTGGGGATTCAAGATGAGTTCTTATCTAGTCTAGACATGGTGTGTCCTCTATTATTCATGACCCTTGGGTCTGGTGTACTGAAAGGTCCCTTCTTTCTTCAGAGACTAGATGACTTAATCTCTTACTTAAACAGGAATCTTTCTCAATGGACTTTCAGGAGTGTCTTCGTTGACCTCTATTATACTTTCTCAATTTTAGCTTTAACTCTGCTGTACCATAGATTTCCATCTCCGGCTTAAGAGATCTGTGTCTGATTTCTCTCTCTGGGCTAGGAGTTCTCATTATATGACAGGAAAAAGTTACAAAGTATGCCACACAGAGGAAACAACTTATGGCTGGGGGTCCTAACAGCACATAGATCATTGACTGAACAGAAACTTGGTGGCCAGACACCTTCTGTGCAACAATAAACATCATTTTCATTTCCACTATGCCCTAAACAGTAGCTCCACATACAACTGCTTAATCACTTCAGCCTCAATATTATATATTATATCATACTAACACCTCCTTCTGGTTTCATCCAAAGACAGTGAAAATTACAGAAACACTACCTCTTGCTTGCTCACATGGCTTCCCCAAGAACATATCACATCACTTCCACTTTAGATGACAAATGAAACTGGTCTCCAAGCTTCCTTGAATGGCACGCCTGGCGTGGTCACTTCATGCAGGAGCTGTCAGCTCTTAACTGGAAAGCACTCCTTGAAATGATTTGTAACTCTGCTATAAAAAGCTTTCCCTCCAGCTAAAACTTGCACTTCTTTCAAGTTTGATGACAAACACACTACTGGCAAAGACGAGGGTGTATTCATGAGCACAGGCATATGCCCCGGCACACGCACACACCCCCCAAACACTCCCACCTCGATTCTCTTATTTTAAAAAAAGGAAAAGTGAATCTTTCCAAGCATTTCAATACAGTTTAAAGCAGGTGGAGGCCTCTAGCCAGGTGACATTAAGAACTGCCCCTTGGTGCCCACTTTGATTGCCGGCTCCTGTATTTGGGATGGGCACGTGGCAGGTGCTTGATCATTCTTTTGAATTCTATACTGCTGCATTCGGTCTTTTGATGGCTGACCTTGCTTATAACAATAATGTGAAAAACAATTCTAATTCCATTAACAGCCAAAAAAAAAAAAAAAACCAAAAAAGCAAAAACCACTCCTCAATCCTGCCAAAATATCTAGTCACTTCCACTCAGTCTTCTTTCTGCACTTTTCTTTACTTGTCCATGGAAGGAAACCTCCTCCAATGTATGGTAAGACACTTTCCTGGCCCCATTGCTCTGTGATGGAGAGCTAGCAGGCTACCCGTGGGGACCTATTTGGCCTTGTTGTTATGATACTTACAGTACTTAAAAAGAAATATTTATTATGCTAAGGGGCTCAGGCCTCCAAGTCTTGCCAGAGGCAGGGCTCTGGCCCCTAAACTGGTTTCTGAGTTGCTGGGCTGGCTGCAATTAGGACTGGCTATACCCTGCAGAAGGGCAAGGGTTGGATGAAAGCCCTGAGAAGTATGTGGACAGAGACTCCACTAGCTAACCTTCCCAACTAGAGTTTTAGAGACTTTAAAAGCCAAATACATTTAAGGGGAAAAGGCAACATTACATAATGTGGACAAGCAAGGCACCAAAAAGAATGTTAGCATTCTTATAGGGTGACACAAAGTGCAGAGGGACAGTGAGCCATGTTCTCTTAGGGTATCCATTACTTCCTAAAGATTAACGGGCTTGGTAAACTAGATTAACTCATTCAGATCCAGTACAGGAAACAATAAAACTCACTTTGCATTGGTTTACAAACTGATTTCACCTTTGGTTTGATTTCATTATTTCATTAATTGCTTTCCCTATTTACTGTTAACTACTCACTCTTAACCTTCTCTAGTTTGCACCATCTCATTGATAGCTTGACCTTGCAGTATGACTTTTTACTTCTAACCTGGGAAAAATGAGCTAATTCCTATAGTCTGGCTGTTTTATTATTTTCTGGTGCTAGTTGGATGGTTACATTACAAAGTTAATACATAACAAAGCACATTAAAGTTATCAGAAGACTTTTTTAAACCCCAGGAGTTGGTAGTGCCCTTGGCTGAAAAGAGAGAAGAGATTTAAAGCAATTAAAATATCATAAGTATTTATGACACATAAAATGAATATTTGTGTTTGCAGTGCTAAGTGTTTGTAATCCTCCCAAGGATTCTAGAGAGAAACAAAGACTCTGCAATAGTATAAATTAGCCATTAGGACTGACTCACCTATGGACAAGTCACTCAATTGTAACCACTTGCCCCAACAATTCCATTGAGGAAGTAAGAAAACACATCTATATCCTCTTTACTTTAGAGGTAGGTCACCCTGTACCATCTTTTAGTAAAACTACAATGCGTCATCTTTCATGTTCGTGTCACTTGTTCTTACGATATAAATGGAATCCCATAGTTTGGAGAAAAGCCAATTTGGAAAGGAAGCCATTTCTCCATTCTAGTTTGTCCAATATCTTTATTGGAGGTGTTCTTCATTAAACATAAATGAAGGTGCCCTTTGAGGGGCATGTGACAGTGTCCCCTCTTATTTAGACCTCAGCAAAATCAAAACATAATAGATTAAACCTGTATCTGTCAAAGTATTATTTACAATCCAAAGGTATTTTAGATCTAAAGCAGAACAATCAGAGTGTGACTAAGATAGTAAAGACAGAGTGCAACACGGAATCCTGATGCTCAACATGAACTCTAGGAAAGGGAATCTAAAATACTAGAATCTGGCAGTGTTGACCCAGAGAAGAGGCCCGTGGGGTGGTTTGCTATAGAGAAGAAAGACAGAGACAGGTGTCGCTATATCCATGACATCATGCTCACCAGGGTACAGTCCATCTTATTAGATACCTGACACACAGAAGGAGATGCTCTTGCTCCATGATCCCCAAAATTTAAGCCTATGTCCTTATAAGTGTATATTTATTTATAAATTATGCTTACTTACTATTATTAGCTGATATCTTAGGGCACAACATACTCTTAGAGCCAGATCATCCTTAGCAATGGGTCTTGTAAATCCCTATCTAAAGGGTTTTTTAGTAATTATATTTAGTGTATATAATTATAATAATAATAATTTTTTTTTGAAACAGGATCTCTCTCTCTCTGTTGCCTAGGCTGGAGTGCAAAGGCATGATCTGGGCTCATTGCAACCTCCATCTCCTGTGTTCAATGATCCTCCTGCCTCAACCTCCCAAGTAGCTGGGATTACAGGCACGTGCTACCATGCCTGGCTAATTTTTGTATTTGTAGTAGAGATGGTGTTTTGCCATGTTGGCCAGGCTGGTTTTGAATTCCTGACCTCAAGTGATCCACCCACCTCAGCCTCCCAAAGTCATTGGATTACAGGCATGAGCCACCATGCCCGGCCTAGTGTATATAATTATATATAGTGTATATTTTTGTGGCTAATTTCTTAGATCAGAATTGACTGTTGTGTTTTTACCTTTATTGTGTGGCAGAAGGACTTGAGCAAAGGTGATTGCTCCACCCTTTTTCATACTTTCCACTTGGCTTGCATTATTAGAAGTACCCTCTGTTCATTAGTTTTTTCCAGGATTTTTTAAAAGCTGTTTGTGCATTTTGTTTAGCCTAAACTTGATAACATAATATAATATAATAATGTGAGGTAACAACATTATAGACACATAACATGTAAAGTAACTTACGTAAACTGCAACAAGTCTCAATGAGAGCAATGGGGTCATGCCTTGACTATCTCTGTCCTCCCACCCAACATGGAGAGGTGACATGAGAATCTCTGACTTGTACACCCCTGAGATTGTCCATTATATGTTAGCGAAGCTTTACTTCTTTCTTATTTTTACATTAAAATGGAAACAGAAATTTCCAGTATTTTTTTCCTAGCACTCAATGGAAAGTGTTGTGTACCTATGGGGAGGCACAGCCTTTGACTAACAAACATTTCATTCACCATAATGACAAATCCTCTACAGTCAATTAATAAATCCATACCAGGAGAGAGAATATACTGGTCAGGGATAGCAAATATCCCAGACAAACTGATAGTTAGTCTTTCATTATACACTAACAAAATACTCCCAGATACAGGGGCAAAGGCAAATTCTTAGACCCGCAAGCAAACTCGGATCCAGGGGCATGGTGTAGAGATCAAGAGCATACCACCAGTCGCCTAAATGCCAACTGGTGTCCAGGGGCCTGAGGGGTCATCATGCTCTAAATTTCAGCCAGCCAGTCTGTCCTTTGTAATGCCATGTAGCAAGCTCTTTGATCCATTCATTGTAATGTGGGGGCAGTAAAAAGACCACACAGATCTTTATAGCTGGTACATTGTGATTGATTATCTCTGCTTAATGCTTTATAAGCATTTTGGGGGAGTGCTACTAAGATGGAAAACGAGGGCTTGGGTCTCATCCGACCAGTCTCTGTTTTCTGAACTAACTCCGGTTTCCTGCTGCCCCCATGAATAAGTCCCCGGCCCTCTTCTCCCAGTGTTGCCTTCCAACCATGGGGCAGCTCAAAGGCAGTCTGAACCAGGAAGCCTTTCTTCTCTCCCATACAATGATTTCTCCCGCCTCTATACTTTTATAGTACTTTGTACCTAGTACAGCTTTTGTTACCTTTATGTGAGTTTCTTTCTCCCTCATTCAAAGGTAAACTCCCTGAAAGCAAAGACCATGCTTTATATTCTTCCAAACACAGGGTGCAGCACCTTGAAAGGCAAGTGCACAGTAGCCGCTTCTAGAAAGGTATTAAATTGGCCATACAACTTTGAGGTTCCTGGGCACCCTTTTTGGCTACGTTCTTTTCAGATTATTAAACAGCTAATGTTTCGGTTAATACCATAGAAGATCAAATCGCCAAACACATGATAACTGTATTCAACATGAGTGTCTGTATAAACTTAATGAATTATCTGTGTCGACTTGATTTAGAATTCAAATTGCATTCATATTTTCTAAAAAAACAGTTTAGTCACTTTCACAGTTTGAAAGGAAAAGTCTTTCAAAACGTGCTTTAAAAAGTCACCCCAAATGCTTTGGCATCAAAATGGGCCTTGCAGAACAACTATTCTGATGCATGAAGGGTGAACTAATCAACTATTTGATAGCCTTTGGCATACAAAGGTCTTACAAACTAAGGAGAGCACATTTGCAGTGCACAATGGGTGTGACAAAAACTTGGTTCAAAAGGTTCCAGTGAAGCCTAATGTCCTACAGGCTCCATCATCCTCAAAGCCTAATGTCCTACAGGCTCCATTGTCCTCAATTCTTGAGTGTTCCTGAACTTCTTCTTCTTTTTCTTTTTTCTTTTTTTTGTTTAAGACAGAGTCTCGCCCTGTTGCCCAGGGTGCAGTGGTGCAATCTTGGCTCACTGCAACCTCTGTCTCCCAGGTTCAAGTGATTCTCCTGCCTCAGCCTCCCGACTAGCTGGGATTACAGGTGCCCGCCACCATGCCCAGCTAATTTTTGTATTTTTAGTAGAGACGGGATTTCACCACGTTGGCCAGGCTGGTCTCGAACTCCTGACCTTGTGATTCACCTGCCTCAGCCTCCCAAAGCCCTGGGATTACAGGCGTGAACCACCGCGCCCAGCCAAGTGTTCCTGAACTTCTACAACATGCCACTCTTTGGTGTTACAGCAACAGTAGCTTTCCCATAGAGAACATTGACACCTACAATGGCTCAACAGCATGAATGGCCCATGGCCACCAGAGCTGAAACAGTCTTGCTGGCATAGGCAATAAGCCTGGGTTGGGAGTCCTGAGCCCAAGCAGTGCCTGACTCCAGGTTGACTCACCATGCGAGCCTGGGCCAACCACTTCACTTGTGTGTTCTTCACTGTCTCCATTGCTCAAGAAGAGGAATAATCCCTACTGCACAGGGAGGCCCAGGAGATGAATCGGAAAATATTGGTAAAACTCCCTGAAATCTCCGCTAGAAAAATGTGGTCGAAAGATAATTACACGCCAGTAGATTTTCCCAAGGAAATTATGCAAGCAGGGAAAAACTGTTCAGTCAAGAAATACTGTCCAATGCGAATTAGTTCCTAAAATATCCTAAGTAGATAATATAATGTTTTTCTATTTTTCACATTAAGGAGCTAAAGCAATTTTTTAAAACACTGTTTCGCAGTCTAAAAAATTTTTTGAAAAAATGTTTTTAATTAATTAATTATTCTTTGGAGACAAGGTCTCACTCTGTTGCCCAGGCTGGAATGAAGTGGCTGGTGCAAGTGTAGCTCACTGCAGCCTGAAACTTCTGGGCTCAAGGGGTCCCCCGACCCCTGCCTCCTGAATCACAGGGACAGGCATGCACCAACACACTCAGCTAATTTTTTAAAGTTTTTGAAGAGATTGGATCTCGCTACATTGCCCAGGTTGGTCTTAAACTGCTGACCTCAAAAGATCCTCCCACATTGGCCTCCCAAGGTGCTGGGATTACAGGTGTGACCCACTGCACCCAGCCAGGAATAGTTTTTATAAGCAGACATTAAGAATACTATAGCTTTAGTATAATTACTAATGCTATAGTATTAGTAAGACATTAGTATACTATAAGAAGCAACTCAATAAACCTTGTAAACTGTTCTGTGCATGAGATCCGGACTTAGTCATATGAAGCTTCATATGTAATGCTACTATAATTCCTAGAGTGAAGAGTAATTATTACAGAAAATAATAGCTTCCATACTCCTTAAAATAGTGGTGTCATTTACCCTCATTTGTTTTAAGATTGTTATGATGAAGAAGCCAGTGGATACACAAAACTCCTTGAATAGAAAACAGATTATAGACTAAGCATGGTGGTACATACCTATAATTCCAACACTTTGGGAGGCCTACACAGAAGGATTGCTTGAGACCAGGAGTTTGAGGCCAGCCTGGGCAACATAGGGAGACACCATCTCTAGAATAAATTTTTAAAAATTAGCCAGGCATAGTGGTGCATGCCTGCAGTCCCAGCGGCTCAGGAGGCCAAGGGGGAAGGATCACTTGAACCAAGGAGATTGAGGCTATAGTGAGCCATGATTGCACCACTGCACTCCAGCCTGGGCTACAGAGCAAAATGCTGTGAAAGGAAGGAAGGGAGGAAGGGAGGAAGGGAGGAAGGAAGGGAGGGAGGGAAGGAGGGAGGGAAGGAGGGAGGGAAGGAGGGAGGGAAGGAGGGAGGGAAGGAGGGAAGGAGGAAATCAAAGACAGAGAGACAGAGAGAGAGAGAGAGAGAAAATAGACTTCCACCTCTTGTTAAGCATTAAATGACTGTTTTCCACATAAGCCATTTTCCTCCCAATTGTTGGTGGTCACCACCAAAGCTCTGGTGTCTGCACTGTGCTGTCCTTGATCCAACTCTTTGATGTGCTAGACACAAATTTGCCTTTTCACTGAATCAGCATGTGTTACATGTTTGCTTCTTCTTCTCAAATTGCTTTGGTTTTCTGCACAAGTATGCTTACTTTGGCTAAGCCAAGATGTCCTACCTTCTGGATAGCCTTGGTCAGTCTACTGGTCACTGGGAGCCATGATACAGCAGGGAAGGATCTGTTCCCAAATTGATATTTGATTGTTATTTTTGGATCTCTCAAGTAAATTACAGGAGAATTGATTTTCTGTAGTGACCTCCTGCACCTACTCAACCTTTTATGTTGCTCTAACTTGGTTTTATTTCCTTCTATGTTTAGGGTTTTTGTATATGTGCCATGGGAGATTAATAGAGCTGATGGAAATCAGGTTGCCTAATTAGAGGGAGTTTTGGAAGCTCATACAATCAAACTTAATTTCTTATTTAAGATTGACAGATAGAGTTATTTTGCAGATGTAGCTTTGGATGTATTCACTTGTCATGAAGACATGAATTACCTTATCCTATAAAGAAGAGGAACTCTTTCCACTTGTATCATATCTTTAAGATGGCTGTTCACATACAATGCCAAATCGTCTCTCGTGTTTAACCAAACCAGCCAACTATACTCCACTCGTGACCCAAATATCCAGTTTCATCATATCACGACTTCAAAATCATGGTTGTCTTGAACTCCAACTTGCCCATGGGGCATTTGCTCATCCTCACCACCTCCAGGGGTGTGGTTCTATGCATGGCCCATCCCCTTGTGTTTCTCTGCTCGACAGCTGCAATAATCCTTGGGAGACCCTCATACTGCAGGAAGGGCACTCTCCTTGAGAACTGGCCTTGGACATGAGCCCTGTCCTCTCCTCGGCCACTTAGTTCTAAGCCGGTAAGACATTCTTCCCTAAAATCCTCATGTCACAACAGAGACTAAACTCTGACTTTAAACATTTCACCAAAAACTTAGTTATGAGAGGAGAGTGTAGCCTTGGACTGGAAGTGGTGAGTTTCAGGGTCCCCGGCCTGTCTTTCAGGACCCTGTCGCTCAGTCTGTGTGATTCCCCCAGGCTGGCTTCCTGTTCATGCTGCTTCCCCTCCTCCATCACATGGACCTCTAAGGGACTCACTGTCCCCAGCTGCCCTCAGGCCCTGAAAGGAAAGTTTCTTCTCTTACTCGGAGTACCCTCCCTTCCCTCCTTATTTTTCACAGCTGAACATCAGCCTATTCCCAGTTAGACTGACGGTGAGAAAATTTCTCTCCACTAAAGCAAATCCACCAGAAGAAAAACTACATCAGAAAATAATATTTAAGCCTCCTTACGTGATGAGTTATTCTGACAGATATCACTGTGTGGGGGACATACCAACTGCCTGGCTGAGCTGCTGTTTTGGGGATGTCCTTCCTTCCTCAGTCCGCAGGCCTCAGCTCTGGAGTTCTAGAAAACAACTCCACACAGAGAGATGCACACACAAAGCTACAAGAATAGGCAACAGCTAACAGCAAAGGGCCCTGAAAGTCAGACAGGCCTAGAAATGCCGGAACATGCACCCCCCTCCCTCGCAGACAACTATGTCTCCCAGACAGAAGTTTGGCTCATTCCTTCCCCAAAATTTATGTTATCAAATAGAACACTTAACTTCTCGGTCTAAAACATCTGTGTTCGGGTTAATATTGACTTCACATTTCCCTCTAGAACAGTGGGTGAATATTTGATTTACATTTCTGTAAATAAATGGCAGACTCAAGTGGTTTTCCCAGACCAAAAACAACAATTTGCCTCTGAGGTAAATTCATGTCCCCACCCTTAGAGACTGGAAATTGCTTGCAGCTTTAAATGTTTTCCTTCCTTTCCCAGCTACTAAAGATCAAGTTTCTAACAATATCTTAGGGCCAGTGCCAGCGAGGGTAACCCATTGCATGTCTGTAGAATTATGAGAATCATGTCTATTTTGGGGGGCTCCGCTGACTGTTCAATCATAGATGCCAGTGGTTCTCAAATGTGGACCCCAGAGAAGTAGCATCACCTGGGAACTTGTCAGACATGTGAATTTCCAGGTTTCATCTTAGACCACAGAATGAGAAATTCTGGAGGTGCAATCCAGCAGCAGTATTTTAGCAAGCTCTGCAGGAACATCTGAACGCTGGTAGACACCAACCATAGCAGAAAGTTTCAACAAGAATGAATGGTTCCATGGGCAGATTCATTGGGAAGACACACATAATATCTTCCAGGTGCAGTTTCTGGGTTCTGATCCTGCCTTTGGATCCGGTTAAGAGGGGTCTGGCCCCGGGAACCCAGATCTCACAAACTCTGCCACAAAAGATGCTTGATTTTTCTTCTCTGGGCCAAAAAATTTTAGAAATCTCAGAAAATACTTGAATGAACCAGGATTACAGAAGCAGACAGTGTGAGCTGAACAGAACCCCTAGGCCAGAGAAAGCAAGGGTAAGAATGATTGACAGCTGGGGGGAGGGGAGCTTTGGGGAGGGATATGATTGCCACCTCTGCCCTAGGAGAGCAGAGAAAGAGTGCCTGCTTGTCTTTAGGCTGGTTGTCCCCCATTGTCCACAGTAGATGTCTAGCAGACCAGTTCCTCAGATATCTGTATTCTTTCCTTCTACTTAAGTGATGTGGTTCTAGGAGGCCCTTAGAACTACCCAGAAATGCTGAGTCAGACAAGTGAGGCATAAGGAAAAGGTCTCCATCTCCATCTGTCTCCCTAGGAAGCTGAATCACTGGTCATCCCAGGTTACCCAGGACAGCCCAGAAATCCTGAGCTAGGACACAGTTTCCACCCTACTGTGTCCTGGGAGGCTGTGCAACCCCCTAGGCTGAGGATAACAGGGCTGGCCCAGGGGAAGGCATTGCCCCCAGATCACATGAGTGACTCCCAATGAGTAGGCTATAGGGCCATGGGTAAGAACGCAAGGCAGGCGGAGTAAATTAAATATTTTGGCATGTAGTCTATGGGCCTTCAATGATGCTCTTCTCCCAGCCCTGAAATGTTAAAGGTATGCCTAGAAATTATTTAGAAATTAAATTCAGCTCTATTAATTAAGTGGTGAGTACCCACCATGTAGAAGGCATGGTGCTCAGTGTCATGGCACACACAAAGATGAGTTAAGTCTGTGTCTGACCCCAAGCCCTGACTAACTGGTAGCCAAAGGCAACCGTGAGCACTGCCAACTTACCATACCCAAGGTGTAATAACAACTCCAAGGCAGCTATAAAGAAACCCCTAGGGAAAAACACACAAAGGAAGAGGGACGCTTGACCTTGAAAATCCAAAAAGCTCCTGGGAAGACATGGCATTTCAGCAGATCTCTGTGCTGCTTACCAACCCAGACTTTCCTCCAGACTCAGGAGCCACCCTGGGAGAATGCCTCATTTCCTGTCCTTGCTTGACATAAAGAGTAGGCAGCAGAAAGTGGCTTCTAAAATCCAGTGCCTGTCCCCAGACCTATGAATCTACCTCAGGCTCCAGAGGGGAGTTTGGAAGTCCTGGCCAAGAGTGAGGGGCCCAATCCCGGGGATTGCTGTATTTGTGCTTGGCTCTTGTTGGTAGACACAGAAAATTATTATTTTGTGGTATGTCTAACATAAAATGCATCTTCTCAGAATGCCTTTATCATATGCAGGAGTCACCTTGTAATCAAAAAACATGCCTCACAATGCATTTTCTTCTGAAACTGTCTAGGAGGCTAAAATCCTGTTTCCACATTCCAGGGTCATGAACAAAATGAATGAACTCAGACATCAGCAAACTGTGGCCCAGGCACCAAGTCTGGCACACTACCTGTTTGTAAATAAAGTTTTATTAGAATGCATCCACACCCATTCATTTAAAGATGGCAGAGTTGATAGTTGCAACAGAAACCGCATGGCCCAGGAAGCCTAACATATTTATAGAAAAAACTTGCCTTTCCCTCACTCATTCAAAGGCAATCAATATGCAAAAGGAAAAAGCCTTTAAATCTTCACCAAATTCCAATATCTGCCCCAAGTAGCTTTACTTATAGTTCAAGGTTGGACAATTTTATAACTTTAAACAAATGAAAGCCAGAAAGTGAGGCAGAAGGCAGACAGCATCAGTCAAAGTCCTGGAAGAAAATAGAATTCCCCACAGATGGTTTGCATGAAGAGACTTTAATAAAAAAGTCACTTCCAGAAGTATAGACAAAGTTAAAGGAAGGAACAAGAGATGTTGGAGCAGCCAAAGGCAGGCAACAGAAAGAAGCCATTAGCACCCCTTGGGCAGAAGGGACAAGTGCAGGAAAGGGTGTTCCTGGGGCCAAGGAGGAAGGGCCACCCTGTAGGAGCTGTAGTCATGCAAGGGCACAGCTGCCAACAGCAAGGCAGCCTCCAAGCTGGCGGGAATGGAGAAGAAATGCCTCACACTCTTTATCTGTCCCCCACCTTATACTGCTGCTTCCCACTGGAACCCAGGCAATGCAATCCAAAGTCGTCAAGCTTCTGGGAACAGAGAAGGGCAGAGATAAGATATGATATGTTGGGGAGGTGAGTGACCAGTACACAGACCCGAAAAAACAACATGATGTGAAGGTTAAGAAATGTTGCCTATATTGATTAGGATTTCTATTGCAAGTAGAGAAACTCGACTCAAACTGACTTATATAACAAGGAAATGTATTAACTCACATTATAGGGAGACCAGATGTTAAGGTTTCAGGGAGAATTGATATAGTAGCTCTCCAATGTCATCAAGGGGATCTAAGTATTTGTATCTCCCTGCTCTATCCATCTCAATAAGGTCAACATGATTCCAAGGCTGGTTTACCAGTAGCAATTAAGAAAGCATGTCTCCTTGTTCACATCTGGACATGGTGAGGCAGAGGTGGAGATGAGGAAACGAACAGTGTTTAAGGCATTTTCTCCCCATTCCCACCACTTTGAAGCTGTGTTTTGGTGTCCTTCTGTGACTATAGTGTCACATACATATATATGTGTGTACATATATATACACACACACATATATGTGCATACATGTATACATACATATATACACATGTGTATATACATATGCATACACATACATGTGTATATATACATATATGCATGTGTATGTACCTATATACATGCATATACATTTGTGTTATACACACATCTATGTATATACATATATATACAAACTCACATATATTTGTATATGTTTTCTTTCCCTCTCTTAGATTTTTAAAGTTATCCTGAACTCTCTTTATATTTCATTTTCTCTGGGTAGCTTAGGCCTGACAATTCCAGAACCAATCACTATCCAGGGGGATAAATTACTAATTTAGACTAATCATCTGAAGGAAGGATGAATGGGAGTATGGGTGTTGGGAAGCCCACGACATAAGGTATCTACAGGAGCACCATATTATTATCTCCTTTCACATGCATTTCCTTTCTCTGCACCCCATTGTCTGTACGTGTTTATCACTCAAATCTTCATCTGACACATTAGGCTCCTTCTGGCAAACTGTGGGGTGATGGTACCTGCTCTTGTTCAGAGTTAAAACATAATTCCTTACCCAGGCAGTTCATGTGACTCCAGAAAAAGCCAAAAGATAACTTCTGGAAAAAGAGAAAGTAGCCATGTCTAACTAAAGATCCAATTAGACTTTCTCCCAAATCTTTGGTAAATCACTCTTCCTTTGTGGTTTAACTTCCTCCTACATAATTAAGATATATAATGGTTGCAACCCCACAGCAAGAGAAATTACATAATGTGAGCTCAGACGGTTTCACAGCTGAAATTAATTTGAAAACCTTTTAAGAGGTGTTAGGTGTTTTTCACACTTTTCCCTGCACCTGGTAGCTCTTGGGTCCCATTGGTGAAATCTCCCTTTGGTCTTTGATTGGTGGACTTTACAAGGCAAACATAGAGCTTGCCTTCATATAGATTTCCCTCTTCATCATGGGCACACAATTGCCACTGATCTGATCCTAACCTTCATCCTATCCAAAATGGCCTGAGATTTTAATCTAGTTTTTACAGGAAAGGGTCAAAAAAATAACTTACCTATTGTTCCCAGATGTCGAGACACTGAACAGAGGCATGCTGAGGTAGACTGTGGTAAGGATCCCTGGCAGTGACTTGTCAGTGGTACATGGCTTCCCGAGATCAGCGACTGTCAGAAAGGCATAGCCCCTTCTTATGCAACAGAATTCCCATTGAATGGATAACGAGCCAACTTTGTTTAAAGCTTCATTGAAACTGGGGGCTCTTTATTTTTCCTACATGTTTTTAATACTTGGCTGGGCTGATGAAATTGTTGACCCTGGCTCATGGACCAACATAGATTCCCTACTCACCTCAGGATTTAAAAACAAAATACCCATTACATGGACAGGCACAAGGGCAGGAGTCTTGGTGGGTGCTGAAATATCCATTTCTAATAGGATTCAAAGCACAGGAACTCAGTATGTTTCAGGGCATTAGAAAGTAAAGTCCTGGCCAGCAGAAATAAGCCAGGACCTTAATGCCTTCTTTTAAAGTCCAAAATTCCCTATGCCAAACTCAGGCGCATGTTTATAGTTTCAAAGTTATTTTTCTTGCAAAAAATTAATCTAAAACCTTGACAAACCATAGCATTTTTATGAGTTTCCATAGTGGCTTTTCTATACACATTGCAATAAATTCCCTATGAAAATTATTATTATATTAATCAGCAGTGACTCATTTAAAATTATACTTTGGGATCTCTTATTTTTAAAAAGGTCCAATTTCATTTTTATCACGGCCCAAGTTTATTTTTTACTTAAAATTCACGTCACAATTCAGAAGAGGAAATGCCACTGGAAAGTTGTTTTTCAAACCAAGAATTTTGTTTCCAAAAAGAGAGAATGAGAGAACAAATGAACATGATAATGCCAATAATTATGTGTTACATGATTTTTATAACCAAGCAGTTTATTACAACTGCTTTTGTGGGTGCTACAAAATATTTGAACAGGTTTTCAAACCAGTTGGCAATTTATTAAATACTAGTGATTGTTATTACAGGTTGAGTTTTATGATCTAAGGTTGATGTATTTGCATGAAAACCAGAAGGACACATATCAGGCCAGCTTTCTGCTTCAAAAATGCTACCCGGGGCCGGGTGCAGTGGCTCACGCCTGTAATCCCAGCACTTTGGGAGGCCGAGGCGCGCGGATCATGAGGTCAGGAGATTGAAACCATCCTGGTTAACACGATGAAACCCCGTCTCTACTAAAAATACAAAAAATTAGCCGGGCGTGGTGGCTGGTGCCCGTAGTCCCAGCTACTCGGTAGGCTGAGGCAGGAGAATGGCGTGAACCAAGGAGGCGGAGCTTGCGGTGAGCGGAGATCGAGCCACTGCACTCCAGCCTGGGCGACAGAGCGAGACTCCATCTCAAAAAAAAAAAAAAGAAAGAAAAGAATGCTACCCGGTACTTGGCTCACCTTTGAACCACTTATTAGGGCACTTCAAGGCTCCAGGAGGGAGAAGCTGCTGAGGAAGCAAATAGGTTTCAAGGAACTAAGAAAGACATTTGAATGGTCCTTGCAAAGTCAGTTGACAATCTATCAACAAGCAAAAAAATAGCAGTTCATTTAAAAAAGAAAACTCAGGTGTACACATTTATGTTAATTTATGAGTACCTCAGTTAATGAACCGTAATCAACAGCTTATTTAGTGAAATAACAACCAACTGATATGTGATGCTAAAAGACCCTAGAGCCCAAAAAGAAATGGGCTTAATCATTTTTTTCTCCTTATTTAGTAATACTACCAGAGAAATAGGTGAAGCGGTGAATCACATGTCACTCAAGATTAAATTTGCCACTCTGTTTACTTAATCAAATACATTATTGTTGCCACAATAAGCAGTGAATTTAAAAATTTCCTTAGCAGACTCATAAAACTATTATCAAGTCCAGAATTTAGGAACGTGTCAATAAGAATGTATTTTAACAAAACCTGAATTGATAGGCCACTTTCAACTTCCAATTCTTCAAAAAATAACTGACAAAAATCTCTTGGTCTCAGTCATCTTTTGGGAAGACCACCCTGATCTTAAACATCATATCAAGTATATTAAGTATCAAGTTATATGTTTGTCTTTGACTCAAAGAGAAATCCACTCTTTCTCAAAGTCTGTAGGTTCGGTAGGTTCTATGGGGGCAGGGACCATGACAATCATCCCCATGCCCAGCAACATCTAAACACAATGTACCCAAAATAGCTATGCAATAAATATTGGCTGAAGACCTTACAGAATGTCTGAATGAGGGGACATCAGACTGGAAGTATCCAGGAGCGCCCTCTCTCTCTCTCTGGCTCTCTCTCTCTCTGGCTCTCTCTCTCTCTCGCTCTCACTCTCCCTCTCCTTAATAACTATAGAAACTCTGCAAGGCTTAGTAAAGCATCATTCCGATGAAACTCAGGGATGCTATTTCCCTTCTGGGTAACAGCATGTTATGATATTATAGGACCTGAGTAATGGGCTTGGGTTTACAATACTAACACTTAAGAGCCTATTCTTTCTGGGCGCTTTGTCTAAAACAAACACACACACAAAAAAACTAAACAAGAACTTAAGTATATAAACTGAGAGAGTGGTCTTGGGGTTCATATGGCCAGTATGTACCTGAGAGAGTAATAAAATCTCTTTTCTATGCATCTGTATTTTTATTTTAACAAGTATAGAAATGTTTATTCAGATAATCTTTTTGAACATTAAAACTCATCATTGTGGCCAGGCGTGGTGGCTCACGCCTGTAATCCCAGCACTTTGGGAGGCCGAGGTGGGTGGATCACGAGGTCAGGAGATCGAGACCATCCTAGCTAACATGGTGAAACCCCGTCTCTACTAAAAATACAAAAAAAAGAAAAACAAAATTAGCCGGGCATGGTGGCGGGCGCCTGTAGTCCCAGCTACTCGGGAGGCTAAGGTCGGAGAATGGCGTGAACCAGGAAGCGGAGCTTGCAGTGAGCCCAGATTGCGCTGCTGCACTCCAGCCTGGGCGACAAAGCGAGACTCTGTCTCAAAAACAAAAACAAAAACAAAAAAACCCCTCATTATTGTACTCTTCAACCAAAGTACAAGAAATTGTTAACAGAAATATTTTGTTGTTTTGTAATTAAATGTATCCATGTTTTCTGGGTTTTGTGTCATGCTTAAAAAGGCCTTTCCCCAACCAGGATTAGTTGAAAATTCTTTTCTAGCATTTTTGTTGTTTCCCTATTTATCATTAATCTTGCTTCCACTTTGTATTTATTTTAATGTAAGGAGAAGGATAAGAATCCAATGTGATATTTTTCTCAGATAATTATGCAAAAGCCCCACATTATTAATTTTAAAAATTGTATTTTCTCATTGATACACAGTGACAGCTTTTCACATCCTAAATCCACATAGATTGCTGTGTCAGTTTCTGGGCAATTCTATTATCTATTTGTTTATTTATAGTCTCATGCCTTCATGTTTTAATTACAGTAGATTTATATGGCTAATATAGCTAATATCCTTCAATTATTCTTTTCCTTCAGATTGTTACGTTCTATTTTTTCAGTTATTTTGTGTATGAATATGAAAATCAGTTTATTTAGTTCTAAAACTCTCCAGGCTTATGATAAATTTATAGATTGATTGAGGGAAAATTGACCTCATTAGGATGATGAGTCTTCCTATTCAAGAACAAGATACACTCTTTCAAGTTTTCAATTTTCCCTTTGTCTCTCAGTGATTTAAAGTTTTCTCCTCATAGATTTTGCACAACTCTAAACTTCTTCCTAGGCATTTATTTTTTTTGTGGCCACTACATATTTCATTCTATTGTTTTCAAAATGCCAGGTAAATTTAATCAAAGCCATTTAGAAAGAACCTAACAACTTTAAAAACAAATGCTTTGCAACCCACTCAACAGTAGGCATATGAAATGATGAGATGATGTCATTACTAAGAAGTTTGACCGAATGGAATAGAGGATCCTATGAACTCACAGGGCCATTGTCAGTTTGGGGGAGTTTTCCACATGGTACCAGAACTATTTGGAATCCAGAAGTTAACTTTTATCTCACCAAAAATGGGGAGAGGAGTTAAACAAAGAGTCAGAAGAGAAGGGTGCAATCCTACACAAATAGATAAACGAACAATTTATCTTATAATAAGGAGCAGCTGGGGGCATTTTCCAGGAGGAAATGAAGGACAGAAATTCTTCTTAAAATCCGCAAATGTATGAATGTGGGCAAGGGCATGATGCAGGCTTTCTACTGAAGTCTGAAGGCTAAGAAATTGCAACTAAAATTTTTACAAAAACCTAATACTTCTCATCTAGCTTGATGTAAAGAGGTGACTATTCTTGTGCAAATGTGTACCAGACACCTAGAAAGAAACCAGTAGAGAGCCAAAAACCTGGATGAAGACATCAACAAAATAAATGAGATTTAGTCAGAGATGTCTCACCCTACCATTCTTGTATGTTTCATGAAATCTATCAGAAGGAACGAGAAGTTGTTGTACAAGTAATGCTGTCTGTTAATTGTGGTTTGTTACATGCATATAATGACTTTTCTTGAACATAACTGACTCATTTTTACATAGCCTTATTCCATAGTGTGGAATCCTCAATCCATTTTTCTGTTCTTTATAAAGTTCTATATTTAAAAAAATCCGCTTGGTCTGCTGATATAGATGAATACCAACCGGTTTTAATCTCCACTGGCAGTTGATTTGAGAACTATGGCTTCTGCAGTAATTGGTTAAGTGGTAAACACACCCATAAAACAGAATGTCTTTTCGTAGAATACTGTTGTGCCAGGACATATTTCTCCCTAAATCTGCTAAATATTACATTTTCATCATATCGAATCCCAGTACTACTAACTAGTACAATTGACTTTTCTATATTAGTATTCTATCCAGTCAACTTGCTGAATTCACCTATTATTTCCAAGTAATTTATCTATAAAGGCATTTGTGTTTTCTATGTAGACAATAATAATGACAATTATATACACTCTTTTCCAAACCTAATGCCTTCAATATATTTTCTTGTGACATTGTGCAAGCTAGGATCTAAAATACAATGTTGACTAGAATAGTGACAGGGAGCAACCTTGTCTAACCTCATTTCAAAGGGAATGGTTTCCTTCCAACTTACTTTCAAATAAAACTTTAGAAACATAACATTTACAATTTTCTGCATAGGCCCTTTATTAGAAGAAATAATCAGTAGAAAACGAACAAACTGTGCAAATTTGTGTGTGTGTGTGTGTGTGCATTTACAAAATTTTAAAAAGTAACATCTCCCTTTAAGTCCAAAGTATTATCCTATGCCATGAGAAATAAGGTAACATTGTCCAAAAATCCATAAGTCTGATATTGAAAATTTTTCCTGAAATAACAATAAAAGTTATTATCTTTTCTGGAAGGTTTTTAACAGTTGCATTTATTTCATTTGCCCTTTTAAATTTATAAGTACAGTCATGAGCCTTTATTTCAAGGGCCAAAGGCTATGAGCCACTTCAAAGTCACCTAGGGGCCAGGCAAGATGGCTCATGCCTGTAATCCTAGCACTTTGGGAGGCTGAGGAGGGTGGATCACCTGAGGTCAGGAGCTCAAGACCAGCCTGGCCAACATGGTGAAACCCAGTCTCTACTAAAAATACAAAAAATTAGCTCGTCGTGGTGGTACATGCCTATAATCCCAGCTACTCAGGAGACCAAGACAGGAGAATCGCTTGAAACCAGGAGGTGGAGGTTGCAGTGAGCCGAGATCGTGCCATTGCACTCCAGCCTGGGCAACAAGAGCAAAACTCCATCACAAACAAACAAACAAACAAACAAACAAAAAACAACAATAACAAATAAACGAGGTCACCTAGGGAATTTTTTTAAAACCTAGATTACGGGATCCCACCCACAAAACCATGGAACTGAAATCTCCACGGTGGAACCAGGAATGTATTTTTATATCTCCCAAGTGTTTGGGGTAAACATTCAAGTTTGAGAATCACTGAATTCACTGGTTTCTGTTCCTTTGTTAATTTAGACTCAGAATAGGAGGACTGACCTATGTTGCACTTAATAGATCTTAAATTTTGAGATTCTGTGGTTTAAAAAAATTATTAAATAATTCACACATTATAGTACAGTGTATAAATAACAACTAGGCCAAGAAACAGAACAACTCAGAAACATAGAAATTCCTATATTTGTGTATTTCCAAAGACAATTCTTCTCTCCCCAGAAGTAACCATTATTCTAACTCTTGTGAATATCATTTTCGGCTTCTTCTTTATTGTTTTACCACCATGTATGATCCCTAAACAAAGTTTATTTTTAAATTTTATATAAACTAGCCGGGCATGGAAGTTAACATCTGTAATCCTAACACTTTGAGAGACTGAGATGGAAGGACCCCCTGAGCCTGGGAAGTCAAGGCTGCAGTGAGCTTTGATTATGTGACTGCACGTTAGCCTGGGCAACAGAGTGAGACTCTGTCTCAAAAAAAAAAAAAAAAAAAAAAAAAATTCTAGGGTGGGGGTGGTGGCTCATACCTATAATCCCAGCACTTTGGGAGGTGGAGGCAGGTGGATCATTTGAGGTCAGGAGTTCGAGACAGCCTGGACGATACAGTGAAACCCCATCTCTACTAAAAATACAAAAATTAGTCAGGCGTGGTGGTGCACACCTGTAATCCCTGCTACTTGGGAGGCTAAGGCAGGAGAATTGCTTGAACCCAGGAGATGGAGGCTGCAGTGAGCCAAGATCGTGCCACTGCACTCCAGCCTGGGCAACAGAGTGAGACTCCATTTAAAAAAAAAAAATTCTATAAACTGATTTGTATTATATGATTTCTTTCGTTTTGCATCTTTTTTCAAATTATGCTGATAAGATTCATTGTTTAGCTGTAGCTCAGTCTTGTTCACTGCTGTATAATATTCCATTTTCTGTATAACACATTTACTCACCTATTCTACTTTTGATTAATATTTAATTTTTTTCACAAATTTTGGGTATTATAAGCAATATTGCAATTAGTTTTCTTATCCTTTATCTTGGTGCACATATGCATACGTTTCTTTTGAAGGCATATACACACTCATATACTCCCACTTGCATGCACACAATCCTCATTTGGCACAGCGCCATGTTAAATAAAATTGTGTATGTCAGAACTGTGTCCTCGCTTTGCAGATTCTGTGGTAATTTATCACTGTTACCTTAGTTGTCACGGAACTGTGTGAAATGAGGACACATTTCCAATATGCAAAAGTTTCAGTTAACACAGGATTAGATAAACAAGGCCTGCTTGTGTACATATACATACCTAGTAGTAGAATTGCTGGATCATAAGAATGTGTATTCTTGATTTAAATAGTACCAAACAGTTTTCCAAAGTGGCTGTACTAATTTACTTTTCTATTAGCAGTTTATCAAAGTGCCCATCCGTCCACATCCTCATCCACACTTGGTATTTCCCTTATTACTACTGAAGGTGAGCACCTTGTCACATATGTTAAAAGAAAAACTTTAGACAGGTTAAATGTAAATTAAATTTAAATGAAAGTTAACAAAGTTTAACTGAGCAAAGAACGATTCTTAAATTTGGCTGCCTCCTGAACGAGGAGGCTAGGCTCAGAGAAATTCCAGCACAGCCACATGGTAGAAGAAGATTTATGGATACAAAAAGGAAAGTGACATACAGAAAACAGAAGTGGGGTACAGAAACAGCCAGGTTGGTTACAGCTTGGCTTCTGCCTTATTTGAACACAGTTTGAACAACTGGCCACCTTTGATTGGCAAAAACTCAGTGATTGGCACAAGAGTCCGACATAGTTTGTTTACACAACCAATTAGGTTACAGTTCATTATGCATGGAGAAACCACGAGGCTGAGCTTAAAATATATAAAGAGAGAGCTTTAGGCTAACTTTAACACATGTTTTTGTTGGCTGTATATATTTTTTTAAAAAAGTGAAACATCAGCAGAAGTATTTATCTTTTTTCCTATTGAGTTGAACATTATTCTATACCAGAAGAAATAAGGTAACATTGTCTAAAAGTCTGTAAGTCTGATATCAATATTTCAATAACAGACTTATGGACTTTTGGACAATGTTTTCTTTCCCTTATTTATTTATAGACATTCTTTATATATTGTGATATATATGCTGATATGTTATATATCTGTTTCTTAAGTGCATAGTATTATTTGATGAACAGAAGTTCTCAGTTTTATATGTGGTTAAATTTATCAGTATTTTCTTTTGCACTTATTGCTTTTGTCATTGCTTAGGAAAAAACCCACCCTAAAGTCTGAAAGATGTTTACTTAATTAATTTCTTAAACATTTAAGATTTTGCTTTCAATATTTAGGCTCTTAATTCATCTGGAGTTGATTTTTGTTTACAGTAAACGTTTTTGTTTATTGTTACAAATTTGCTCAAGTAAATTTTACAAAAATTTTAAACATGATTCGAATAGAGAAATTGAGGACTGACTTAATGTTGTGTGCCACTTAGATGACAGTCAGCCTTTTGCAGATTTCTCAAGATCTTCTCTCTGTAACTAATCTTTACTGGGAAGGTCAAGTGCCTTCCTCTAGAGATCCAGCCCTCCCGCCAGTTCAGCTAAGGGACTTTACTGTCTTCAGTTTATTCATTTGTAAAATCTGGATAAGGTATGTACCTCAAAGAGATGTTTTGAGGACTGAACAAGATAACATGTGAATTACTTAGCTCTGTGCCTGACAAGCATTGTGTGAACAATAAGTGTCATCACTGCCGCATCCCACAAACACCAGAACGTCAGTGGCCCAGCGCTAATACTGGTTGGCCCATCCAGAAAGGAATCCTTCCCAGTCTGGCTTGAAATAACAATAACAATAGCATCTCCACCTGAGCCACATGAGAAGGGGCTGGGCCTCTGTGGTCATCAATGCCACAAAGCAAAGGGAATAATTATTCTTCCATTGTCATGGAAATTACTAAAGCAATGTGGAGTAACACCACTGAGACAGTCTCAAAGAGGGCACCCATTCTGATTCAAAGTTTGTGTGAGGGGTGTGCAATCTGAGAATCTGGGTTCTCTTGAATTCCTGGGATTCTATGCTGTAGTGAATAATTTCTGCCCCATAAAGACCATGGGAGAAGCCTCGATCATCTTGATCTCCCACATCACTATTAACGATAACTCCCTGCCTCTTATTGCTAGAGTTTCCTTTGCACAATTCTATTAAATATGACATGGTAACCTGACCCACAAGTAATTACACTTCCAAGAATTTTCCTCACACAGTTGGGAAAAGCTAAATTGGTACGTAAGTTCTGAAAACACTGATTGACTTCTCCTCTCTGAGACAATGCAGCCCACCCTCTTGGATAAATCCTGAGAAAGATTAAAGAGTGGTAAGAGATGTCTGCCCTTCAACACTTAAGAAATTATATCTTGCTGTGGCTGTTTTTTTATCTTGTGTATGTATATGAGTAAGCTTAGCAAAGTCCTTCCTGCTAAAATTGTGGATTGCGTTTTATCAGAAGTCATTTGAGATTTCATGTATGAGGCCAATCTTTGAAATTTTCATGCTGAAAATGTTTCCAATGAGGAACTGCAACTCCTCTGCATTCCCTCATTTCATTTTATTTTATTTTATTTTATTTTATTTTAATTCAGCTTGTATTCCAAGCTAGTGGCAAAGTTTTAAAAATTGGCAGCAGGCCCTCACCCCTGAACTCATGAGAGAGCCACCAGTCCCCATTGACCTCGTGCCTCCACCTCCCTTGCCCAGGCAACTCTTTCACATCTTCTCATTGCCTTCTTTGGAATCAGGTTTCCAGGAATTGTTGGGCCAGATGGAGAAATCAACTGGGAACTTCATGCCTCATTGACAGGAGAGGAGAGGTGGGGAAATCCTCCCAACTGAAATGTTAACTCATTCCCTGTTGTGGTTACTTAGGATTGTCATCAGGAAAATTTCAACTGCCTAGTGAGGAAGTGGGATGTTTTTTGGTTTTCACATTTGTGCAATACAATTTAAGAAGAAATAAACAGAGAAAGCTGGTGTGTGTGTGTGTGTCTGTGTGTTCAGCACAGAAACAATAGATCATCTGAAGTATATGGGTATGAAGTGAGAAGGTGAGCAAAGGGATGAAACATCACAGCCTGCTGATCACCTTGATCTTGGACCTTTTCTATATTGCTTTCCTTCAACAGTCAGTGTCCAACAGTTAGAGCCCAGACTGAAGCCGGAAGTCACACAGTGACATTGGAGGGGGATGATGGGGTGTCGGGGGAGGATTCACCCGATGAATTTACGGGGAACAGTGCTTAGGTACATATGGAAAACTGCACTCGGTTGCCACTGCCAGTCTAGGAAATGAAGAGTTGCTCTGTACTGGGGTCTGACAGAACCCAGCCTTTCCGTTTGCCTTCAGATGATATGTGTGCACACGTGCAGATAGAAACTTGAATTGGGCAGAAGTGAGAGGTGACCAAAGTCCCGCTGACTTCTATTTATTCAAAGTGGGAAGAAAAAGAGGTAGCTCTTATTATGCAGGGAACTCCCTGAGCTAAAATTATTTGTTCTCAGCCTTCTACGTGCCCTGGGACATGCAGCGGAGTGACGACCAGTCTAGACACCTCCAGGCTGCAAGGCCACAGGGCAGGCACACCCATAGTGAAATAATGAGCATGTGAACCCACGTGAGGAAGAGTGTAAACCCACGGGAACCCAGTGCTCTCCCTCCTGATGCCAAACCCTCCATCCCACCCCCTCCATCACATCTTCCCTTCTCCAGAATCTCAGCAATTATCCCATTTAAATAAAAATTAAGATTTTGACTACATGTCTTTTCTTCATCTTCATCAGAAAATTAAACAGAGACTAACAAAAAAAAAGGGGTGTGGGGTGAATTTTTGTAAATTCTGTTGTCTAGAGACCCTGACTACTCTGAAGTTGGATCCTTGGACCAGCAACTTCAATGCTACCCAGGAGCTTGTTACAATGTGGCTTTTCAGACTCCACCCCTACCTACTCAATTAGAATCTGCACTTTAACAAGTTCCCAGGTGATTCCTATGCACTGTAACATTGAAGAAGCAGTGGTCTAGTAGCTTCTCTCACTAAATCTTTATCACAAGGGCTAATAACTAGCAAACCTAAGCGCCAGTTACTTTTTGTTTTCATCTTTTAATCTCAGAGGTCCTAATGGTTGGCAGTGTAGCCATATAAAGAACGGTAAAAGAGGCCGGCCTGTAATCCTCCTAGCATTTCGGGAGGCCGAGGTGGGTGGATCACTTGAGGTCAAGAGTTTGAGACCAGCCTGGCCAACAGGGTGAAACCCCGTCTCTACTAAAAATACAAAAATTAGCTGGGCATGGTGGCACACGCCTGTAATCCCAAGTACTCGGGAGGCTGAGGCAAGAGAATCGCTTGAACCCAGGAGGCGGAGATTGCAGTAAGCCCAGACTGTGCCACTGCACTCCAGCCTGGGCAATAGAGTGCGACTCCATCTCAAAAAAAATATGTGAAAGAGAAGTTAAACATCTCTTAGTTCCTGGCTATTCTAAGTGTGGTCCTCAGACAGTAGCATCAACATCACCTGGGAGCTTGTCGAAAGGTAGGATCTGAGATCCCACCCTAAATCTACTGAATCAGAATCTGCATTTTAACAAGATTCTTCCCCAGGTGATGTGGGTGCACATTAAATTGTGTAAAGTGCTGGTCTAGAACACGAGGTCATACATCATATTTAATTTTACTAAGATTGCTTTTTTTTTTTTCGTTTGTATACATCCTCTCCTAGAAAGTTAGATCTAGCCAGATGCAGTAAGGACAGTTACATAATTTCAACTTATTTTTCCTGCTTATTTAGTCCATCTCTCATAGCTGGTGAGATGAAAGGAGTGATGAAAGTATTGACTAATTAAACAGATAGTTGCTGCTACTCTGTTTGCTGTGGGTAGATAGAATTGTCATCCTAACCAAAGTCATCACACCAGTGTTCTGACAGGGCCTGAGAGAGAAGCTAAGGATTTATTCTTTTCACCAAAATATCAAAAAATTTTTAAATAAAGCAACAGATCATCTCTGCTATTTACTCTCTGACTTAGGAAAGTCTACAGAAATCACAAATGATATATTGATTACATAGTAATCAAGTTTAAACTTTACTACTTTTATTTCACAAAATCTCTCCAAGTGTCTTGGTTTCACATTTGTTAATATGCTGTTATGAACTCATAATGATCACATGTGTAAACTCTGTATGCATGACAGTCAGATATGTTCCTGCTTTTGTTTTTGGTGGGGAATGTTTTTGTGGTATTTAATATCATGTGTAATAACTCTACTTCTAATGTTCTGCAGTTACTGGTAAGCCACTTGGGCACTTCATACTAATTTCCCATTGATACCCACTTGAGACATGATTCTCATGTCTCAAAACATGAGAAACAGAGTTCCTGATGTCCCCTTCCATGGTCAGCCTTACAGAGTAGAGCAGGGAAATTCTCTATCTCACCAAGATTAATTTTAAACCTAAAACAGATGCACACATGTCCAGGCAACTGTCAGGGTTGATAACCCTTGGAATCTCTATTCTAGGAAAAGGAACTATGATAAGTTCACCTACAGAAACAGAGGAGGAAATGATCTTCCTCGGGCTTCTATTCTTAAGGGGAATGGGGAAAGCATATATCTGAGAAGCAATGACTCTCCAGAACCCAGGAGCCAAGAAGAGGGAGAAAGGGGCCTGCCCTGGATTTCTGCATGGGCACAGCAGGTGTTCTGGTGGTCAGGGGTCAATAATAAGCTCTCTAGAGAGAGAAGCAGGAGAAATCAACTCAAGGGCCCAGACTGGAAAACTGTGTGAAAACTGTGGCTAGTTCACAAAAGACATCTCCAAGCACTTCCCCGAAACAACGAGGCAAAACTTTGAAATGGGACTAATAAGTCTGCATTGGGCAAACCACAGAAAACTGAATTAGGAATTAATGGGAAAGTATTTGCAAACAAAAGCTAGTGAGATCTAGGAAAACTCTGGTTGAGATCAATTCAGTGAGACCTGTCCTCCCAGCACACAGGCCAGCAACAATGCGCTCTAGGTGAAGGAGGCAGGGGGCTCCCCTCAGCTCTGCAGCGTCTTCACAATAGCACGAGTGAATGTCGTGCCTTCCTGGTAAATCAGGAGAAGTCAACACTTATCATCGCTGTTCACACCAGGAAACCAGAACCAAGATGTCAAGTAATTTACACTGCGCAGACCACCCTCCGTCTTTCGGGTTTGCTTACCTTTTATTTTTCATTTCAGGTGAAATACATTCAGCTAACAAGACCTTATGCTAGATTACATAAAGGCACTTATGCATTTTTATTTTATTTCATTTTGAGTCACTGTCAAAAAGGAGACATTAAGTGTCGTTCTCTTTTGACTTAAGAGGATGAAAAATGTTCATGGAAATTATAATTGGGAGAAAAAATAAAGAAGTAAGTTTAGTCAAAAGTAGAGAAGAGGGTTTTTTTTTCCATTTTTTTTAAAATCTGAATTTCCCATCTCCAGATATCTAGTTTCTTAAACTACCCATATACATTATGAGGAAATGGAAATGTCATGTGTCTTCATGGAAATTTGATCATTTCGCAAAGCGTTAATTGGGAAGTTTGGCAAAGCTACATCAACACCTCTCAAACTGAGAGTGCAGTGCTTGATTCTTTATGACAATCTTCCTATAAAGGGGAAACTCCCATTTTCTAATCTTTCTCAAGGGGCAATAGTCTAAGCTCTTGGCCTAATTGAATCTAAATATGCCCCAGGAAGTAGGAGCCAAATCAACCTCTAACTGAGCACTGAAGAATTTCCAAGTAAAGAGATTTGTGTTAAATGAGTCTTTTGAAGACCTGACCAGCCTCCAAAGAGCTGCAAATTTCTTGGAATCCAGGGAGTCTTGAGGATCTGCTTATACCAGTGCCACCGTATTTCATAAAAGCAATGTGATGGGATTTTAAAGTGGTCTTTTGCAAATTGAAGTAATGAGAGAACAGGTCAAGGAGGGGAGGGATATGGGCATAACAAAATGGTCCTGGGGTTTTTCTTTTTTTCAAAAATAATTTTGTTTACTATATTATTGCAAAGAAACAACAACAACAAAAACCCCTGGAAACATCTTAATTATCTGCCAGTAGGGGAATTTTTAATGTGACAGTACACCTTTGATGGTGGTTAAGAATGTAGGCTGTAGAGTCCGACCAACTCTAGCAAGACCCATCTCTGAGGCTTCGTTTTCTCATCAGCAAAGCATGGAGGTAATCATGATACCAGCCTCATAATGTTGTTGTAAAGATACAATAATGACTGCAAAGTATTATTGATTATTATTGTAAAGTATTATTATGACTGTGCATAGCTCAGAGTAGTCACTCGATAAATGTTAGCAATTATTGTAATTCTCATGATTATTTTCATGAGAATACCGTGCAAGAATGAAAAATGATCATGTGGAGTGTAAATCTATATTTATCAACAGGTAAAGATTACTCCTACCACCATGACCACCACTGCTTCTACTAACCTGATAAACATGGCTCAAATACATTTCTAAGTGGACAGAAAAGAGAACATATTGTACACATCTTTGTGTAGTATGATTCAAAATGTGAGAAGTCAGGAAGGAAATACTTCCTTACCTATTATGGTTATAAGTAACAGTACATATGTCTGAGAAGTGGTGATTTTGGTGACTTTATTTTTTCCTCTGTGATGTCTGTGTTTTTTTTTTCTTTTAATGAACATGAAATAGTTTTTAGGATCTATAACTAAAAACGAATCAAATTGCTATTAGAAAAATAAATGTTCAGCATCCCTGTGCTCTGCCAGTCCAGGGCAAAGGCTGACTCTGCAGTGAGCCTGTAAAGTAGAGCCCCCTGCACTGACGATGCCAGCGCCTTTTGGCCTGGTGGAGCTCTCAGGTGGGTGCAGGTGATGGGAGGGTTGCCAGGAAAGCTCACAAGACAGGCATCTAATTGTCCCCAGGTGTGTCAGAGACTGCTTCTTGGAAGAGGTGATAGCTGAGCTAAGTGCTAATTATTTAGAATGAAAGGAAGGTGCCCAGACAAAGCCTAGAAAGGAGGGCAGCCCAGGGGGAAAGAGCAGCACGGATTAAACTCTGGAGGAGTGACAGACAGGCCCACTCTAGGGACATCAAGGATCAGTATGAACCAGCACAGAGTACCAGAGGGTGAGGCCAGGAGTGATGAGCAATGAAGCAAGAGGTTGTCATTGTCATGCAGGCAGCACTGAAGCCTTTGAAGGATGCTCGGCAGTGAAGTGGCAGGATGCAAGGTATATTGGTGAAAGCTCAATCTTCAGAGCTTCACTGGAGTCTAGTATAATTAACTCTCTAAAGGAGCGTGCCAGCCTTCACCAAGAAGGGGTGCCCGAGTCAGGAAGGAGAGCTGGGCAAACCTTGAAGTGGGAATGCTGTTTGTTCTGCTTGAAAGATGAGGGCAAGTTAGCAAGGAGAATGTGCCAGATAGAGAGATGGGATGGGGAGCGCAGCAGGCTGAGGACAGCACAGAGGAGAGACATGGGGCTTGAGAGAGTGCAGCTCCTTAGAGGAAGAGTCACCAGCATGCAGTGTGGCTGCAGTGTGGCCTCAGATCCTGATGCCCTCATGAGCCCAGCTAAGAGGTTGAATTGCTTCTATATATGGAGCGCTGGTACCTGAGCACCTCCCTCAGATCTGCTTGTGAGCTCTTCTGGTGTGGGGTCCTGCCAGGCGTCACTGTACATCCCAAGCCCTTTGGAGGGAATCACTCTCTCCAATGACTACTCTCACCATTGACCGCTGCCAAGATTCTGCTCTCAAGTCCACCTCCCCTGCCCAGCTCCCCTGTGCATGACCAGCTGGAAACTCCAGCAGGATTGGAGCAAGCTGGTGGAGGGACCGTACAAACTCACAGGCCACATCAAAGTAGTGCCTCTCATCTGTGTTTTCTGCTGCAGACAACAAATGCACATAGCCATAAGGTCAGCATTGGCTGTGTCACTGTCAGGTGGAGCTGATTTGAATCTTACGTCCACTGTCCCTTTGTTATATTAACATAAACAAGGAATTTAACTTCCAAATCTCAATTTCCTCATCCACTGTAAGAATAAAACTTCCTTCATATAAAATACACTCAGTACAGTGTCTGAATCACAGAAAGTATTCAAGAAAATATAGTTACTATTGTTTAAATGTTTGATAGTAAGTTAATATCATGATATATTTTGCCAACTGAACATATATTTCTTCTGTGTGTGACATGACTTTTTATCTTAAAAATGAGTCCTATTAATTTAAAAGGCTAAGACTATACTCTAAAATCATCAGTTCTACAGTTGTGTTTCCTGCCACTGCTTTTTCACCCCCCTGCCACAAATCCTGTGGTTTCTACTCTCCTGCTACTGAGTGCTCACCCCACATTGCTGACAACCTGTTTCCTGCTGCGGTGGACTGAAGTGGCCCCTGCTCCTCACAGAGAAAGCTGCTGGAAGCTAATAATGGAAGGTCATGTTAAATGCTGGTGTTCTCCTCGGGGTTGCGGGGGGGTGGCGGTGGCAGAGAGGGTTTGCTCAGTCTGTGACATGATGCCTCAAACTCAGCAACAAGTCCTTCCTATCTGGGTCTCAGCAACCCCACTACTCAGAACCTTGACCCATGTTTCAATATCCACATCTTCCCACTACAAAAGTCAGAGCCCACGTCCTCTCCATAGAAATAACTAGTTCAGGGCTATAAAAGTATTTCATGTTGAGGCAGATAAAGACCTTTACAAACCCTAAACCCTGAGAAGATTAGGGTATATTCTCCACTATATATAATTCAAATATAAACAAGCATAAGGGAGTACATTCAAGTTCTGATCTTTTTCTATGGCTGCTTCAGTGTGCTTTTAAAATGTCAAAACCTGTTAATAAGCAAGTTTAGTTTTTTGGTTTTTTTGCATTTATTGTCACTGTTGATACATTTGGCTTTATTTCTATCATCTTACTTTGTGTTTTCCTTTTATCATGATTTTTTCTTTTTTTTTTTTTTTTCTATTTTTGTGATTTCCATTGGAATAATCAAGTTTACTTTATTCTCCTTTGACCACCTGTGGGTTTGGAATTTGTTCATTCCATTTTTAGTCTTCTAGTGGTTACTGTTTGCAGTGACTTCTGACACCAAATCCCCAGAGTTGGGCCGTACTTCTCAGGTTCAGGGCACAGTCCTTTGCAAGACTTGCCTCCCTTTAGACACCAGTCACAAGTTTGGGTTTCCCAGGCCATCTACACTTCCAACCAATTTGCTGCAATTTGGAGCATTCTTTTACTGATTCAAATTCTGTAATCTACTAGAATGACCCACAAAACACAAGAAAGCACTATACTTCCGAGTTTTATTATAAAAAACAAAAGGGAATACACATCCAGATCAACCAAAAGAAAAGAACAGGGTGAGGTCTGAGAGAGTCCCAAATGTGAAGCTTCTGTGTCCTCAGGGAAACATCATCCTCCCAGCACATTCATGTGTGACAATAGGCAGAACACTGCCAACCAGGGAAGCTCAACTGAGCTCTGGTGTCCATGGTTTTCAGTGGAGCATCACTACATAGGCAGGATTGATTGTCATTGGCTGTGTGATTAAGCTTGAGCTCCAGCTTCCGTTTCTTCTCTGGAGGCTGGACTGATACCACATAGCTCAAAGCCCTAATGCTCTAACTTGGCTGGTCCTTCTGTTGTGGCCAGCCCCCATCCTGAGTCATCTCATCAACCTCAACTATGTTGGGGCACACCATGAGTCACCTCCTGAGCATAAACTCAGGTATGATCTGAGAGGTGCACCCTAAATATCGAAGACTCTTCTATCACTGGGGAAATTCTGAGGGTTTAGAGGCTCCCTTGCAGGAACCAGGGAAAAATTCTGTATTATATACCATTTTTTTTTTTTTTTTTTTTTACTGAAAATGAGTTTAATTTCATTTGGCTTTGTTTACAAGTTCCACCTTATTCCATGTATATACTATCATAAAAAATATTTAGGTTAGAATATTTTCTTTCTTTTTTTTTTTTTTTTTTTGAGACAGAGTCTCACTTTGTCACCCAGGCTGGAGTGCAATGGTGTGATCTCAGCTCACTGCAGCCTCTGCCTCCTGGGTTCAAGCAGTTCTCCTGCCTCAGCCTTCTGAGTAGCTAGGATTACAGGTGCCCGCAACTACACCCAGCTAATTTTTTTGTATTTTTAGTAGAGACAGAGTTTCACCATGATGGCCAGGCTTGTCTGGAACTGCTGACCTCATGATCTGCCTGCTTCAGCCTCCCAAAGTGCTGGGATTACAGGAGCGAGCCACTGCACCCAGCCTAGGTTGTAATTTTTCTTTGGTATAGTGTTTGTTTCCCTTTGTTCCCCCTAAAATAGAACTGCATCATATACATTACTCGGCACCTATTTTAGACACTCAGAATTTTAAATTTTTAATAAACTTCTCAAGTATGGAAAAACAAACAGCTTTTGTTCTATTGTAGCATCTCTTTATTTAAACAGCTTCACTGAGGTATAATTGACATATAATAAACTGGATATATTTAACTGCACATTTTTTAAGCTTTGACATGTATGTCTCTGTGAAATCATCACCATAGTCAAAATAATCAGTTCTAAAACTTTCATTTCTTCTTTTATTTATTTTTAGTTGACATATAATAATAGTACATATTTATTGGAGACAGTGATATTTCAAACAAGTATACAATATGTAATGATCAAATCATGGTGATTAGCATATCCATCACCTCAAATATTTAACATTTCTTTGTATCATGAACATTCAAAATCTTCTCTTGTAGCTTTTCAAAAATATACAATAAATCATTGTTAACCCTCTTTCTCCTACAATGATACAGAACACTAGAACTTATTCCTCTATCTAGCTGGAATTTTGTATTGTTAAACAACTTCTCCCTATTCTCTTCTCCCTTACCTCTTCCAGACCCCTAGTAACCACAATTCTACTCTCTACTTCTATGAGCTCAATTTTTCTTAGTTCCCACATGTGGATGAGAATATGCAGTACTTGTCTTTCTTTGCCTGACTTATTTCACTTAACATAATGTCCTCCAGGCTCATTCATGTTGTTGTGAATAACAGGATTTTAATGTACCTCATTACTGAACGGTATTCCATTGTATATATGTACCACATTTTCTTTATCCATTCATTTGTTGACAGGCATTTAGGTTGACTCCATATGTTGGCTATTCTGAATAGTGCTGCAATAAACATGGGGATGCAGGTATCTCTCTGACATACTGATTTTATTTCCTTTGGATAAATGCCCAGTAGGTTTACTCCATATCTTGGCTATTCTGAATAGTGCTGCAATAAACATGGGGATGCAGCTATCTCTTTGATATACTGATTTTCTTTCCTGTGGATAAATGCTGTATTGTATGGTAGTTCTGATTTTAGTTTTGTGAGAAACCTCCAAACTGTTTTCCATAATTGCAGTACTGGTTTACATTTCCATCAATACTCTATAAGAGTCCCTTTTCTCCAGATCCTCACCAGCATTCGTTATTTATTTATTTGCCTTTTTGATAATAGCCGTTCTAACCAGAGTGAGATGATTTCTCATTGTGGTTTTCATTTACATTTCCCTGATGATTAGTGATGTTCAGCATTTTTTCATCTACTTGGCCATTTGTATGTTTTCTCTTAACAGATGTCTACCCAGATCCTATGTCCATTTTAAAATCAAATTATTTGTTTTTTTGCTGTTGAGTTATTTGAATTTCTTGTATATTCCGGATATTAGTCACTTGTCAGATGAAGTTTGTAAATATTTTCTCCCATTCTATAGGTTGTCTCTTTGTTCTTTTGATTGTTTCCTTTGCTGTGCAGAAGGATTTTAGTTTGATGTATTTCCACTTGTCTATTTTTGGTTTGGTTTCTTTGTACTGCATTTTAGATTATTTTGATATATCTGTTTTCCAGATAACTAATTCTTTCTTCAAAAGTGTCTAATCTGGAGTTTAAAATCAACCACTAGATTTTTCTTTTCAACAACCAGAATTTTCTTTCCTGGAATGTCTGTTTAGTTTTTTTTTTTTTAAATTAGCCTGTTCTTATTTGATTCTTTCTTAATATTGCCATGTTCTTTCATTATAGTTTCTTTTTTATGTCTTTAATTTAAAATTATTTTCTATTCTCTTCAATTTTTTTATTATCAGCTTAGAATGTTAATTCTCCCATTTGCTTTATGTGTCATGTCTCCCTAATGATAGTGTTTTCCTTTACGGTTTATGATATTTTATTAGAGCCTGACTTTTGTGGAGATTGTATGTGAGAATTCCATTTGTCTTTGGTAATGTCTGTATAAAAGGACTGATTTAGTTAGGCCTCAAGAATTTCATCAGTTTATTTATTAATTTCTCACATAAATTCCCCACCATGGGAAGAATAAATATAGACTCCTATCCTCAGCACATATTTAGAGTCAGTCTCTATTTCTTAAAAATGACAACTCTTGTTGTTTTTCAAGTCTTGTGGGTGGAGTGTTTTTTACCCCCTGTCACAGATGTGTCAGGTCTTGAGGCTCAGTGCAGAGAAGCTAAATTCCAGCTTCTGACCTTTGGGTGGAGGCTTGGCTTCTGTCCTTGACCGGTCTCTTCTGTCTGAGACCCAAGGGCCTGGATGCTGCTTCAGCACCAACTCAGGCTGCCCAAAGGTTTGCTTTGCCTCTTTCTCTGTCATATAGAAATTTATCTTCCACCTTTCAACCAGGAAACATGTTAACTCTTTAGAGTGGAATATACTTTATTCCTCATCTCTGTTTATGTAGGGGGAAGGGCCTTTTTGCCAGTAGTCTTCAAAAGCCCTGTGTGTGTCCCTGCCTTGATAACAACTAAAAACACATGTAGGTGGGCCTGCTGGGTCTGTTTTTCTAAATTTCTTAAATTGTTTTGGCACAGCAAAAATCAGCACATCTCAACTAAACTTAAAGTCTACATCTCTTGGAAGTATGTCTGCTAACAACTAGTTTCTATCTAAATGGGATGTATTATAGTTTCCTAAAATCTCCTCAAAATATATGTAAAAGTAATTTGACAAAGACAAGTGAAAGGCAACAGACTATATGTGTGTGTTTGTACCATTGATTCTCATTTTTAATGAATTCCATATTTTCAAATCCATCTACTCTGTGAAATGTATTTCTAACTCCCAAGTCAATACTCTGTGCATTCATGGTCATTTACAGATGTGGACAGAGTGGCAAAAATTCAAATAGCCGGATGGGCATGATTTCTGAGATTGGACAAGGCAATGCTTTACCTTCTTATTTCAGTTCTTATATTTTAAACACGTGTCCTTTTGGCTATCAATTTCATGACACATTTTTTGCATTTTTGTGCTTTTTCCTCATGATTTCACTGTTTAAAATGTCCCCCAAGCATAGGACTAAAGTGCTGTTTGGTGATCCTAAACACAACAAAGCTGTGAAGTACCTTCTGGAGAAAATACAGGTGTTAAATAAGCTTCATTTGGGAATGAGTCACAGTGCTATAGGTCATGAGTTCAATGCTAATGCATCAACAGTATATGTTAGATGAGATGCCATTAAACAGAAATATACTTAAAATAAAGTTATGGATTGATCTGTTGGTGAAAATGTTGTGACCTGAGGTTCACAATCCCTAACTCTGTATTTCTCCCAGGAGCAATGGCTCAATATTTGCTAATTCAGTGTTTGCAGTGACTTTATAGAACATAACCACTGCAGATGATGGTATTTGCCTGTACATTCATAGAAAATGAGAGAAGGAAGAGGAAAGAGAATGGTTGCATGATTATAGGTGTCCACATTTTTTTCTTCGAATTTTTATTGTTTTCAATTCCCTCAGGAAAAGGGGGAGAAAGGATGGAAGGAAGGAGAAAGAAGGAAGGCAGGAAGGCAGGAAGGCAGGAAGGCAGGCAGGCAGGAAGGAAGGAAAGGAAGGAAGGAAGGAAGGAAGGAAGGAAGGAAGGAAGGAAGGAAGGAAGGAAAGGAAGGGAAAGTTAAATCACCAAAAAATATACTTTGATGATTCTACTTAGAAGGGAATTTCAGGCCTCACACCCCTTCCAGCTGAGAAGTTTTCCTTTACACTAATCTCAATTCTGTCTCTTCCATTGTCATAGATCTCCTTTAGGGGTCACAAAGAGCAAGGTCTTTCAGCCCAGCATGAAAAATCCTTTGAATTACCTCCTCTGTAACTCACTCCTGGAGTTACAGGGTGATTACACTGTTTCTTAGATTATCATAAACTTTATAAAACATATTCTGAAAGATGCATTTGTGAGCTCTATTAGTTTGTGAAACGTTCCCTCTCTCGTTTCAGCTGTTATTTTTCAGAGGGAAATTTCATTAATATTACTTATTTTCAAACTAAGTAACAGTTTGTACTGGGACCACAATTAAGGTTCTTGGTTGATAATCATTCATGGTTAAGCATCCAGGGCTAGCAAGGAAAGAGAGATAAAGAAAATGAGAAACAGTGAGAGACATAGAGAGAGCTAAAGGGGGAAGAGAGAGAGAGAGGGAGGAGGAGAGGGAGGAAGGCACCACCCCAGAGCTCACATTTAGCCAGACCTCAGGACCTGCAAGGCTGTGAATAGTGTTCTATATTTAGCCTACCAGATATTTCGAGTAGTTCTGAAATTGGAAAGCAATGTTTTTCCATGAATTCCCTATAATAATATTTCCTAAGTCAACTCTAATCAAAATATTCCCTTTTCATTCTGTTTTTCCAAGTCTAGAGTGAGCCACTGATGCCCTCCCTTAGAAGGCTGGAAAAGACTGCAGAGCAGGGCAGTCCTAGTCTAGTCAAACCCAAACTTCCCTGGCCTCAATCCATGTTGCATGTGGGCACTGGGGACAAAGTCCCTCTGATGAGAGCAATGGTGAGCCATAGGATTGCTTTCCCACAAAAAGCAATGGGCTCCCAGGACTTCAATCCCATACTACCAATATATTTCCCTGGGGCTTCCATCCTCCCAGAGGGAACCCATGACATCACCATCAATGAAAGCCTTCACCCCATGTCACAACTGTACGTATATCTATAGGCACCACCTGAAAATCCCTCCCCCAGTCTATTCCAGGACCACAAACACATAAGCTGCTTCTCAGACACAGCTTTTTTATTTCAGAAACCAAAGGCTTATATTGAGAGTATCCTCACCAGCAGTCTTAGAATTGCAAGAATGCACATGAGTGCTTTTGGGCTGGACGTCTCCTCTGTTCTGGGAAAAGTTGCCTCTAGTAACTACCTGTCCTCACACCAGCCAGCCCTACCTGTCCCCACACCCCATACACTTGAATACAAGGGGAAGGAGTGTATGTTCTTCATCTTGCTTATGGAAACTGAGGGAGGGTAGCAAAGATACATTGGTGAAGCCAATTGCAGAGGTGATATCATGGTAAAATAACAGGGTAATAGCTTCTTCCAGGCAGTATACCATCAACCCAACGGCAAGAGCACCTTGAGTCAGAAAGGATGAAACTAAAATATGATCAGGAAGCTTTCTGTGTGTGTTGCAAATGACAGGCTGGAGGAGAGCAGACTCCAAGAACTAGAAACTTAGGAGCAAATACAAGGAATCAGACATTTGTAAATATCTGACACAAAAGAGAAAATTGTAGGAAGTAGAAGACCAATGATTTCAGTGGTGTGGAAAAAGCCAGTGGCTGCTGTCTTTAAATGTTGCGATGATTCAGATTTAAATCAGATCATATCATGCTCCTACCTAAACTCTGTAAGGTTTTCACTTGGAAGAGAATCTAAGCATCTTACCAATCTCATCTCACTCATGAGACTCCAGCCATACTGGCTCCATTCTGTTCCCAGAATATTTCCAGCTCTGCCTTTTCAGAGCCTTTCTGCCATGGTTCTCTCCTTCTAGGATGCTTTCCCCTCAGCTCTCTGCATGGCTGACTCCTTCTCGTGCTTTAACTGTGGCAACCTGTGCCACCCTAGGACACTGTGACATGGGCCTTCCTTACTCCAGTCACCACCACTTCTTACCCACTTACCCTCTCACATAACTGTTTACTTCCTCACTGGCACTTCTTGCAACTGAATATTGTTTTATTTATGTAATTCTTAAGTCAGAATGATTTATTACTGTATTTCCACTGCCTGATAAATAGTAGAAAATCAACAAATTTTTTTGAATGAATAAATGATGAATGGGGAATGAAAACAATGAATTAATTTACACATCTAGGCTGGTGTAGAAAGTAGGAGTAAGTTGAATTTCTGAAATAGAATCAAAGACTATAAGGTATTATTTAAGCACAAAGCAGTTTGAAATATTTAAGAAAAAACATTACGTGATACCCTAGAAAACAAGACCATTGTGGTACTTTTCATTTTGACTTCTATTTATTTTTACTTTAAAATATTTCTCTAGAAAGTCATGAAATTACCATTTACTTAATTATGAATCAGATGCATGACCACCTAGAGTTGAATTTTTTTTTCTATGAACATTACATGTAGATATTGACTTAAGTAATATTTTCAGCAGCAAATGTCTGATGATCTCGCAGGAAGGCCTCTCTGAGCAACGAAGTCATTATGAATATGAATCATGCATCATAACCACTCTCCTGGGGCACATCATAGTGCATGGATCAAGGCTCCATGTGGCTCTGTGGTGCTGGTTGCTGGCCTCCTCCTAATTTGAATGAAGCTGGTGTCTCAGCAACAGTAGGAAAGTGAAAATTAGAGTCTGTGTGGTAGAGTAAAATTTCTCCTTGCCAGTTAAAGCTCACAAAACCTTGCACATTTGTTTCTTTTGACCATTATCTTTTAAAGAACAGTCTTCAGAAAAATTATGGTGTGTTTTTGTTTGTTTGTCTTTTGAGACAGAGTCTTGCTCATTGTCCAGATTGGAGTGCAGTGGTGTGATATCAGCTCACTGCAACCTCCACCTCCCAAGTTCAAGTGATTCTCCTGCCTCAGCCTGAGTAGCTGAGATTACAGGCATACGGCACCACATCCGGCTAATTTTTGTATTTTTATTAGAGAAGAGGTTTCATCTTGTTGGCCAGGTTGGTCTCGAACTCCTGGCCTCAAGTGATCTGCCCACCTTGACCTTACAAAGTGCTGGAATTACAGGCATGAGCCACCACGCCTGGCCTAGAAAAAGTATTTTTTTTAAAGTCAATTTTGACTTCTATTTATTTGTATTTTAAGTCAAAAGGCTAAGACATTTTGGCCTCTATGACAAGCTTCTGAAAGTATTTCCTTGACTTTAATTAATTAATTTCAAAATAAAGGCATATCTAGCCAGTTCACACAGGTTATAAAACAGACATTGATATTAAAAATATAATACCTTTATTATAATACAATATATAAAATCAACTTTTTAAAAAAGACAGACATTGATATCTACGGAGAGAAAAAGGTGCCAGTTAGCATGGGCCATCCCGATGATGCTGACACTACACATTTGCCTTATCTGGAGCCTAAATGCTGACATTTGTATAAATAATCACAAATATGTATCTTCCAGGTGAGGAAAATCTGTTTGAAACAAAGTATATGCATCAGGGCAAAGGAATATGGATGTGTATATAGAAATGGGAACATTTATTTCTGTAGACCAATAGGACTAGCATAACTCAATGAACAAAGAATTTGCCAATGTCACTAACTTTATTCCAGATCCCTGCAGTAGTTACAGTAAAGTGGGTGGGTTAATCCTTGACGTGTACTAACAGAATATTTAAATTATTTATAATTTTTATCCAACAGCACTCAGATATCTTATAAACCCAATTAAATAAATATGAAGCTGGTTATATGGAAACTGAGGGAGGGTAGCAAAGAAATATGATGAAGCCAATTGCAGAGGTGATATCATGAAAAAATGTTTACATATAGTTTATATATATAAATTTATAAATATATATACATATATTCCTAAACCTGTCTTTTGGAACTTTCTTATAACATAGGAACTTCCCCTTAAAAGATACAAACTATGTTTTTAACTCCTTAAAATCATGCTGGTCAAAGCAAACCATTTGGAATTTAAATTTCCACCAAATACAACAAAAGAAAGCTGATGAATTTAATCTAATTTATTTAGATTAAAGGAGCAAAGAAGAAATGATGGTTTTTGCAGCTTCCTCAGGAGCTTGTTTCCACAAAACATCCTTAAGACACTTTCCCACCACGTTAGCCATCATTATTATTAGGCACTTGGCCAAGATGTATTTAGTTTGGCAGCCTGCCAAGTAAAGTTCATCAGGTCGTGGTGGTACCAAATTTGACAGAAAGCACAGCAAAGGAAAGGGTATTTTCAAATTACTATTTTCATATCAAAAATAGAAGACCAAAAGTCTCTCTTGTGAAATGAAAAACTTTACTATCATTCTTTGCATTCCTCTGTGATGGCAAATCCAGGCATCCTGACTTCGCTTACACCTCCCAAACACCAGGGAAGAAATCTTTCTTGTGGTCACAAAAAGGATCCCTGACCTGGAGGACAAGAGTTACTGCAAAATCACAGTGGCTTGTCCTGTAGAGCTCGATGGCATCTCTATTCACTGTGTTCCCTCTCCACCCAGGGCCTCTGCTTGGTTTTGAGTTGAGGGATACACCTGCAACTCCTTCTCTGCACTTGGATTAAACTGACAGCACTATCTCTTCTGCATAATGCTACCTTCTAGGCAACAGAAAGATGAAAAGTGTTGCCTTCTTTCAAAAAGGATGAAGCCAACGAGACTACCCCTGCCTCTTCTCAAGCTCCCTTGTAGATAAGCCTTTGTCAGCAGGTGGCTCACTGCCATTCCTTCTGAGAGTCCCAGCAAAGGGGAAAGAGAGTCCCTGAGGTGTACAATATCCATGGGAAGTGGCCAGAGAATAGACACCTGCTTGACCATGGGTTCCTGAGATGAGTAACAATCATGGGAATCTCACCACGTAAACATTGCCCAGCACCTAAGATGTGTTGCATAAATAATTTATGTACTGAAACTGTTTAACTGGTAAAAATGAACTATTAAGTTGCTACAGCCCTGACATGGATATCTGCTGCAGTCAATTGCAGTATTGTTCATAATCATTCACTTCCACTTTCCTGGTAAGAGGATCACATATCACCACCACCAGTTCTTCTGGGCCTGCAGAGTAACATGCTTGTGTGAGCAGCTATAACATACCCCATCACAAGTTTCCATCAGCTCTTTTGGCCTTTTCCCTCTAACATAAGAAGGATATACCCCAAATAGGGGCTGAATCTTTAGCATTGCTTCTAGAAAGAAAAGATGTGTGGAGGAAAGCCACAACAGCCCACTGAGAGCAGCCAACATGTAATGTGAGCAAGAAATCAATACTGTTGTTCCTCGGTATCTGTGGGGGATTGTTCCAGGGACCCCCAACAAATACCAAAATCTATGGATGTTCAAGTCCATATATACATAAAATAATTTAAAGTATACAGCCATACATTGGTTATACACACATACTACACTAAGAAATGTATCAATATCAAGAAATGCCCCCAATGGGTTATGTTGGTGCCAAATGTGCTCATATCTACCATATGGTGTAGTATTTGTATATAACCTATGTACAGCTGTATACTTCAAATCATTTCTAGATTACTTATAATACCTAATGCAATGTAAATACTATGTAAATAAATAGTTGTTATACTGTATTATTTAGGGAATAATGACAAGAAAAATGTCTGTACGTGTTCAGTACAGACAAAACCATCCATTTTCGTTCCCTGAATATTTTCAACCTGTGGCTGGTTGAATCTGTGGATTCAGAACCCATGGAAACGGTGGTCTGACTGTATTTGATTTTATCAGCCATTGAGACTCAGGTTGTTTGTTACTGCAGCAAAGCTAACCTGTATACCTGCTACATCTATACTATCATTTAGGAGAGCATCCAGGAAGTTGACAAAATATTTATGCTAAATAAATATGACACTCTTAGGACCACAAAATTAGAAAGGTTCAAAGGTACCTGTTAATACTCCAGGCTCTCAAGTCAGATCTGGGTTGAAAGCTAACTGCTGTTTACTATTTCTGTGAACTTCAGTAAATGATTTCTGATTTATCATCTGTACAATGTGGATATGAATAGTAAAGACTTCAAGAATTATTGAGTGGGTTTATAGAGATGCATATATAAAAAGAGCTTAGATAGACAAGCTTGCACAATAAGTGGTGGTGTCATTGATGGGTTCTCTGGGAAACAGGTTCCAAGGGTCAGTATTAGTGAGCAGGGGATTTACTGGGGGAAGGCGCTCAAGAGCAGCAGCTGTAAGGCAGTGAGAACAGAAGGGCTGGGCAGAGGAAGGTGAACTGCAGTGGAATTGCAGCAAGGCCTCATATGGTTCCACAGAAGGCTCTGGAGCCAGGATGGCTCTTCATAAATGTCCCAAATTGAAGTAAGGGGGCTGGGCTTCGTACCTTCACATCCAGTGAGTTGAAAGTAGGCTGTCCCAAGGGAGGGAAGTAATAGCCTTGGATGAGCCTGTTCTCTTAACTAAGGGCCTTCTCTGGAGAAGGACTCAGCCATGAGCCACCAGCAGGCAACATCCAGCAGCTGGAAGAAGAAGTGCCTCCATCCTGAAGAGAGTATGTGTCTGGGGATGAGCCCCAGCATCCAACATGGCCCACCCCTGTGCAACCTGGATGCATTTTCTTCAGACATCAAGTTTACCCCAACTGGATAAAGCCCCTCCAGAATCCTTGATGCCCTCTTTTCTTGGGAAAACTGCACAAGACAGATGAATGGGAAAGATTAGTGGGATTAATGTACTACTACCTGGCTGCAAGCTCATTGTCTTCCTCCTCCGTGTCTGTTTTAGATTCCCTTTGCTCATGGTTAGCACCTTTTCTAGTCTAGGTGGCTTACCTGGATATTTCTCAGACTCTCAGAACATATGATTGCTACATATGTTCACTGACTGAGAAAATAGGGCAGAAGGATATCACGAAATGCCCCCAGTGGGTCGTGTTGGTGCCAAATGTGCTCTACCTCCATTAGGTAACAGCAGCTCTTTCCCCACCTAATAATTGGGCTGACATCCCCCAGCTAGGATGCCAACTCCCTCCTTTGCCCATTGGTCTCTTGACACAGGGGCCCACAGTGATTGAACAACAGCTAAAGCTTAGAGTCCAGTGTCCCCTGGTGAATACGTTTCTGTTTGGGAACCACGACTTAGAAACCTTATCAGTTGCACTGATAAGAATCACAAATTTCCCTTAGGAATTTCCCTTAGGCTGTGTTAAAATATGTTTACAAATGCTTTGATGTGTTTCCTTTCAAAAGGTGGTCCCAATTTTTCCTCCTTTTGCATGTGGACCAAACTTACGACTCACTTCTAACAAATAGGCTGTTGTGGAAGTGCAGCCAAGGATAGGTCACTAACAGGGTAGCTTGTGCTTGGCGTGCTCTCACTCCCTCCTGAATTGTCTTCTCTGTGGGAAGCCAGCTTCCATGTCATGAGGATGTCAAGCAGCCACATTGCTTTCGACCATCAAAATTTACCAAAGTCTTTTATTATTTCAGGGTCCTAACATTCCCGTTGTTAACAGTTCTGAAATAGCACCTCCTACTGGTGCTTCTTAATGATGCTGTGCCAATCTCACCAGCACATTCCTTACTTTTTTGGGAAATGAGGATCTCTAGGTCCTCCTGAAGAATAGTGGATGGCTGGGTTTTCTGGCCCCATTCTAGCACATTCATTTCTCTGAGCTTTTTCATGCTTTTGTACATGTGTATAACAAAAGGACTGTGGCATTTCTACTTCACTGGGTGCGGACCATTGCTTTCTCCAAGCCTCAGAAGCCATCACAGTAATGAGTTAGAATTGCCTCTTAGGGTCCTGCCAGGACAGAGCTCCTACGTCACAGGAGAGTGCTTCCATATTAAGGAACTCCCATCATACCCAGATTTATGCTATACTCCTTTAAGCCAGCACCCTCAGATCCAGCTCACACATGCTCTCCAGCCTCCTTCTGGGACCTGTGGACTAGACCTGCAGCTCCCCGGGGCTCTAACCCCTTCCTCCTTTGGCAGATCCAGCACTTCCCCACATTGTGATGTGAGCCCAGTGATTGATCTGGTGGCCAGGAAGGGAGGTAGGGGCAGGGAGCAGACTCAAAAAAAAAAGGAAGCACGATATTTCAGGCAGAGTCCTCTACATTACCTTCAAGTGAGAGGAGAAGGTTCAGACTTTTACAGGAGGAGTGGCCATTTCTGCAGGCCCAGAGTGTCAGGGGACTCTGAAGGAACTCAATACTTTGAATGCATCAACTTGAACATGCCATCCTGAATTTTAGGGTCCCAGTCCTTCCCCATGAGGGCTCTACCCTGAACGTAGCTGACTTGCTAAGGTTAAGGAGCCAGTCTCCTCCGGAGGTCTGCTACTCTTTTAACAAAGTCCTGGGACTGATTCTAGGATTTTTCTGCCCTCTATCTGCAGAAATGAGAGCCTTTTGTATGCTGCCAGTGAGGTGAGGCCCTTTGGTTTTCACATTTCACTTTAAATTGGTGATTAATCACTCCCAGGCTTTCATTGTCTTTTCCCAAGATAATATCTACTGGGCCCCACAGTCCTTATCCTTACTACTTTACTTGAACTTCTGAGGTTCCTGCCAGTGTATTTCTTTCCCATCCCAGTTCACTACAGTGAAAGTTTAAACAATTGCCTCCCCCCACTGCACCCTAGGGGCATTCAGTACTCCTTTCACCCCTAGTGATGGGATCTTCCTTGCCGGCCAGCTGGTGGTTAATCCAGCTCCCAAACTCCATTTTGAAATACACTCCCTAGGCCCCTACAAACAACTGTACTAGCTCAGTTTCCTAGAATAGTGAGTTGAATAATGGCTTCTTTGCAAAAAACAAACAAACAAACAAACAAAACCCAAACAAACAAAAAAAAACAACAACAACAAAAACAAAAACAAAAAAACAGATCTGTCTGCCCAGAACTTGTGAACATGGCCTTACTTGCAAAAAGGGTCTTGCCAATGTCATTAAGTTAAAGGTCTTGAGATAAGATAATCCTGGATTACCCACGTGGGCCCAAAATTCATTGACAAGTGTCCTTTTAAGAAACACACAGAGGAGGAGGTGATGTGAAGACAGGAGCAGAGACTGGAGTGATGTGTCTACAAGCCAAGCGGGGAAGGCTGATAATTGCTGATAAACATCAGAAGTCAGAAAAGAGGTCAGCAAGGGATTCTGCCTCAGAGTCTCCGAAAGGATTGGACCCTGCCAACACCTTGATTCCAGATTTCTGGCCTTTTGCATTTATGAGCGAATATGTTTCTGTTGTCTTAAGCCACCCAGTTTGTAGTAATTTGTTATTGCTGCCCCTGGAAATTTTCACACCCGGAAAAACCCTCTCTGAGACAGAGATTTGTAAGCAGATGGAAACAGGACTGGGCTGAGGGATAAAGTGAACTCCAATGCATTTGCAACCTTGGCCTCAGCTGATTCAACAGGAAGTCTGAAGCTAATACAGCACCTCAAAGATGTCTGAAGTGTGGAAAGAAGGGTGAAACTTTTTATCTCTGTATGAATCCTTCATTCCTGTATTGCATGTAGCAACCCTCTAAGAGGTAACACATCATAGGACAAGGTCGCTCCTTTCACCTGATGGCAGTTCCAGAGTAGAGACTAAATTGTGAGCCGTCAGCAGGCAATGTCTCCACCAGCTGGGGAAATAAAGGTTGGATCCAAATAAGGGAATGTGGGTAGCACTTCACCTCAGCCACAACTGGAGGCTTTGATGGCTGTCATCAGAGGAAGAACCATCTTAGAGATGGAGACTGTGGTGAATGGATCAACCAGAGGAGATCTTGGGGAGTTGCTTTTACAAAAAAAGATATTTACAAGTGAATCCAGGTAAAATACTAAGGGAAGCTTGAAGGAGAGAAAGAAAAAAAGGTTGCTAAAAAGGCCACAAGTGACCTTGAAGGAAAAGTGAGTTGTAAGGAAACGATGTAGCAGAGGTGAGGCCTTGCTGTCATCCCTCATGGGAGGAAATGATGGCAACGTATGGACTGTTTCCTTGGTATAAACCTTGGGTCATTCTCAGCACCAGTCAGTGGAGTGGTGGAGCCTCTTCTTCCTCTGCCGGAAGGTAGGGGGCCACAGACAGCACACAGTAGACAATTTCTTCCCTTGTTAATAAAAAGGTTCTGTTTCTAAAACTGATACTGCAGGTAATCAAATGCCTGATAAGCACTCGAAAAAGTGTTGAACATCCTTAGTCATTAGGGAAATGCAAAGTAAAACCACAATGAGATATCATTACATATGCCTAAGGATGGGTAAAATTAAAAAGAAAGATAATAGCAAGTGTTGGGGAAGATAGGGAGAAATTGTAATCCTCATACACTACTAGTGAATATATAAAATGGTGCTGCCACTTAGAAAAAACTCTTTGGCAGTCTTCTGGAGTTGACCAAACACCTAACACAAATACCAGCAGTTCCTTTCTGAGATATTTACTCAAGAGAAATAAAAATGTATGCCCACACAAAGATTGGTACATAAGTTTTTGTAATGGCTTTATTCATAAGAGTCTCAAACTAGAAATAGCTCAAATGTCCATTGACAGGTGAATAGATAAACATATGGTCATACAATTATACAATGGAATACCATTCAGCCATAAAAAGGCAGAAACTACTGATATATGAAACTACATAGATGAATCGCAAAATCAGTATGCTGAGTTAAAGAAAACCAGATATCAAAGAATAGATGTTATGTGGCTGTATGTATACAAAACTCTAGAAGAGACAAATCGAGTCTACAGTGATAAAAAGATTAGTGGTTGACTGGGGCTGGGAATGGAGGGAGATTTTCTGGTAAGGGACCCAAAGAAACTTTTGGGGGTGAAGAATATAGTCTATATTTTAATTGTGTCAGCAGTTATGCAGGTGTATGAGTTGGTTGAAATTCTTCAAGCTAGGAGCTTAAAATGCGTAAAATAAAGTTGATTTTTTAAAAAGCTGATCTTATGGAAACCTCTCTGCCATTTGTTCTGGAAAAACCTGGAGCTGGTGTGGAGGGGATGAGATGACTGTTCTTTTCTTAACTCACACAGTGATCCCACATTTACACATCAAAGGCTTTTTCCTTGTTACCACAAAGCAAAAATGACAGGGTTGCCTGCTGTGATGATAATGACTTCCCAGACTAAAGAAGCCACAGAAGGTCACAGGAAATCTTAGTCCCGTTATCATCCTGTATTTCCCTAGGAGACCTCATGGCCAATTTGACCGAATTACTTTTTCCCCACTGCATCTTTCCTTTTGGATTCATTAGCTAAGACATCGAAAGGTCAAAAGTCTTACTCAGAGTTGGTGGCAATGAGTCAATGACCGTGTTTCCTCTGCTTTCCAGCCTGCAGTCTGAGCATGAACCCACAGTGAGACCCACTGACTGGTAGCATTATTTGGAATTCCCACCACCTCCCCCACCTCTCCTCCATTTTCCTCCTCCTTTCTTCCATATTCTTGTTCTGTCTCAAAATACCCAAGAATATCCTAAAATAAATGTATTAAGGAAGAGTTAGCAAATATATTTTTATGCAAAAACAACTGCCATGAAACTTAACTCTCTTGTGACCTCAAGAAATTTTCTGAAATACCATGTGTTACAAATGTTTGAAATAATATTCACCTTCAAAAAGAGGTATATTTTCATATTAACTCACCCTAATAAAACTGACATAGTGAAAAACAGCAATAGAATCAATGTGATATCTTTGTTAAAGTAAACCTCTAAAGTGTACCTACCATACAACTGATTGTATAATTCTAGAGTTATCAGATAGAAATGGCAATCAAGGTGTTGGGAAAAATGACTGAAGTCCATATGAAAAAAATTCATTTAGTTGTCACTACAAGACATAATTCGCTCTGTTTGAGTACGTTACGTTGGTAATCATACTTTAGAACATGTTCAGCTATTGGAGGCAGGAAAATGAAACGTTCTCCAGCCCAAATGTTCACAATGATAGTGCACACGGAAAAAAATTTTTTTTTAAGTATAGACTTCTAGGTCTCATTATGGAATTCAAATACAATAGTTCCGGGGTGAAGTCCAAGACTATGTATTTTTTCAGTGTTACCAAGGTGATTCTGATGTTCAGACATGTTTTGTCCAGCCTTGCCCCACTCTGAGGCTTTCTTCTTAAGTGCTATGCTCAAAGAACTTTTGTCGTATATCACAGTACCCAAATGTTTTGGGTCTTTCACTTCTTTTTTTTCTTTTTTTTTTGAGACGGAGTCTTGCTCTGTTGCCCATGCTGGAGTGCAGTGGTGCGATCTCAGCTCACTGAAAGCTCTGCCTCCCAGGTTCACGCCATTCTCTTGCCTCAGCCTCCCGAGTAGCTGGGACTACAGGCGCCCGCCATCACACCTGGCTAATTTTTTGTATTTTTAGTAGAGACTGGGTTTCACCATGTTAGCCAGGATGGTCTCGATCTCCTGACCTCATGATCCGCCCACGTCGGCCTCCCAAAGTGCTGGGATTACAGGTGTGAGCCACCGCACCCAGCTGGGTCTTTCACTTCTATCACTAACAGCACATCTCCAATACAGGTGTATTTATTTAACTGCAAATTCATGCATAAATGCATCATATTTCAAAATAATTTATATTTAAATCTACAAAAATTTACTTCCCAGAGCAAGCAAATAGCTCAATTGATCTTCATATTGGGCATCTCTAATAAAGAGGATAGGTACATCATGCTTAGAGTCAATATCATAGATCTCTATTTTTCTATGACATGACATAGTGTTGTCTTGTACCATGTGTCTCCGTCACTTTGAAAAGACATTAATTCCAATGGAGTTAAAATATTTCTATAAGTGAAAAATTAACCAAAGGGAGTTTGGGAATTTTTAACCTTCTTCCTCAAGAGATTTTTGTATTGTAATCCAACTGAGTTTTACTCAGTTGGCAAGAGAGTGAAAATATTTATTATATTTTATGACTTTAGCGGCATGTCCCTAATCAAGCAAGATGAGAATGAAGCAGGAACACAGACTATGAATGTATGTCTCTGTGGAACGCCAGAGAAATCCAGATCCTCAGCCCATCAGATATGGAGTCTTGCAGCATCTTTGAGTATGAGACCAGGTGGAAAAAGAGATTTCATCTAAATTTACAAAGGCTCCTCTGTCTGTGCCTTTCTGACAGGGCTTAATTGCCTCAGCATGAAGCAGCCAGAGCAAGAATTAACAAAATTAAACTTGATAATTCCTGACACTCTCTTTCCCCACTGTGAAGCATCATCCATGGGAATAAGGGAGAGCAAGACTCAGGAGCCCTGCCCCTCCTCTCTAGGCAGAGCCCAGGGTGTCCGGGAGGCCAAAGTCAGACTAACGGAGCTACTTGAATGCAGGGGATGCCACAGTCTTTCTTTGACAGCCTCTCAAGAGTCAGCGCAGGGCTCCCTAGCTTCATTCTCACTTTCCTTTTGCTCTTTTTTCCTTTCTGTTACCAAAATACACTGGCATATTAAAAATAAACAGTGCTGCCTTGCCACAGAGCTCTGTTCTCCTTTAAATAGTCTGACAAGTACAAATGAGTCAAGATTCCCTATTGCTCCCATCCCAGGACAGATCACGGGGCCTTCTCCTTTCTCCTCTTTCTTTCTGGCTGCCTGTGCCTTTCTCTCTGCTCCGGCTTTTCTCTCAATCTAGTTTCCAAGTTTCTGGCTGGTTATCAGCCATTCTCTCCCTCTGGGTGCCGCCCTGGGTCTCTCTCAGGAACTCTCTTGGCCTCATTTTTTCTATGTAACTCTGTTTCTCTTTTTTCTGTCATCATTCTTTCTGAATGTCTGTATCCCCAGATAAATACAAAACAAGCAGGTAAAGTGAGCCACAGTAAGAATAAACCATTTAATTAGGGCATTTGTGCTGTGCAAAGTTGGAAAAAAAAAATCTGGTCCTGTCTGGCCAAGTCGGCATCTTCTGTCACCAGGAACCTTTTGAGAGGCCCTTAAAGACTTCCATCCTCTATGCTATATTTGCATCTTTAATGTGCAATGAAGACAAGCTCTTGGCATACATGCAAAAGCAATCTGTACTATGGGGAAGATATGGTCTTTAACCTCAGGTTGAACTAAAAAGCACTGGAAATTTTAAGAGTTTGTTTTGACCTTTCAGGGTCACTCAGGATGGGGATCTGCCTGGCAGTTGTTAATGGTGGTTTGATTGGGCTCCAATACTGTTTTTAAGTCTCCACTTAGAGTCCAGCCAAGTTAAACACATTTTCTTTTCATCTCTACTCTCGTATCCAGCCTGCAGCCTCAGGTCTTCAGTCATTCCTTGGTTCTTCTCTGGATTTTGTCCAATTTGTTGACAAATCCTCCAATCTTTATTTAAAATTACTTCTTAATTTCATCCTGATAGTATCTTGCAGCGTTTCCTTAAGACCAGCATTTTATTCTGTTTCTGCCCACACATTGAGTTAAATGTGGGAGCAGGAGTATACAGAAAAGACCACAAAGCTGTTTCGGGGGATAGGACTACAGGCAAAGCTAGTGGTCAGGCCTTCTAGACAAGTGGACTCTGGGGCTGGCAGCAGTGTTTTCTTTTCTTGTTTGAAAATGGCGTCTTTTCTTGATTGTAAAATTTATACTGATCGTTGCTGAAAACTTCCAAAATACAGACAAAAAAGCAGAAGAATATAAAAATTATGGACAATCCACAAACTGCAGATAATTATTATTGATACTTCTTATGTTTTCTTTCATTGTTTTACATATATATATATATATATATATATATATATATATATATATTTTTTTTTTTTTTTTTTTTTTTTTTTTTTGAGATGGAATTTCACTCTTGTTGCCCAGGCTGGAGTGCAATGGCACAATCTCAGCTCACTGCAACCTCTACCTCCCAGGTTCAAACAGTTCTCCTGCCTCAGCCTCCTGAGTAGCTGTGATTACAGGCATGCGCCACCATGCCCGGCTAATTTTTTGTATTTTTAGTAGAAACGGGGTTTCACCATGTTGGCCAGGCTGGTTTCGAACTCCTGACCTCAGGTGATCCACACTCCTCGGCTTCCCAAAATGCTGGGATTACAGGCGTGAGCCACCGCTCCTGACATATAAATATTTTTAAACAAACTTAATTGTACACTAAGAGTGTTTTACCTTGTAGTTATTTCCCACATTTGCATTTCCTTCTTCCAACTATAACTTTATGCATTAGGACCGCAATACTTTCATTACTGTAATTTTTTAAAGTACTTTGAATTGGTAGGGTGAGTCAATCAACACTCATGTCATCAAAACTCATTTTTTTGACATTTTCTTGACTATTAATTTCCTAATCTTTTTCTTTCTAGATGAACGTTTGGTTCACTGTGCTGGCATGGCATTTTGAATACAATTTCATTAAACACAAAAGTTAACACATAAAAATTAAAGAGAGCTGACATTTACAGTGTTCTCTCTTTTAATCCTGGAACATAAACACCATTTATTCATCATATTATTTTTTGGTTTGTCAACAAAGTTTTATAGTGTTATTGATTATATCTTCAATTTGTAAATAAACATTTCTAGCTTTTTTTAAGCCTTGGCTTCATATATTGTATGTGTATGTATGTATGTCTGATTTTATATTTTTCTTGTATCCCTTATCTCTGGACAAAAATGCCTATTTTTTTATTGCGGTAAAATATATATAACATAAAATTTACCATTTTAATCATTTTTAAGTGTACAATTCTGTAACTTTCAGTACATTCACATTGTTGTGCAACTGTCACCAATATCCAACTCCAGAACAGTTGTCTTCCCAAACTAAAACTTTGTATCCATTAAACACTACCTCCCCATTTCCATCTTCCCCCAGCCCCTCCCGATCACCAATCTACTTTCTGTTCCTATGAATTTGATTACTCTAGGTACCTCATACAAGTGGGATTATATAATATTTGTTCAGGGAAATACTGACATTTCACTTTGCGTAATGTTGTTAAAGTTCTTTCCTGTTGTAGCATGTGTCAGAATTTTCTTCCTTTTTAAGGCTGAATAATATTCCCTTTTGTGTATGTGCCACATTTTGTTTATCCGGTCTTCTGTTCATGGGTACTTGGGCTGCTTCCACATTTTGGCTACTGTGAATAATGCTGATATGAACATGGATGTACAATATCTGTTCAATCTCCTGCTCTCAATTCTTTTGGGTATATACCCAGAAGTGAAAGTGCTGAATCATACAGTAATTCTGTGCTTAATTTTTTGAGGAAACACCATACCATTTTCCACATTGACTGCATCATTTTATATTCCCATCAGCAATGTACAGGACTTCCAATTTCTCCACATCCTCACCAACACTTCTGATCTTCTGGGGGTTTTTTTGTTTGTTTGTTTGTTTGTTTTGTAGTAGCCATCCTACTAAGTGTGAAGTCGTATCTTGTGATTTTGCTTTGCATTTCCCTAATAATTAAGGATGTTGAGGGTCTTTCTATGTGCTTATTGGTTATTTGTATATCTTCTCTGGGGACGCATCTATTCAAGTACTGTGCCCATTTTTTTTCACTGTGGTGTACTTCATTTCATAGGGCTGTTTTAGCTTCACAGCAAAACTGAGCAGAAAGTACAGAGGTCCCATTATACCCTTGCCCCCACATGTGCACACACAGAGCCTTCCTTACCATCAACATCCCGTACCAGAATAGTATATTGTTACAATTCATAAACCTACATAAACACACCATTATCACCCACCATTATCATCCATAGTTTATGTTAGCGTTCATTCTTGGTTTGTTATACATTCTATAGGTTTTGACAGATGTGTAATGCCATGTATGTACCATTATAGTATCACACAGAATAGCTTCATTGTCTTAAAAATCCTTTGTGCTCTTCCTGTTCATCCCTTCTTTCCTCTTACTCTTTGGAAGCCACTGATCCTTTTATTGTCTCCATAGTTTTGCCTTTTCCAGAATATCATATAGTTGGAATTGTACGGTATATATACATTTTAGGTTGCATTCCTTCACTTACTAATAAGCATTTGCATTTCCTCCATTTTGTAAATGACTGGAAAGCTCATTTCTTTTTTTTCAGACTGGAAAGCACGAATAATATTCCATTGTATGGATGTATCACAGTTTATCCATTCATCTACTGAAGAATATGTTGGCTGTTGCCATGTTTGACAATTATGAATAAACCTATCAACATACATATGCAGGTTTTTATGTGGACATAATTTTTCTACTCCTTTGGGTAAATACCCAAGAGTCTGATTGCTGGATTATATGGTTAGAGGATGTTTAGTTTTGTAAAAAACTGACCAACTTTCTTCCAAAGTGACTGTACCACTTTGTATTCCCACTAACAGTGAGTGAGGGTTCCTGTTGCTCCACATCCTCACCACAGTTGGTGCTGTCATGGCTCTGAAGTCTGGCCATTCTAATAGGCATAGGCTGGTATCTCACCCTTGTTTTACTTTGCATTTTCCTGATGACATATGATGTAGGGTATCTTTTCATATGTTTATTTACCATTTATATACCTTTTTTGGTGAGGTGTCTATTCAGGTCTTTTACCCATTTTTTTTAGTCAGGGTGTTTGTTTTCTTATTGCTGAGTTGTATCAGTTTTTTTATGTTTTGGATAATGATCCTACATCTGGCATGGTTTTTGCAAATATTTTCTCTTAGTCTGTGGCTTATCTTCTCATTCTCTGGGCAGCGTCTTTCACAGTACCTTTCATAGAGCAGAAATGTTTAATTTTAGTGAAGTTCACCTTGTCAATTATATCTTTCATGAATCATGCTTTTAGCGTAGTACAGTAGTTCACCCTTATCTGTGGAGGATGTGTTCCAAGACCTCTAGTGGATGCCTGAAACCATTGATAGTACTGAACCCCATATATCACTATGTATTTTTCCTATTCATACATATCTATGATAAAGTTTAATTTATAAATTAGGTATAGTAAGAGTTAACAATAGAAACTAATAATAAAAGATAATAATTATAACTATATACCTTAATAAAAGTTATATGAATCCTGTCTGTCTCTTTCAAAGGATATTATTGTACTCTACTTCTTTACTTCTTTTTCTTGTGATGATGTGAGGTGATACCGTGCCTATGAAAGGAAGTGAGGTGAATGATGTAGGCATTGTGACAGAGCAGTAGGGTACCACTGACCTTCTGACAATACATCAGAAGGAGGATCATATGCTTCAGGTGATGTTGGATTATTGAGCCATGATTATTTCGATGGTTGGATGTCAGTAGCAGACAATGTCGACAACTAAGGATCAGGTAATGTATACAGTGCGGATACGCTAAACCAAGGGATGATTAACATCCCAAGCAAGTCACCACAAAATTTCATCATGTCACTCAGAACAGCAGGCAATTTAAAACTTATGAGTTGTTTATTTCTGGACTCTTCCATTTAATATTTTCAGACCATTGTTGACTATGGGTAACTAACACCACAGAAAGTGAAACCTCAGGAAAAGGGGCAGTTACTATATCTAACAAGTCATAGGCATAACCAAGGTCACCTAAAGTTTCTCCTATGTTATTTCTAGGTATTTCATAATTTTGTGTTTCGCATATAGGTATACGATTCACTTTGAGCTAATTTTTGTGAAAAGTGTAAGGAAAGCCTGTGTCTGGATTCATTTTTCTCCACGTGGATCTCCAGTTGTTCCAACACTATTTGTTGAAAAGAAAATATTTTTCCACCGTATTTCCTTAGTTTCTTCATCAAAGACACCTTTACTAAATTTATGTCTACTTCTGGGCTCTCTATTCTATTCCTTTTTATTCCATTTTCCTATTTGTCTGTTCTTTTAACGATACCACACTGTCTTGATTACTGTTTCTTTACAGTAAGTCTTAAAGTAAGGTAGTTTCAATTCTCTGATTTTGTTATTCTAGGCCTTTTGCCTCTCCATAGAATCGGTTTGTCAATATCCACAAAATAACTAGTTGAGATTTTCACTGGAATTGTGCTGAATCCACAGATCAAGTTGGGCGGAAACTGATATCTTGACAATATTGAATCTTCCTATCCATCAACATGCACTGTTCCCCCATTTATTTAGTTCATTTATTTTATTCATCACAGTTTTGTAGTTCTCTCATACAGTTTTTGGGTATGTTTTGTTAGAGTTGTACCTAAGTGTTTTATTTTTGGGGTGCTAGTGTAAATAGTATTGTATTTTTAATTTTGTATTTCAGTTGTTTATGGCTGGCATATATGAAAGTTATTGACTTTTGTATATTCACCTTATATCTTATAACCTTGCTATAATTGCTTATTAGTTCCAGGAGTATTTTCTCTGATTCTTTGAGATTTTATACATAGACATCATGTCATTTCCAAATAAAGACAGTTTTAAATATGTATATCTTTTATTTCTTTTTCTTGTTTTATTGCATTAGCTAAGATTTCCAATATGATCTTAAAAAGGAGTGGTAAAAGGGGACCTCCTTGCCTGGTTCCTAATCTTAGTGAGAGAGTGTTGAGTTTTTCACCATTAAGTACTATGGTTAGCTGGAATTTTTAGCATGAATTCATGTTGAATTTTGTCAAAAATTTTTCTGTGTCTATTGATATGACCATATCATTTTTCCTCTTTAACCTGTCGGTGTGGTGAATTATGTTAATTGATTTTAAAATGTTGAATCAGCCTTGCATACCTGGAATATATCCCACTTGTTTTGATGTGTAATTTTTTATACATTATTGGATTTAATTTTTTTTTTGAGGATTTTGCATTTATGTTCATGAGACATATTGGTCTCTAGTTTTCTTTTCTTATAATGTTTTTGTCCTTTCTTGGCATCAAGGCAATGCTGGCCTCAGAATGAGTTAGAATTCTGCTTTTGAATTCCAAGACAGATTGTAGAGAATTGATATAATTTCTTTCTTAAATGTTTGATATAATTCACCAGTGAACCCATCTAGGGTATTATTGGTATTAGAAAGTTATTAATTACTAATTCATATATTTTCTCTCTTTTATTGAGACAGAGTCTCACTTTGTCACCCAAGCTGGGGTGCAGTAGCACAATCATGGTTCACTGCAGCCTTGACCTCCCAGGCTCAAGCAATTCTCCCATCTCAGCCTCCTGAGTAGTTGGGACTATAGCTACCATGTCGGGCTAATTTTAAAAAAAGCATTTGTAGAGATGGGATCTCTCTATGTTGCCCAAGCTGGTCTCAAATTCCTGGCTCAAATGATCCTCCCGCCTCAGTCTCTCAAAGTGCTAGGATTACATGCATGAGCCATCACACCTGGCCTGATTCAGAATCTTTAGGCCTATCCAGATTGTTTGTTTCTTCTTGTGTGAATTTTGGCAGATCATGTCTTTCAGGGAGCTCTCTTCATCTAGATTATCAAATCTGTAGGCAGAGTTGTTTGTAATATTTCTTTATCATCCTTTTAGTGTTCATAGGATTTGTAGTGATATCCATCCCCTCTTTCATTTCTGATATTAGTAATTTGTATCTTTTCTTTTCTTTTTTAAGTTAGCCTGGGGGCAGGCTTATCAATTTTATTGATCTTTTCAAAGAATCAGCTTTTAGTTTCATTGATTTTCTCTATTGATTTCCTATCTTTTTTTCTGTGTATTTTAGATTTAATTCACTCTTCTTTTTTTTGGTTTCCCAAAGTGGAAGCTTAGATGATTGATTTCAGATCTTTTGTCTTTTGTAATGTGTGTAATCTATACTATAAAGTTGCCTCTAGGCACTGCTTTCACTGCATTCTACAAATTTTGATAAGTTGTATATTCCTTTTCATTTAGATCAAAATGTTTTTAAATTTTTCTTTAGATTCCTTACTTGACTCATGTGTCTTTTAGAAGTGTGTTGTTTAATCTCCATGTATTTGGGGATTTTTCAACTAATTTTTACTTATTTGATTTCTAGTTTAGTTCTGAGATCATATATTGTATAATTTCCATTGTTTTAAATTTATTAAGGTGTGTTTTATGACCCAGAATGTAATTCATAGTAGTGAATATTTCATGTGATCTTGAGAAGAATGTGTATTCTGCTGTTATTGGATGCAGCAGTCTACAGATGTCAATTATATCCTGTTCGTTGATGGTGATATTGAGTTCTGCTATATCCTTATTGGTTTTTTGCCTGCTGCATTCGTTAGTTCCTAATAGAGGTGTTGACCTCTCCAACTATAATAGTGAAGTCATCCATTACTTCTTGCAGTTCTACCCGTTGTTGCCTCACATATTTTGATGCCTTGCTAGTAGGGGCATGCACAGGGTTATTATGTATTCTTGAAGAATTGACTGTTCTATTGTTGCAAAATGCCCTTCTTTGTCTCAGATAATTTTCCTTACTCAGGAATCTGCTCTTTCTGAAATTGATATAGTTACTCCTAGTTTCTTTTTGTTAGTGCTGGCATGGCATATTGGCATATCTTTCTCCATCCGTTTAATTTTAATCTGTATGTATCTCTAAATTTAAAGTGGGTTTCTTGTGGACAACATGTAGTTGGGTTTTGTGTTATGGTCCACTCTGACAATCTTTGTCTTTTAACTAGTATTTAGATCATTAATGTTTAAAGTAATTATTAATATATTTGCATTAATATCTATCATATTTGTTACTGTATTTTATTCATTGCCCAGCTTCCTTTGTTTCTATTTTTGTCTCTTACTATTTTTCTGCCATTTGTAGTTTTAATTAAACATTTTATATAATTTCATTTTCTCTCCTTTTTCTTAGCATAGCAATTATATTTCATTTTCTTACTTTTTTTAAATTGTTGCCCTAGAGTTTGCAACATACATTTACAACTAATCCAAGTCCACTTTGAAATAACACTCTAGCGCTTCATGACTAGTGTGAATACTGTATAAGAACAAAATAATGCTAATTCCTCCCTCTCTTTCCTTGTATCTTTGCTGTCATTTGTTTCACAATGCTAATATACAGCATTTCACAATGCTAATAAGGCATATATGTCTAGCTCCTGATATTATTTTGAACAAACCGCCACTATATTAGATCAATTAAAAATGAAAATAAAAATTTGTAATTACTTTCATTTATTCCTTCTCTAATACTCTTTCTTTAATCACGTAGAGTCAAGTTTCTGACCTATATCACTTTTTTTTCTCTCTGAAGAACTTCATTTAACATTTCTGGCAAGGCCAAAAATTTTCTCAAGGTTTGTGTGAGAAACTCTGCATTTCCCTTTCACTTGCTTTTTTTTTTTTTTTTTTTTTTTGAGACAGACTCTGACTCTGTCACCCAGGCTGGAGTGCAGTGGCGCAAACTCGGCTTACTGCAACCTCCGCCTCCTGGGTTCAAGCAATTCTCCTGGCTCAGCCTCCCTAGTAGCTGGGATTACAGGTGCTTGCCCAGCTAATTTTTGTACTTTTAGTAGAGACAGGGTTTCACCATGTTGGCCAGGATGGTCTCTAACTCCTGAGCTCAGGTGATCCACCCGCCTTGGTCTTCCAAAGTGCTAGGATTACAGGCGTGAGCCACCACGCCCGGCCTCCTTTTCACTTTTAAAGGATAATTTCACAGAACATAGGATTCTTTTTTTTTTTTTTTTTTTTTTTTTTTTTTTTTTTTTGAGACGGAGTCTCGCTCTGTCGCCCAGGCTGGATTGCAGTGGCATAATCTCAGCAAGCTGCGCCTCACTGTTTCACGCCATTCTCCTGCCTCAGCCTTCCGAGTAGCTGGGACTACAGGCACCTGCCACCACGCCCGGCTAATTTTTTGTATTTTTCGTACAGACGGGATTTCACCGTGTTAGCCAGGTTGGTCTCGATCTCCTGACCTCGTGATCCACCAGCCTCGGCCTCCCAAAGTGCTGGGATTACAGGTGTGAGCCACCGCGCTAGGCCCACAGGATATAGAATTCTAGATTGGTGGAGTCTTTTTCTCTCTCAACACTTTAAGGATTTCATTCCACTCTCTTCTTACTTGCATGATTTGTAGAAGTACGGTGTTTTTTCCCTCAGGCTTCGTTTAAGATTTTTTTCTTTACCTTTGATTTTTGGCAGTTTGAATGTAACATGCCTAGTGTAGTTTTTGTTTTTGTTCCCATTTATCCTGCCTGGTGTTCTCTGAGTTACCTAGATCTGTGGTTTGGTGTCTCTATTAGTCTGTTCAGGCTGCCATAACAAAGTACCACAGACTGGGTGGCTGAAACAACAAAAATCTATTTTCTCACAGTTTTGGAAGCTAGAATACCAAGATCAAGGTGCTGTCAGAATTGGTTTCTGATGAGGCCTCTCTTCCTGACTTGTAGTCAGCCACCTTCTCGCTATGTCCTCACATGGTCTCTTCTCTGTGCATTTGCAGAAAGAAAAAGAAAAGGGTAAGATCTTTGGTGTCTCTTCCTCTCCTTATAAAAACATCAATCCTATTGGGTTACAGACCCGTCCTTGAAACCTCATTTAACTTGTTTTACCTACTGGAAGGCTCTATTTCCAAATGCAATGAGAGTTAGGATTTGAACATTTGAATTTACAGGGAGGGGCTCAGTTTGGTCTATAACTGTGTCTCCCATTAATTTGGGAAAATTGTCAGGAGTTACTACTTCAAATATTGCTTCTATTCCTTTCTTTTTTCTCCTTCTGGTAGCCCTGTTACATGTATGCTACACCTTTTATAGTTGTTCCACAGTTTTTAGATATTTTGTTATTTATTTTCAGTCTTTTTCTCTTTGTTGTTCATTTTAGAGGTTTCCATTGATATATCCTCAAGCTCAGAGATTCTTTACCCTGCTGTTTTCAGTCAACTAATGAGCCTATCAAAGACATTCCTCATTTCTATCAAAATAGAATCAGTTTTTAATCTCTAGTATTTCTTTTAATTTCTTCTTAGAACTTTCATCTCTGCTTACATCATTCTTCTGTTCCTGTATGTTGTCTACTTTTTCCATTAGATCCTTTAGCATATTAATTATAGCTTTATTACTATAATAATTATTATTATTATTGAGACCAGGCCTTACTATGTTGCCCAGGCTGGTCTTGAACTTCTGACCCCAATCAATCCTCCTGCCTCAGCCTCCCAAAATATTGAGATTATAGGTGTGAGCCACCATGCCCAGCCAATCATAGCTTTTTACATTTACAGTCTGATGATTCCAACATCTCTACCACAGCCTAATCTGGTTTTGGTGCTTGCTCTGTCTCTTCAATCTGTATTTTTTACCTTTTAGTATACCTAATACTTTTTTACTGAAAGCCAGATATAGGATACTGAATGAAAGGAACTGTAGTAAATGGATCATTAGTAATGTGGTGGTAAGGGGTGGGGGGAGGTAAAATGTTCTATAGTCCCATAACTAGTTCTCAGTCTTTCAGTGATCCTGTGCTTCTGGGCTGCGAACTTCATGAGACCCTCTCAGTTTTTTTCTCCTGCCTTAGCTGAGGCAGTACAGCTGAAGGGGCTGAAGTTGAGTTGAATATTTCCCTTCTCCAGCATGGGAGGCTAGAGGCAGTGACCACACTTTTCTGATAGAACTAAGAAGAATTATTTATTTTCTGCTTTTTTCAGCTTTTTACTTGTTATCAGAGTGGAGTATTGACTTCTAGATTCCTTACATGCTGGACCAAAAGGAAGAAGTCCTTCTTTGTCCATTTTAAATGGAGTTGTTTGTTGTTGCTGTTGTTGTTGAGTTGTGGGAATTTTAAAAATATATTCTGAATATAAATCCTTTATCAGATATACAATTTGCATATATTTTCTCCCATTCTGTGAGTTGTCTTTTCATTCTGTTTGACATCAAAGTTTTAATTTTGATAAGTAAGGAGCCATCTTACCTATTTTTTTTTCTTTTGTTGCTTGTGTTTTTAATGTCATACCCAAAAAATGATGGCTAAATCCAGCGTCATGAAGCTTTTCCCCTATGTTTTCTTCTAAGAGTTTTACAGTTTTTGTTACTATGTTTAGGTCTTTGATCCACTTTGAGTTGCTTTTTGTATATGGTGTAAGGTGGAATTCACCTTCATTTTTTTTTAAACCACTTATTGAGGTGTGATTGTCATTTAAAAAGTTATGCACATTTAATATATACAACTCAATGAGTTTGGAAATAAGTATATACCCATGAAGCCAACATTACAATCTACCATAAACATATTAGCTTGGTGCAAAAAGAATTGTGGTTTCTGCCATTACTTTCAATTAATTTTGCCATTTACTTTTGCCATTATTTTAATGGCAAAAACTGCAATTCCTTTTTTGCACCAACCTAATATCTATCACCTCCATAAGTTTCCCTCCACCCTCCTATTTATTGTTATTGATTTTTTGTGTGTGATAAGAACACAGAAGATCTAGTCACTTAGCAAATTTTTAAGTTTATGAAACAGTATTGTTAACCAAAGGCACTATGCTGTACAGTAGATTTCTAAAACTTATTTATCTTGTGTAACTGAAACTTTATATCCTGTGACTAATATCTCCCATTTCCCTCTTCCGCCAGCCCTGGCAACCACCATTTCACTCTCTTCTTCTATGAATTTGATTATTTTAGATCTATCACATAAGTGGTATCATGTAGTATTTGTCCTTCTGTGTCTGGCTTATTTCCCTTAGCATGAAGTCTTCCAAGTTTATCCATGTGGTCACAAATGGCAGGATTTCCTTCTTTTTTAAGGGTGAATACTATTCCATTGTATCATAGACCACGTTTTCTTTATCCATTCATCCATTGATGGACATTTACGTTGCTTCTGTGTCTTGCATATTGTGAATTGTGCTGCAGTGAACATGCGAGTACAGATGTCTCTTTGAAATTCTGATTTTAATTCCTTTGGATATATACCCAGAAGTGAGATTTCTGGATCATGTTGTAGTTCTGTTTTTAATTTTAGTGGGAACTTCCATACTGTTTTCCACAGTGGCTGTACTAATTTACATTTCTATTGACAGTGTACTAGAGTTCCCTTTTTTCTACACCCTTGCCAACATTTGTTATTTTGTGTATTTTTTACGTAATAGCCATCCTAACAGGCGTGAGGTGATTTCTCATTGTGGCAACTTCATTTTTTTATGCCTGTAGATATTCAGTTTCCCCAACACCATTTATTAAAGACTATGTTTTCCCCATGAATGGTCTTGGCACCCTTGCCAAAAGTCATTCAACCATATATGCAAGGCCTTATTTCTGGGATCTTCGTTCTATTCCATTGGTCTATATGTCTCTTTTTATGCTGGGAGCACAGTTTTTATTACCATAGCTCTGTAGTAAGTTTTGAAATCAGGAAGTATGTGAATTTCAACCTAGTTCTTTCTCAAAACGTTTTGGCTACTTGGGATTCTTGAGATTCCACATAAACTCTAAGATGAATATTTTTATTTCTGTAAAAAAAATCATTGGGATTTAAATAGGGATTGAACTACATCTATAGATCACTTTGAGTAGTATTGACATCTTAACAATATTAATTCTTCCAATCCATGAACATAGGCTGTCTCTCCATTTATTTGTGTTTTCTTTAATTTCCTTCAGCAAAATTTTGTAGTTTTCATTACACAAGTGTTATACCTCTTTTGTTAAGTCTATTCTTAAGGACTGTATTCTTTTAGATGCTATTGTAAATGGAATTGCTTTCTTAATTTTTTTAGATTGTTCATTGTTAGTATATAAAAACACAACTTATTTTTTCCCTCATTCTATTTTATCACAATTTGAGTGTCCTGAAACACATCCCTCGATCACTCTGAGCCCTTGTATCCTCATTTAAACAAAACGAATTAGATTAGATGGTTTCTAAAATCTTTCCCACTATTAGATGTTGTGATTCTATCTGGATACTCCTTTCCTTTAATTATCTATGTAAAGGGAGCAATTCAGCTTTCAAGTCCTAGCTTAGAATTTATAGTTTTTACATAAAGACTTCTTTAACTCCCCCAACTCTCCCCCCTATTTTTACATGAATTCTATCACACCATAGCACATATCTCAGAGCAATGTTCCAATTATCTTTTCTTCCACAGCAATTCAAATAAAGCCTGGATGTATGCAAGCAACAAATAGGAATCAGTGCATGAACAATTAAATGAATATGCCTGACTGTCTATGACCTAAACCATAAGTAAGGCCCTCCTAACAAAAACACATTAAAACCAATGTATTAGTCTATTCTCACATTGCTATAAAGAACTACCTGAGACTGGGCAATTTATAAAGAAAAGAGGTTTAACTGATTCACAGTTCCACATGATGTACAGGAAGCACAAGTAGGAAGGCCTCAGGAAACTTATAATCATGGTAGAAGGGCAAAGGGGAAGCAAGCACATCTTCACATGGTGGCAGAAGAGAGACAGCAAAGGGAGAAGTGCTACACACTTTAAAACAGACAGATCTCATGAAAACTCACTAATTATCCCAAGAACAGCAAGAGGGAAATCCGCCCCCATAATCCAATCACCTTCCACTAAGCCTCTCCTCCAACACTGAAGATCGTAGTTCAATCTGAGATTTGGGTAGGGACATAGAGCCAAATCATATTACACCAAAAACAATCCCTTCATACAAGAGAGTGGACTTACATTTTTCTGTTATATGAGAATGTGGACCTTTCATTTAGAACTAAAATTAATTTTAGCATATAAATATAGACTAAATTAAAAAAAAGAAGGGACTACTCCCTAGATTTTATTTATGGTAGAGCAATGTAAATAATACAGTTGAGACATCAAATAGCCCTTAGATTTTCTTAATCTAATTTAAATGGTTTGCAAGATGATATATTCAGATTTAATCTAAGAGCTTTATCTTTGGCTCATTTTGTACTGTTCTAGGAGACTTTCTATTTAAGAAAATGGAGTTTTGTGGCTACAAAAATTTCAAAGGAAAAAAAGGAATATGGAGTTTTGTTGGAGACTAATTTTATACATATTTCCTATTATCCATCCAAAATCTCAAAACTGTATTAGTAATACAGGTATTAGTGAAGGCCTGAAGAGAATAATTTGTTCAGAATAATGGTTTCTAAATATTTTAAGGACTGCCACTTAGCATAGGAATTAAAAGTATTATGTTTAAAAAGGAGAGCTAGTTCAATGAGTGGGATCTGTAATGAAACAGCTTTTGCTCAATGTAAAGAAAGCCTCTCTGAGGATTAGAGCTACTCCAACAGGAAGTTTACTATCTCAAGAGAGGATGGATTTCCTGTCACTGAAACTTCTCAAAAGAAGCAGAACACTCACTGACCAGGTTCTTCAAGAGAAGACTGGGGAAATGTATAAATTAGATTGTCTCTAAAGTTTCTTCCAACTCTGAAAGTATATAATCCCATGATTCTTATACTTCTTCACATAGATATCACTGAACTATCTGAATGTGGCTTTTGTGTTGGCCTTCTCATTATTTAGTCTAAACAAAACAGGTTTCTTCAAGCACTGCCCATGAATGATATCCTGTCTTGGTCGTGCCCCTCAGAGTATTTTTACATTTTCTAATTCTAGTAATTAAGTCCAAGCCCGCTTCTATTTTTTTCTGTAGCTACATGACACAGGGTTACTCACTGAACTTGAAAATCCCAGTTTTATTCACACATGTTAATAGAGAGAACACAGGCTTTAAAACACGGAAGAAGGGTTGGCACTTGCTGTTGAACTTGGACAAGTTTCTCTGAACATGAGTGTAGTGGATACTGTGATGTGCTACCAAGATCCAAGATCCCACATTCAAGACCAAGGCATTGCCAGCTCCTGCAGTGTTTTCTGATGATACTTACAGGTGTCATTCCTGTGGAATTGCCCCATAATCAAAGGGAAATAAATGCCTTGTTCAGATTATCGCTTCTGCATAGCGGTAGCCCATATACAATGACTATACTTGGAAGTACAAAGGCCAGGCCCTCTTGCCTCAATTCAGAATATCTCTGAAGAACAATCCCAGCCCTAGAAACTCCTCTTTGGTTTAGCTAAGGCCTTTTGCGACTACACTGCAGTTCAGCTACTCCTTCTGCCAGCCTTGCTCTCTCATTCCTGAACAGATGTTGTTCCTAAGAGCACAAGTAAATTACCTGCATTTTCTGTCTCATCACTAGTTTCCTAGGGAACTTGACCTAATGCTCGTCAATCTTTAAAATGAGAATGTTTTGCATTTCTTCATATTGAGAGGACCTAATGAGATTACAATTATGAAATTATTGAGCACAGTATGAAATAACTATGTACATTCACATTTCACTCATTTTTTTCTAACCCACACTTTCTGTACCAGATACTTGATAGCTATATTCAAAGGGTTTTATATGGGGGAAGGAGATTCAGGTTATTTTGTTCTATTGGGAAGAACTTCAATAGTGGGCAAAATTTTAGGCACCCAGAAATGCCTGGTGCATAGTTGGCAGTTAGTAAATGAATAAATGGATTGATAGATGGATGAGAAAATTAACATAATTTTAGAACTTTCTATTAGTCATTGTCCATGCAAAATGTAATGGGTTGCCACAAGAACCATTTAAATAATACTTCACTCAAGAAGTATTATGTATAATTAAACATTAATTTCAAGCTAGATACTGAAAAAGATTTTTTTACAAATATTGGCTTACTTAATCCTTACACCTACACTTCAACATAAGGTGTTCTTATATTTCAAAAAGTGAAATTGGAACTCGAAACTTTCCAAATTCATTTGTTTAAATCTTCAGTCTTCCTTCTCCATACTCTCAATCAGAATGTATTGATATTTATTTGATCACACCTATCAGAAAGTTGGAAATTATTCTAGACTATTGCCTCTTCTGTATCTCCTACAACCAACCCTTTATTCACTCTGCCTCCTAAGCTTCCTCCTACAGCAGATACTGTTAGTGCCCTGCTTGTATGCCCTCTTGGCACTCAACATTCTGAGTATGTCAATGGTTTCTGACTTCAAGCACTAACAGTTCTCTGTCTGAGGGCTTCAATTTTCTTCAGAAGCCTACTCTGCATATGTAAATAGTGAGCCTAAAGTGTTGGGGAGCTAATGCTCATAAGAGAGGTTCCCAACCAATGGTGGATGGGAGTTGATGAATAAATGTCCCCCAATTCCCGTTTGAATGAGAACTATTAGTACCTTCTATACAGGGTCCCAGCAGGACTTGGCATCAATTCCACAGTGGTATCCTGATCATTTTTACATGCTCTCTTGGCTTCCTTCCTTCTGCCACTTCCTTGACTTACTATCCTATTGCTGTACTCTGCCGTGTAAACTACTTGCACTCAAATCTACCACTCTGCTTTTGGAGGAACTCACTTAGGACATCTCTCCATTCCCATTCTAGTTCAATAATTTGTTTCCTTTCACCTGAACAGTTTCTTCCCTCTCTCAGCTTCAGTCTCTTTCTTTAGATCCTTCCTTCAAAGAAATATTTCAAAACATAAATATGATCGTGTCTCATTGTATGTAGGATAAAATATAAACTCTTTAGCATAGCTTATAAGGCCCTCCATGATCTCATGCTCTTGCCTCTGTCTGCCTTTTCATCTTCACCTCCCACTTTTTCCCACCACCACCCCATGCTAAGCTCATGTGGAACAATTCACACTCCTTCAGATGCACCCTGCCATCCCATCCTCCGTGGATTAACACACACCTGGCAAGTCCTCCACTCAGCCCAATGTGCAGTCAATGAGCCCACATTCATCCTTTATTTCTGCCTCAGTGAAGGGCGTTCCTTCAGCACATGGTTACAGGAAGACCTCCACATGTGTCTATCCTTGTGCTAGTCACACTGCAGTCGAGTTATTTGCCACAATGTCCATCTCCCCCGCCATGCTAAGAGTTGCTTGAGGGCAGCAGTAGTCTCCTGGATCAATGAGCTCCAAGGAATCCACACACAGCAGGTTCTTTAGGAAAGTGTCTTGCGGTTATAAATGGCTGAGTGCATGAATATACACTATCTAACAGCTGTCAGAGCTGGATTTCCGACATGGGTGTGTCCATTTCCAAAGCCCGCGCTCTTCCCATCGCAGTGTGCTCTCCAGGAGAGAGAGCCCTGCACCATGACTCTGTTGCTTCGACAGGCAGGCTTTATTGTACCAAGGCAATGGGCATGCAGCCATCACACATTTTGATGCATGACGCTTCCCCTTTCCATAGTCAGGAAGAGTAGATTCCGATCTGAAATGCCTTACTCCTAGCAGCTTTTCAGGCTGATTTCCTCTTTGCCTTGTATCAGATCAACCACTATGTATGTAACAGAACCTCCTTCATTTTTTGGCTCCACAAAACCCTTACTCCTTCTTTCTCCCTAATCTACAAAAGAAGAAAAGAGTGTCTTGGGAGAGCAGGGTCAGGAAATAAGATAATTCTGAGAAAGGTATCAGAACAGAGCAACTCTCTCGAGAGGGCGGGAGGTGAGGAGTGACAAAGGAGGTTGGGGGAATGGCTGGCATAATTGCTGCCACTGTAAGCAAGAGTGAGGGAGGAAAGAATCCAGGTGATTTTTCACAGAACTTGGGAACAGTGCATTTGTATCTTAATCATTACCTCATTGACTTGCTGTGTGTTAACCTGAACCTGGTTTATAACTACTCTTGAAAGTGCATCATCAATGTGGAATTCAGGCAATGCTTTTACTCTAAGGTTTTGGAAAGACTCCTTCATCAGTTCTCCCCAACCTGGGGTTGGGGAAGGGGAGCAGGAAGAAGGTCAAGGCTTCGCTAATGTTTCCAATGGTAATGAAAATACCACAGGTTCTCCCTCAGGCTCTCTCTTGGGGTGAAAACAATTTGCTGTTGGTTCCTGAGCTCTTTCTCCATCAATCCAGAGACTCCCCAGTATCTCAAGATCCCTGCTTCCCTGGGACACCTGAGGTGGCTCAAGCCCCTCTTTAGCAGCTTCCCACCACCTTCCATAGGCACCTTATGTTTGTGGCAGACCCTGCTGTTGTCATGAATGGATCTTTAGTTTTGGCACTGAGATTTACCTGTTTTTTGAACAGGGACAACTGTTATATACTCAGAAGCCAACTTATCATTATTATTTATCTCTCACTCCAATTGCAATTATTTAAGGAGGTTACCCTCCATTGTTGCTATATACAAACTTCAGCAGCCCCAATAATTTTCTGCTCAACACTACGTAATAGACAGGCAATAGATATTAAGTAATAACTTTAAAAGTCTTTATTCTGAAGTCAAAATATCTATACCAAGATTTAATCTACACACCAAACTTTATTCAATGTCAGGTCTCCCCTCCCTCATCTTGGGAGCTGCAGCCCTAAGGACGGTGGTAGGTTCTTCTTTCTCCTACTGACACTTCCCTCCCCACTGCCCCTGTGCCTTCCAGGTGTTTTCTGATCAGGTCCAGAGAATGGCATAGAAAGAGAAAATGAAAGGCTTCATGGACATGTACTGATCAGGGCTGACTTTGCACCCTGTGCCTGGCAGATGAATAAGGCTCACTCCTTCTCTTGTAGGTACTTTCTTTGTTCTCTGGAGTTTCTATCACCAAAGACCACTTGTGCTGTTGCCTTGAGCCTGAAAGGTATATCCTATTCCAAGTGGAAAACCCTAGAAATCTCATGATAAGCCTCAGCTTCTTACTGTTGGGTTTCTTTACTTTCTTATGGGAGGCACCCAAGATGGCCACATGCCTGACCTTACTCTCTCTCTATTTCTGTGCGTCTGTTTATCTCTGTAGGGAATGAACCATGCTCCATGGGAAATGAACAAGCACCCCTTGACCCAACAAGTGTTGGGATCACAGGCAGGATCCATCACAGCAGTCTACAACTTGTCACCATCATCAACGCTCTCATCATTAAGCACAACTCCTTCATGTCTTTCAAATGTAGGGGACATGTTTCAAGCTCTCCAGCCACCCCACAGAAGCCTCTCACGGGGCTCATAATGAATGGGGTAACACCCATCCCTACCCCTCATGCCTTCTGGCAGGAGACGCTTATGGCACTGCATTAGCTCTTCCCAAATAAATCTTTTTTCAAATCCTCCCTTCTCTGTTCTCAATTTTTGTTTTATTTGAAGCCAATGAGAGGAGTTAAAAATCAACAACCACTTTACAAAATATCTCTCTATAAATTTTTCAAGTGGGGATCTACTGACATTCACTTTGACATCTAATATCTCTTGTGTTCACACCCAGGTCAAAACTGTGGTAGGAAGAGCCTCTTTTAACATCTTGATCCTGCTGCTGAGATTTCGAAGGCTCACTCCCCTCTAGTATCTGGGCTACTTTCTGATATTATCTCTCTTTACAAATTAGAAAATGAAGGCTCAGAGAGGTTAAGAAACTGTTCACCATTCATTAGATTGAGGAGCTATAATTTGATATCCAAGACTTCTGGACTCTAATATAGGTGCTCTTAACCTCTTAGCTCTGATGGCCACCGGGCGCCAAGTACTGCCTTTTGACTGGGAGAAAAGCTCAGTAGCACAAACTTTCCCCACTGTTCTCAGGGCAAGCTGCGTCCCACATGCCTATCAGGCACTGACTACCTGCTTTTCTCTTTGCTAGCAGGTATCAGCCACAGTGTCCTATGGCTGACTCAGTCCCAAAGTCTTCAATACTTCGCTACTAAAAGGGTGGTCCAAAGGCCAGCAGCAGCACCTGAGAGCTTCTTAGAAATGTGTTATGTCGGTGCCTCCCCACCAATATGCCCAAAGGGAATCTGCATTTCAGTAAGGACGTGAAGATTAAAGAAGCAGCACTCTACACTATTGCTTCTAGGAAACCTAAAGAATCTTCTTGCACATCTATGTCCTGGTGTCTTCCCAGGTGTCCTTGAAAGGAAGTGGAGATTAACTATTCCTTGGAATCCTCGCCACATCTATTACTTTATTATATCAGAATATGATAATATAATAATATGCCACTTTGTTGTTCTTTTATTTATACCCTTCCATAGCCTGTCATCTTGAAATAATATCCTCTGCTCTTTATCTTGAAGACTATAAAACTAATCTCTAAATTAAAAATAAATCTCCAACTAGCTAATTCATAATGTACCCCAGCAGAGTAGAGAACCATTAAGAAAAAAGAGTCGGACCTAGCTAAGGCTAGAAAATGAGTGGTTCACCCTTCATCCCTGCCTGCCCCCACCTTGCATGCTCATACCCCTGCATGCCCACACACACTTCCTGAAACCACACACTCACTTATTATATGAGTCAATAAGTATTTGGTAAGCAGCTACTGAGTGCCAGACCCTGTGATGGGAGTGATAAATTCAATGATGAATCCCACATAGATTCTATAGGAAGTTAATATCCTAGTTGGGGGAAAAGACACATATGCAAAAGTTGATCATTTAAGGTAGAGTATGAGACCTGCTGTATACATCCTTTTACAATAGACTATGCTTTGATAACACAACCACAAGTTATCAGTGAGTTTCAACAATTCTTCTGCAGTAATAGTCCATCATGGGTGAACTCCCTGTTGCCATCATTTCTGGACTCAGACAGAAGAAACAGCCCTTTCTAAGACACGTTGTCCTCAAGGCAGCAGCACCGCATGGAGCAGCACAGAAAGCTCCTGCACACAAGTGGCCCACATCACTTCTTCTCACATTCCATTTCGCAGCCACAGGAGGTCACTGGCCATGTCTGATATCAGTGGGGCACCAGAGAGGAGCTTCCGGAATTGGCACAAGGGGAGAGAAGCAAATATTTGGAAATATAGTGCAATCCATCACACCTCATGACAGATGTATAAATGAAGTGCTTTGGGGATTTGGAAACATGAAGAATACCTCTAGCTGAAAGAAAAAAAAAGGAGGAGACTTTCTGAAGGAGGTGATGCCAACCTGGGCTTTGAAATTTTGGCAGTGGCAGTGGGGATGAGAAAGGTGGAAGAAGGAGGACTGGGAAAACCTGCGGCCATGGAGGCAACGTCCTGGGAAATACTGTGCAGTGGAGCAGAGGATGGAAGAGGAAACTCATATAAATGAAGTTGAAATATAATTATGGAAGGCCTGAAATTCTAGCTAAGATGTCAAAACTTCACCGTAGAGGCAATGAGTGAGGAGCTAGGGCTGAAAGTGACAGGGCAAGTGACATGGAGAGAGTCATGCTACAGACAGATTCATCTGGTCTGGAAACAGTGCTTGCAAAATAGCACTTGAGTTTAAGACCCCTAGTTTCTCTCTCTCTCTCTCTCTCTCTCTCTCTGTCTCTCTCTCTCTCCTGATCATTTTCTAAGACCAGCCCAAATATCTCCTCATTTGTCCTTGAAGACTGATCTAACCCTGTCATGAAAAATTAATTGATTAATTGATCATTTTTCTTCATACCTACAGTCCTTTTACATGTTATCCTAAATTTGTGTGGGTTTGTCTGTGTGTGTGTTTGTGCATATGAATGTTTGTCCTTTAAAGAAATATGAGTTTTCAAACATCAAAGTCTTGTTTTCTACAATTTTGAATTTTCCATTATAGCTCAGAGCTACACACAGCTTTTTTTGTTGAAAAAACAGTTTGGATAAGGAAAGACAGAGACTCCATTTGAAGATTATTGCAACAGTCTATCAGTGGAGTGAAATTTGGAATGGAAAAGCCCAATGAAATATACTGATTAATATTTATGTATTTATCTGTGAAAACCCCTTTTACTTTCGGTAAATTCTGAAGAGGCTTGGTTTTTTTAATTTATTTTTTCTTTTTTTTTCATTGAAACAATTTTTAATAGTACAAATACGTGGCATTATCTCTAATATAGGCCTGACAGTCAAGTCCTTTTTTTTTTCTGGAAGAAGGCCTCAAGTCCCAATCAATTGTCAGTAACAACGTTTTTATGAATCAATGTAATAATAAGGGGTATTAATTTCCTTCATATTTTCGTTTTTAGCATTCTAGTCTTAAAGACTAGATTAGAATTTAGTTCAATTCTCCAGAAGGCAAATCGTTTTACTTTTGCAGTATGAAAGAATCCACAAAAACACCTTGAAGAGGCTTATTTTATATTTTGATATACTACCCTTTGCATTCCAAAGTTAACACTACAAATGAAGCCAAATATGTCACACTTACCTAAGTCCAAACATCCATGCTTAGTCCAACATTAACTGAAAAATCTTGTGGGGGTAAAATGCACTCCAGTGAATAGAAACCACTTCTCACAGCATGTCTTATGCACATGCACTGTAGGATGGGGTCAGTGGCAAAGTTCAAATAAGGAAGTCCCAAATCCTAAAACCCATTTTAATATCCACAAGGTCAATTAACCATAACCATTGTCCTGCCTGAAACTCCCAGTTGCCATGGATTCCTCACTAATGATATTTCTCCAGGGTCTTCTGGATTTTGCAGTTATCTGCTTCATTAGAACCAGGAACTTGTTTGAGCCCAGAGAGAGCCTGTGTGGTGACGTTCAAGAGGAGAGGATAAGCCTGGGCCCTTGGAAATAATGCTGGAGGTGACTTCACTTTTCAACATTCTTTCTCTAAAGAAAATACCAGGGATGGTGTAGATTACAGAAATCCAGATGCTATATTTAGGCTGGAATGAAGGTTACTAAGGGAATTTCTGTCTAACTAGTATGGTGCAGAGGATGGGCTATATAGGCATTGACAAACTCTGTGACCTTCCTCTGAGTAGGTGTATTTGTATGCAGGGGTTACTGTAATACATCATCACAAAATGTAGGCGTAGCCTAAAACAACAGTTCTGAAGCCTGGAAGTCTGACATACAGGAGTGAGTAGGGCCATGCTCTCTCTGGAACTTCTAGAAGAGAATCCTTCCTTGCCTCTTCTGGTGGTTGCCACCAATCCTTGACACTTCATAGCTTGTGGCAGCATCAATCCAAATATCTGTCTTTGTCTTCCCATAGCTGTCTTCCCCCTGTGCCTTCTGTATCTCTATTCTCTCTTCTTAGGAAGACAAGAATCATATGGAATTTAGGGCCCAAGTGAATCGAATATGACCTCATCTTAACTTGATGACTTCTGCAAAGACCCTATTTCCAAATAAGATCACGTTTACAAGTTGCTGGTGGACATGAATTTGGGGAGATACAATTCAACCCAGGGCAGTGGATGTTTGAAGGAAGAACTGAAGAACACAGGGTGAATGTTTTTATCCAATGAAGCCAAGAGCCAGCCTCATAAAAGGCTGGCACATAACGAGCTGGAGATCTGAATTTGTGTGGTTATGTGAGAAGGACAAAGAAAAGTAAGAACTGAATGCCTATTCTCAACCACTGTCCTCAAAATTATTTCTAGGCTATTTGTGTACAAGTGAATTTATGTCCTATCTCATTCTAATGGACCTGAAGTTACAAAAGTTAGAAGGATTTTAATATTCCTCAAGGAAATCAACATTCGTGAAGTACATACTAGGTGTCTGGCACAGTTCTAGATGCCGTGCACGTTATCTCATTAAACTTCCTTATCACAAGTAGCAATTATTTTCCCAATAATACAGCTAAGGAAACTGAGCCTGAGAAAATGACTTCCTTTTTCCAAGGTTAGTTGTACACATATTTAACTATTCTTTGTATTCAAATAGAAGTACATATAAAACACTAATGAAATTTATTCATACCATTTAATGGAAAGCATTATCTAGAGTCGCACTTTCTGCGGGTGATGGATCATGTTATTGTGATTTAGTTCACACATTATTTAGGGAAGAAATTCTCTTTCACTTCTTCATGACCTCCATGAAATCTCAATACACAAAGAGTACACAGACAGCATCAATGGTGGAATCGCCCATTGGCTTTTATAAATCCTCAAATCGGAATTCACACTTTAATTCCAAGTAAGCTGGAAAAAACCACTGGAAATTATAAAATCCAACTCTAGCCTGAAATCTGCCACATAACAATCATGCCATTTGGGAAACTCAGTTCTCTCGATCCCTTAACTGTTAAACCCAGGTGCAGTGCTGATGTATCTCTAAAGACCCCTTCACTTTATTGTTTTATGATAGTAAGCATTTTCAAACTGCATTACCTTTTTAACACTTCTATGCAAAAAGCCATAATTGGTAAGAAATACATTTTAATTCACTTTAAATTCAAATTCTTATTTGACCACAACCTGATTTCTTTCTGACCCATGTTAATTTGTGGGAAAGTGTGGAACCATATTGAGAATAGATGAGATATTATATTCCTGAATGCCCACTACCAGTTGCACATTTCTTTACTGTTGATGCTTCTGTTTCTCAAATATTGTCTTTCTAGATGTTAAAATTTTTGAGCCTGTGTATACCTGAGAAGAAGGCACTTGCTGAAGTGTATTGTTTGTTCCTTGTGGGTAATGTTATTCCCTCAGGCTGGCTGTGAGACCTCCTCCCCATGGAAGAAAACCTTGGACCCATGTGTTTGGCAGATGATTAAAGCAAGCTCTGTTTAGAGGTTTTTCTTTTGACTCAGTAAAATCAGAGAAAAGAGAAAGAACACACTAGTGACTTTCCTCTCTACAAGGACTTTTCAACTTTAAGAATGTGGACATAATGACTCCTGAAAATGAGCACTTTGGATTCATGTTGGCGAGCAGGCCAATAAATAGCATTGCTGAAGGATCTGCCTTTAATAAGGCTGCATTTTATTTGCAGTTCTTGAATAGATCTGCTTCTTAGAAGTAGGATAAGATTTTTACAAGGTCTGGGTTGCAAAGAGTAAGTTTTACCTTGCCTTCAGCATCATTTGACCACCTAGGAATTCCAGCAGAAATTTACCAGATTTAAAATGCATGGATTTAAATAGTTCAAAATAGACTGACTTTCCATCCATAATTTTTGAAAATATCCCATTAATTTTTTAAAAGGTAAATTTGTGACTTTATATATTATGTAATAATTATGTTAGTTTCACATGCATGTATTTGGGGATATGTACTGACCAGACAATTACTTTTAAAAGTGTTTTTTGTTTCGAAATTAAATTATTTAAAAGAAGCCGGCCTGGGCAACATAATGAGACCCAATCTCTACAAAAAATAAATAAATAAGATAAAAATAAAAAAATAAAAACAGGCATAGTGGCATGTGCATGTAGTCCTAGCTACTAGGGAGGCTGAGTTGGGAGTTGGGTAGATCGTTTGAGCCCAGGAGTCCAAGGCTGCAATGACCTATGATCCCACCACTGCAGTCCATCCTAGGTGACAGAGTGAGACCCTGTCTGTAAATAAACAAATACGTATTTAAAAGAGAGAAACTATCTTATCTGTTTTGAGTCAGGTTTCTCAGGTGTTGGGATGTGCTTGTCACACACACACACACACACAGCTCCAACAATTCTAAGCATTCAGGTTGGAATATTTGGACTCATACTGTAGTACACAAAGACCCATCTTTCATGACCAGAATGAGTCAGTTATAGAAACTGATAATTTAAAAAATCCCTGGGGTCTCACAAGACACCATAACCACCATGAACAATTATGTAAGAGTAAGTTTTTAATGTAAAATCTGTAAGTAATAATAATATGGTCAACTCTCTACAGACAAATAACCAATTACAGGAATTAAGGTAATTTTTAAAACCAAAGAAAATAGGGTGGCCACAAACTCCTTCTTGAAGAGAAGAACAATATAAAGAGCAGGCCAGGAGCTAGGTAGTAAGGAAAGTGTTGGGAGGGTGGTCAGTTGGTGAATTATTAGTATGCACTGGTTAGTACTGTCAGACATTGTGTGAGTGCCTGCCCAGCCTCCTTGACACTGTCCCCTTGGCCGTCTGTCCTAAGAAGCTGGATTTTCCATTTTTCTTTGAATTCTAAGGAAGGCTCTGGTATCCTTCCAAAAAAATTATTTAAAAAATAGCTCACTGAAGCTGGTTTTCAATACTTGCAATGAAAAGAAATTCACTCATCCTGAATGAGTTGCAGGAAGGCTTAGGCTGCTACGGTATTGCCTAGTGCCTCCTGAGTGGGAGCACCCCTCCGCCACTGTGACAGGCAGCTCACTCATGGCTCTGGCCCGTGCCTTCCAGTAGGAGAAAGTCACTCTGTGGAAAGTTGATTACTCCCACAGAGAATTTGTCTGTTGTGACACCTGTTTCCTGAAAAATAAGCTGGCCTCAGTCAACACAGTGAGAGGGAAGATAAGTGTTCCTCTTTCCTAAGCATCTGCACTAGTGCAAAGTTAATGCCACCAAATGTAAAAGGTCTTCTTCACTCTGTGCACTAAGTTCTCATTTCAGTAACCACATTATATGTATAATGGGCAGTTAAAATCAGTGCCACTTGAAACTCATTTGGAATTTATGGCTTCCCCCAACTCCTGTTTTCTGGATTCAGTCTCAAATTATGGCTTGGAACGTAGTGTTTCCTACAGGAAAAACTTTGAAATGTGCAAGAGAAAAAAGGGCTCTTGGAGAATATTAAATATCTCTTACAAAACACCATGCTGATGAGTAAATGAGAGTGTAAATGAATCCAGATAAAAAGTATTGTGTTTCCATTGAAATACTCAGGGGCTTAAGAGTTAAGGAAAAAAGTTTTGTGGGGAAATGTGTTTTAGGTTATGCCAAATGTAAAACGTGTGCAAAAGGGTTTGAGATGTTTTTCCTAGATTAAGATGCCACCAGATTACCTCTTCTCAATAATTAGAAAATTAGACAAGTACAATTTATGTGTAAATTCAATGCAATTCATGAGTATGAATAATGATATCAAACTACCATTGAGTACAGAATCTTTGCAGAATTGCCCTGGAGTAAATTCCAGACTCAAAAGAGGTTGTGAATTAGGCCATGAAGAAAGAGATGCAGCTATTGACTTGCAGATTTTGATTTAGTTTTTAATGCGGCTTTTAAATTCTTTTGAATTTAGTCATTTTAAGAATGTGGATGGGAGAATAAAACTAAATAATGATTTTAAGTGGGCACCCAGGTCAAATTCTTATCCCTTATAATTCTAGAAGGGGACAAAACCAATTGGATTTTGGTATAGTGCAAAAAAATTCAGATGATGTTGAGTCACATGTGTGGATCTACAACTGATTGTTCCTTATCTGTTGACACTATCCAATACATTAAATTCTTTGGTGTCTTATTTTCCTTTTATTTTTATTTTATTTATTTATTTTGAGATGGAGTCTCCCTCTGTCACCCAGGCTGCAGTGCAGTGGCATGATCTCTACTCACTGCAACCTCCGCCTCCCGAGTTCGAGTGATTCTCCTTTCTCAGCCTCGGAGTAGCTGGGACTACAGGGGTGCACCACCACACACTGCTAATTTTTTCTTGTATTTTAGTAGAGACGGGGGGTTCACCATATTGGTCAGGCTGGTCTCAAACTCCTGACCTAAAATGATCCACCCACCTCGGCCTCCCCAAGTGCTGGAATTACAGGTGTGAGCCACTGTGCTCGGCCTGGTTTTACTTTTATATCATTATAGTGGGCACTTTTGCCCAGTGTCCATAAGAAAGTGACACCATGAGCAATTGCCACTTTCTCCCCAACTAATCTCTGTAGAAATTTTCTCTGTAGCTGACACTGCACTATTTGTTTGGAGATACACAGATGGATATTCCTAGCTTCTGTTCTCCTGAAGCTGATGATGTCAGAGAATCAAGAAGACACACAATAATCAAATTCAATATATGACTGTTCTGAGAGTTCCAGAATAGAAAACAAAACAAAACAAACACCATGGGAGTCCAGAAAAGGATATGAAAGTAAATTTATCTATTCTATATCTTTGATAAAGCTTCTTGTAGAAGTTTCATCCACACATACATTGTCCTCATTTTTTGAACTCTTTATTTTACTACCATTTAAATAACATTGCCAATTGTGCAGTCATGCTCCCTTTGTAAGTCTTTTGCATCTATACATTCTGGTCCCTATCAAAGCTCCTTGGCTATAATATAAATTTCAAGTATTATGCTTCTTTGAATCATCTTCTATTGTTTGCAAACTGTAGCACAATGTAATAATTGCGTCTTAGTCTGTTTTCTGCTGCTATAACAGAATACCACAGACTGGGTAATTTATAAAGAAAAGAAATGCATTTCTCATGGTTCTGGAGGCTGGAAAGTCCAAGAAAATGGCACTAGCAACTGGCAAGGGTCATACCATGGTGGAAGGCTGAAAGGCAGAAGCCAGCATGCAAGGCAGAGAGAGAGAATCAGGCTGAACTCACTTTTATAACAAACCTGGTCTCATGATAACTAACCCACTCCTGAAATAATGGCATCAATCCATTTATGAGGGCAGATCCTTCATTACTTCATCACCTCTTAAAAATCTCCACATCAGTTAAATCTCAATATGAGTTTTGGAGACAACAAACATTCAAACCATAGCATTCCACCGTTGGCCTTCCAAAACTCATGTTCTTCCCACATACAAGATACATTCATTCCATCCCAATAGCCTCCAAAATCTTAACTTGTTTCATCACTAACTCAAAAGTTCAAAGTCCAAAGTTTCCTCTAAATCCAATATGGGTGAGACTGAAGACATGATTTACCCTAAGGCAAATTTCCTCCAGTTGTGAACCTATGAAATCAAAACAAGTTATATGCTTCCAAAATAAAATGGTGGTATAGGCATAGGATAGACATTCCCATTCCAAAAATAAAAGAAATAGGCGAGAGAAAAGGAGTAAATGATCCCAAGGAAGTCCAAAACCCAACAGAGAAAACAACATTAAGTCTTAAGGCTGGAGAATAATCTTCACTGACTGCATGTTCCAAATCGTGAATACACTGGGCCCCCAAGATCTTGGGCAGCCCTGTTCCCATGGCTTTGCTGGGCTCAGCTCACACTTCAGCTTTCTAGAATTGGAGTCTTGTGCCTTTATCTCTCCCAGGGTGGCATTGCATGCTGGCAGCTCTACAGTTCTGTGGCCTCAGGGGTGGTGCTGCGTCTATGGCTCCACTAGGCACTGCCTTAGTGGAAACTCTCTGTGATGGCTTTACTCTGTGCCTGTGGAAAGTTTTGGCCTAGATACCTAAGCTATTTGCAACATTCTTTGAAACCTAGCTAGGGAAAGCCATGCCCCCACAGCTCTTGTATTCTGTGTCCCTACAGAATTAGCACCACATGGGTGCCACCAAGGCTTACCACTTGCATTTTCTGGAATGACAGTGATGCAGGATTTTTTTGGTGCTGCTTCACCAGGTGAAGACCTCTGCAGCTAGCGACATCTCTGCCCAGGGCCTCACTAGGCTCCAGGTTTGCTGCAGGAGGTAGCCCACCCACTGGGCCCAGCAGGCTGCTCTTGACTTATGCTTCGGCCTGGATTTGCATGGTCTGGTGAGGCCCGGCATGGGCCAGGCATGAGGCTGAGCTGGGCATGCCATCACCTGCTTCTGCTTTGAGTGCTGGCATCTGAATGAGGGGAATGTGGTGGCGCCCAAAAAATTCATAGATATCAGTGATCCCAGAGCCCCATAGGGCATGTTATTCCCCCATCCACAGCTCAGTGGACAGGGACGTGTTAACAGCTCTTTCAGTCCCATCACTTCACTCAGGCCCGTGGCTCCTGGGCATGCCCAGCCCCACCACTACTTCCTGTCGCTTGGAGTGGCCACCCGGGGGAGGGCAGAGGGCTACAGTGTTATAGCCTTTCTCACACCCATGTTCAGAGGATCCCGAGTTCTTGTCCCACATCCAAGAAGAATGAGGTTATGCTGACAACCAGAGGGCAAGCAGGGTGGATAGTTTTATTGAGTGACAGCTCTCTGTGGAGAGGAAACCCAAAGACGGCAGCACCTTTCCTGGAGTTGGGTAGTCCCCCCAGCCTGAAGGCAGGTAGTCCCCAAGTATGGCTGAGTACCAGGCTTTTATGGGCTCAGAATGAGGAAGTGTGTGCTGATTGGTTAGTGAGTATGGAAAAAGGGCTAAAAAAAGGCACTCCTCAAAGATGGACATGACAGTGCAAAAACCAATTAGGGAAGGGTAGGTATATGTAACACAGGTGAAGGGTGGGGATCAATCAGAGGAAAGCATACCAAATAGGAAGAGAGGTTCTCAATCCAGTCTGTGGATTTATCCAATCCACAGCTTGGTTTTCAGGCTTGGTTTTCAGGCTTTAAACTGTCTTCAGCTTGAAGGTTGGGTTTCACCAGGGAACTGACCCTATCTGCCTAGACATTTGACTGCTTCCTGCCACTATCTGGGGCAGCCAAGGAGCACTACACTGGGATACAGAAAGCAAAGACTTGAGGCACTTCTGGGCAGTAAATGCGTGGAGGGCACCCTGAACCTGTCTCCCAAAACCTCTGCCTTCTTAGAGCTCTGACCCTGGAATGGGAGGGGCAGCCTCAAAGAATTCTGAAATACCTTCACAGTCTTTCTCCAATGGTTATGATGAATAACACGCTGCCTCCTTCTGTTCTTGGGTATCTGTTTAGCAAATGATTGTGTGGAACACACCCTTGAATACTTTTTTGTTCTTTACATGGCCAGGCTGCAAATTTTTCAAATTTTTCTTTTCTACTTCCCCTTCAACTATAAATTATGCCTCTACATTATTCATTTCCTCTAGCATCTTATTATAAGTGGTTAAAAGTAGCCAGGCAGCAGCCTAAAGGCTTTGCTGGTTAGATAGTTCTTCTATCATATATCCTAGTTTGCCACTCTTAAACTCCATCTTCCATAAAGTCATCAGACATGGATATAGTTCATCCAATCTCTTTGCTGTTTTATAACAGAGATTGTTTTGGCTGTAGTTTCCAATACCTTCTTCTTCAGTTACACTTGAGACCTCTTCAGAACCACCTTTACTGTTCATATTTTTATCAACATTTTGGTCACAACCCTTAAGTAATCTCTAAGAAAATTCTGATTTTCCCTAGTATTCGCTTCTTCAGAGCCTCGCCAGAATCATCTTTAACTTTCCACTTACAGCAAAACAAGTTTTTTCTAGCCTGTTCCTCCAGACTCTTTTAGCTTCTATCTATTACTCAATTCCAAACCTGCTTCCACATTTTCAGGTATTTGTTATAACAACAACCCCACCTAATGGTACCAATTTTATACCTTAGTTAATTTTGCTGCTATAACAGAATACCACACATTGGGTAATTCATAAAGAAATTTATTTCTCATGGTTCTTGAGGCTGGAAAGTCCAATAGCATGGCATGAGTACCTCGTGAGGGTCATTTTGTGGCAGAAGGGTGAAAGGCAGAAGCCAGCACTCAAGACAGAGAGAGGAAATACGGCCAAACTCACTTTTATAACAAACTCAATTTTATAATAACTAACCCACTTCTCTGATAATGTCTTTAATCCATTCACGAGGACAGAGCCCTTATGACCTACTCACTTCTTAAAAACCCCATATCAATTAAATCTCAATATAAGTTTTAGAGGAGATAAACATTCAAACCACAGCAAATTGTTTGTTAATTTTTTGTTGCTGTTTTGTTTTTTGTTTTTGAGATGGAGTCTCTCTCTGACACTCAGGCTGGAGTGCAGTGGCATGATCTCAGCTCACTGCAACATCCACCTCCCAGGTTCAAGCGATTCTCCTGCCTCAGCCTCCCAAGTAGCTGGGATTACAGGCATGTGCCACCACATCCAGCTAATTTTTTGTATTTTTAGTAGAGACAGCATTTCACCATGGTAGCCAGGATGGTCCTGATCTCCTGACCTTGTGATCTGCCTGCCTTGGCCTCCCAAAGTGTGTTTGTTAATTTTTTTAATGAAGCAAAGTGCTATTGTGAAACATATTCATTAAGCTTTGTAAATTATGTTATTAAGTCAAATGTGTAATTTTCAATGTAATAATTCACATTTCAAGAAGACCATTGGGCAAAATTCTCTCAGAGAAAGACGGAAAAATTTTACCCCTGTGGAAATTCTCATGGGAATCTAAACAAAATTGTGGATGCTTTTATTTGGTTGGTAAGAATAATCCCACCTCAAATGTTTAGCAAGGCAGGGTGGTTCTTCCTAAATGTCCTGGACACTTCTGAAAGTACAACCCTTAAATGAAAATCATACCCCTCACATTTTCATTATGACAAACATCAGCTCTGACCATAATTTGCTTGCAGTGTTTCCAAGCAAAATACAATTTTATGAGGGAATTGCAACGAAAAGAGGAGGTTCTTGCTAAGGATCCTGTGAAACACAAACTCCTCTGTTAGATCATTTTTCTTTGAGTTCTTACTCTAAACATAATCTAGTTACTTAGTCAGAGGGGTGGGTAAAGTCAAAATCAGACCAATTTTAGTCTAATACCATCAGCAAGAAGAAAGAGGTGCTGGGATCATGTGGGTGGGCTTTCAAATTGCCTTTTCAAATGGTTTCCCTGACAAATGGCTGGAATCCAAGCGAATACACATAAAGGAAGTATCAAAATAGCAGTTCCAAAAGCTCCCAAATAGGGACTATTTATGGGCCATTCTGAAATGCTGTAGCTGACACCAATTACAATGAGACCATGCTTTTGAGAGTTGGCATGAAAATAGAATGTCAACCTTTAGTGTGATTTTTAAGGCTGAAAAAAGTGCAGTGATGTAGAAGCTACTTCTCCCAAGGCAGAAGGTACCTCTCAACATGGTACTGCTGGCAAAGTGAGGAACCATTGGAAAGAAATCCCTTTGGAGTGGAAAAAGTGAAAAGATACCATTTCCTTGAAACTGAGAAATTCTTTGAATTTATAATTCAGATTGTCACATGTGTTAACTAGCCCTATCTTTATATTTCATAATCTCTTAGAGAATTATCACTATGTAGCACTTGTATGGTGTATCATTAATTTTTTCTTTAATCCAACACTCATTGAGCATCTTCCACATGTCAGCCATTATGCTAAAAGGTGGGAATGGAAAGATAATTAAGATATAGACCCTGACATCAAGGTGTTTACTGTCTAACAAAGGAGAGAGATGTCCCCCAAGATGACTATTCTAAAAAGATGAGTTCTGCTAACAGAGTTTCTCAATCTTGGAACTATTAATATTTGGGGCTGGATATTTCTTTCTGTGGAGGCTATGCTGTGCATTGTAAGATGGTTAGCAGCACCCCTGGCCACTAGCCACTAAATGCCAGTAGCACCCTCTCAGTGTGACAACCAAAAATGTCTCTAGACATTGTCAGATATTCCTGGGAGGCAAAATCTCACCTGGTTGTGAACCACCATGCTAAAGCACATCCAAGGAATTTTGGAAAGACAGAAAATGGAGTCCTTATTTCATGTAGGGAGTCAGAAAAAGCGTTTTTTGAGTTAAGCTCTAAAATTTATTTATTCAGCAAATATACTGAGCATCTACCAGATGTAAAGTGCTAGATTATTCATGAAGTGATTTAGGAGTTTCCTAAATAGTGGGAAGAGTATGTACCCAGAACAGCACCATATGTTCAGAAAACTACAAGGTGTTTGATAGCTATGGCCTGTGATATATGGGATGGTCAGTAGGAAAATGAAGCTAGAAACTAAAAATGCTCCAGTTTAAGAAAAGCCTTGGGCTTCATGCCAAGGGGTTAGGAGTTTGGGGTTTACCCTGTGGATGATGAGAGGTTACTAAAAGATATTAAGCAAGAGATTCTTATGGATGAATCACATTGACTGTTACACAGTTGGTAAAGCAGTCTATTGAAAAGTCAAACATCCTGTCAACTACTACCTGCCCTACAAAAAATGACCATTGTGTCTGAGTTTCCTCACTGAATGAATCTCACAGATGATCTCTCAGAGCTGAGTTTCCTGGGTTTACAGATCCTTAAGGAAAATTCATTTCTGCTCCTTCCTATGGAAGACTTGCCTTTCCAATAGCTGTGAGGTGCAACATTATTGCCATGTGCACTAGAAGTCCTGCCATCCAAGCTGGAAAAGGAAGAAACATAGTTGGAGGAAAACCCCAAATGGATAAAGCAATCTGCAGAGCCTAACTATTTTACCGATGCCCTAATTTCTAACTTCCAGAATATACATTTTTATTTTTGAAAAGCAAACTTTGCTGCTTGAATCTAGTTTGGATCTAGGTGGTTTGGGGCAGCCTGCCAGGCTCACAGATTAAGTGAAAGTCATTACAAAATGTTTTTACGCACATGGGAATCACAGGGATTGTTTGGTGCTAGTTTGGCTCTCCACCATTAATTTTAATTATCTCAAAATGCAAACATGCTGAAATTTCCAGCAGATGACATTATTTTCTCCTTGACATCAGACATAAAAGGAAGAAAAATAAACATACGACAGTGACAACATTAAGCTGGTAGGCATTTTTCTTTAATATTTCAAATTCAATTCCAGACCAGATTCTCTGTTTTGTCCTAGAGATTAGGGTAGGAAGATTGTCGTCTTGGTCTGATGAAAGCCTTGCCTTTCCAGTTAGCTTAATTAAAGGAAAAAGGGAGGAAGCCAGGAGGAGAACAGTCTGGTTTAGATCAGGGTCAGAGGCTTGGTTTTTACAAACACACCACAGATTCTTGTTGTTTTATGTTTTCAACATTTTTCTGGTTCTTGGTAGAAAGTCCAGTTCCGTTTTCAAAATGAACTAACCCCGTAGGTCCAGTGACTTGGCACTTTTTTTAAGTGTTTGGTGTTTCTGATGACAGCAGACCAGAGCCAGGAAGATTGTGTAGGTTCCCACATAGTCTCAGGACACGGAGAGATGATGGGTAGCTACCATGGTAAACTAGCAATGTGGGTACCCTAGTTCTCAAGGTCTATAACTAGTACCAGAATTAGATCATTTATCAAAACTTTCTTACACCATTTAAAAATTAATGTGTAAATTCTATCTGCTGTGGAGACTATGTTCATGCTAAGTCTCTTTACTTCCTCTTGCTATGTAATATGTCGTTTACTGTATATTACAAGAAATGCTAAGTGTGTTCAGCTATATACCTAGGGTAACCAACTCATCCTGACTTGTCTGGGACTTTCCTCATTTGCCTAAGACCTTTCTGGTTTTAACACTGAAAGTCCTCCATCCTGGGAAATCCCTCCATCCCTGGTAAACCAGGATAGTTGGTCACCCTAGTTGACTATATATCAATTGCATATATACATTATATAGTTGGTGGTTGAGAAAAGCTAATTAGTCACAGCTGTTTCTTATCAAATGAAAGAAGAAAGCCTTCTCACTGTGACCACAAAAGGCTAAAACACACAACTATATTTTACATGTGACTAACACATTGAAAATAACCAAATATTAAAAAGGCTTTTTAAAATAAATCAACTTTATTGATAGTTTGTTTACAATAAAATGCATTGATTTCAAGTGCAAATTTCAATGAGTTCTGACAAATATATACACCACATAAACACCACCACAATCAAAATAAAAACTTTTTTTTTAATTTAAAAGTGCCCCCTTCCTAGTCCATTTCCCACCCCTCTACCCTGGCATAATTCTGTCATCAATTTTCTGCTAATAATTTGGAAAATATCAATTGAAGAAATTATTTTTAAGACTATGATTACTAAAAGAATTGATTCAGAAAGAAGAAAAAGAAATAAGCCAAAAACTATGCAATACATTTTAAAAGTTGGAAAACAGTGTCAGATGGTTTAAAGGAACTTAATTTTCAGGCCATCTGAGTTCCTATAATGCATAGAAAAGGATGGGTCAATTCTCAATTAATTTTCTTAAGCTAGTAGTAAAATCTGACAATGAAATAAAAGAGGTCAAGGGAAGAGAGAGAGAGACTGAAACTAGAAGCCAAATGCATTTGTCAATTACATGTAAAAAGTCTAAATCACATTATATCCACTCAATTTCAACAGTATATTAAAAGAATAATACAACATAATCTAAGAGATTTAATTCCAGGAATTAAGGAGTTATTTAATATTAGAGTTAACCTATTGGGGTAATATATAGATCAGCTAGTCTATCTTATCCCCCAAATCTATAAACTTAATGCAATTTAAATAAACTACAAATGGAATATTTTTCTTGAATTTGACAAATGAATTATAAAATCAATCTGGGAGAACAAATAGGCAAAGATAGCAAATAAACTATTGGAGCGGGAATGAAGAAGGGAGAAATTGATCTGCAAAATATGAAGTATTATGATGAGAAAATTTAGTTCTGGTGCCAACATAGAGCAGTGGGACAGAATTAAAATGTCCTAAAGAGATGTATACAAAGAAGGGTGGCATTTTTCATGTTTCTTGCATCTAAGGGAGCCCATGTGACAAGTTCTCGCCAATGGATGAAGAATGCTGCTTTCAGGCTGACCTATAAAAGGTCCTGTAGAACCTTTCATGCTCTCTCTTTTCTTCCTCGCAGCTCACAGTGAAGGACCCTGAGAGGGCAGAGCCATGTGATGGAATGAGCCATGATCCCTGAGTCCTCACCTCAGGGAGAGATGTGCAGAAGAGCCACCCAAGTGGTGATGTGCTGGTAAACATTTAGTGACCCATTTGAGGTGTGGGGGGAGGCTCTAACTGGTAACATTTGTTAATTTCTGTAATGCATACTCCTACTAAGGCTGCTTTTAGGCAACCAACGTGATGTCACTGAACACAGTTTGGAATGGATGCACATAATCAGTTCTCATGATCCAGGATGAACCAGCCCTAGCATACCACTGCCCCTAACCCACATATAACTGTGTCATCATTTAAAAATAAACATATTGGGTTAAGCCTTTGAGATTTGGGGGTTGTTTGTTATAGCAACTAGGTAGTGTTAACCTAGCTAATATAATCCAGTACTTAGAAAATTATGAGAAGCAATCTACTTCATTTTAGTGTAGCTGTTACATCAAAATTTGACAATGTAATAGAGGAAAGAAAACATAAACAGTCCTTTGTAAACATGAACAATTAATGTCTTACATAAGCTTTAAAGCTCTTAAACAAAACCCAGTTAGTCAAACAAGCAACAAACAAATATTTGTGTGCAAGTTCAATTTATTGTGAGGATGCAAGAATGATTTAGAGTTAGAAATTCCATTCATAATTTATCACAGTAGGTTCAAAGAAAAAAAGCATATTAGCATTATAATAGGTCCTGAAAAAGCAACACCCATTCTCCACGTTGAAAAAAAACAACAAAAACTCTACTAGGAATAAGTGAATGTTTGTTTCTATAATATGAGAAAGAATATGGATACTAAATAGCCAATGTCATAATTCATGCTAAAATATGAGAATTTAGAATCAAGAGAAGGATGTCCCTTCTTTTTTATTTTATTTAACATTGTTCTGAAGTCCTAGCTATGCAAATTATACAATGAATGGAAGTTCAATAATTACTCTGGGAAGGAAGAAGAAACAAATCACATTATTTATGATTATACATCCAGAAAACCCTAAGATTCATGGAAAATCTATTAGAACAAACATGTAAGAAAAAACACACAATAGCTGTTATATCCTGCCCAGTATCTTTCAAGCCTAGAATGGAATTTGAAGATGCAAGATGTTTCCACATAAGCCTGTTGAAGATGCAGACAGAGCCCAGAGTAAGGAGGAGGTGTCTTTGCCTGATTCTCCCTTCTCTCTTTCTAGCCTGCGCATTTTCATTCTTCTCCTCTCCCTCCTGTCTCTCTCTCTCTCTCTCTCTTTTTCTCTCTCCTTCACAAACACAAACATACAGCCCTTGGGCATCTGCTAGATAGAAGGAGAATCAAATTCTCTGCTCTTTTCTCCTGCTTATGGAGGAAAATAGAGGTGTAGACCTGACAAAGTGTTTGCATTTGATTGGAAATATTTAAAAAAAAATAGCTAATTTTGAAACTTCCTCTGGATTTTCCTGATTTTAAGGATGGGGCCTTTTTTGGCTTAGCAGATCACTCTGATGAGTGTAATGCCAGGATGGAGTATAGTGATCATATTTGGAAGAGAATACACATAGAGAAGCTCAGAGATTGATGTGATCTGAAGAACAAAAATCCTCAGCATTAGGAACAGCCAGATACTGGGGAGAAATGGACAAGGACCTGAGCGAGAGGAGAAGAAATTGAGTAAGTCTGGCAATATTGTGGGAGAGTTGGGTTAGGAGAAAAGGGTGCAAAGCAAAGCAAAAACCCTACTAGCCCATGTAGCTTTCAGAGCCAACTGTTCATGAAAGACGTCTGCACATGTCTACTTTGTCTCCTCCAATTCACACTTCAAAGAATTCCAGTCTAGTTTTCTCCCCAGAGACATCTCTGATCCTGCCCTTGTCCAAACCGACTACTACATCCATACTCCAAATCCAAGATTTATTTTCTTGGCCATTTTATTTGACCTCTCAGTGGCACTCAAGGCAGTTAATAATACAGTCAGCTACTTGCAATTTCTTGCATAACTTCTCTGCTCTCCCTTCCTTTTCACAGCATACCCCCTCTTGGTACACATTGCTGGGCAGGACAATCCTAGTGTTGAAAGTTGGTGGAGTTAAAGTACAATAAAAATTACATAAAATAATAAATTTCAAATGCAGTGACATTGAATACAGATCATGGGGATCACTGATCTAAAGTGATCCTAGACATGAGAATGGACTAATCTCATTTCATAAAAATGTATACTTTATGTAGAGTTTAATTTAAATTATGGTGTGATATCCAATAATAGCATCTCTCATTGGGACACCCTGGGTTCTTGTCTGTACAAGAGAGAGAAAGAGGGCAGGGAGGATGTGGTCTAAAACCAACTGATGCTGATCTGATCAACTGTTGCTGATCTGCAGCCCCATTTGGGTAAGATGTAGCAGATGGGGGAAAAGAAAGCTCCCAGGAGGGAAGATGGAAATTCCAGGATGCCTCATGTTGTCTGGACAAATGAACCTAAAGCCAAAAGGTCAGCTTGATTTGCTCTGCTACAGACTTAGAGTTCTCCGAATGCACAGGGCACACAGATAAGAGTCCTTCCCTGAAGGCACCATCGCAAACAACCCCCTCCCCCCATCAAGAATTCAAGAATGCCTCTCAAGATCTCCTTTCTGTTGTATCCCTGATCTACCCCTTTTTGCTGCCTCCAGAGCCCAGCAGTACGTTTTCTTACTCAGATAAAAATTCACCCCAGAGCTATCCAGTGTGGCCACATGGAGTGACATGAGGGTTCAGGAGGCTCAGAGCCCTGTTGAAAAGTCAGTTAATGAAGGTTTTATACCTGGCATTGTGGAGACACCAAGCATCGCAGATGCAATCCTAGTCATGGAGGATATAACCGTGTACTTGGAGGAGACCAGTCACACATCTGAAAAAAGGAGAATATGAGTGCAAGGGAACATCAGTAAAGCTTCAGGGATTGTGAGTAAACAGGGCACAGAGATGAACAGGGCACCACCCAGACAGGGGACTAGGATGACTTCATTGAAAAATGGGACTTGACCTGGACTTGGAGTGGCATGTAGGATTTGGAAGTGTGTTGAAGAAGGAGTAGGGATTCCAGTGACAAGGACAGGGGCTGTGCTGACCACTGGTTCCTGTGGGAGGGAGCCCCCGACTCTCCAAACACCTCTTTTCTTTATCATGTTGGCCACATAAAGCAGCCTTCATTCTCTGAAGAGAAGGCTCATGTCTGACTCCACACAAGATGCACAACTCAACACTTGTTGAATTAGGGATGGAGGAAGTCTGAGGGTGGCTTGTAGCTGCGCTCCTAACAGATAAAATTGGATCTCCCTTCCCTATGACTCTGTTTTTCTCTCATTATCTCTCCTGGTGTGAGTCTGCCATGTACTTTGTATAACACTGTTCTGGTGGAGGACACACGTTTTTATTGGAACCCAACAAAAGCACCCCCTGTTTGTGACTCCTTGGGATCCCCAACTATGCTCTCACTAGCTTGTGCATGGGATGGGATTACAAACTGTAAATCAAAAGAGAAGGCTACAGAATAATTAACCACTGACACGACCCGAGTGATGACCAGCGAGCATGGACCTAGTACTCAAACACATGAGCTGCCTGTCCAACCTGTCAGGGCAGACACGGCCCAGACCAACTTTTCACTCAGATTCTGCAAAGACTGAGCATTTAGTATTGTTTGTCTGGGAGGCCATGTGCTGCCAATCAGCACCATTAGAGACTGATTTCCCCAGAGAGCATGCAGAAGAACACAAGCTGCCCCAGCTCTCCCTCCTGCAGCTCATGCCTTGCCCACAGCCCTGGAGATCGTCTAAATATCTCGACATCCACTATTTACTTCACTCTGTATGTAGTTTCCCCTACCTGGCAAAGCAAGAGCTGTTAAAACTATTCTCCTCATTTCTCTCACTTTCCCGGAATGGAAACTCCAGCCCCCATTTCAATTGTCTACACATCATTTCCACAGGTAGCTCCACTTACAGTGACTTCCATCCCCAAAGACCTACTTCTGTGCACATTCCCCGCTTTTGCCACCATTCAATTCTATCTGTTCTATCTGATATCTTCACTGGTGTGTATGCATGTATTTAAAGATTTCCCAGAAGGAATTGGGACTGTTAGATCTTTTTTTTTTTAGACGTAGTCTTGCTCTGTTACCCAGGATGGAGTGCAGTGGCACAGTCTCAGCTCACTGCAACCTCTGCCTCCTGGGTTCAAGCCATTCTCCTGCTTCAGGCTTCCAAGTAGCTAAGATTACGAGCATGCACAACCACACCCGGCTAATTTTTTTATTTTTAGTAGAGACGGGGTTTCGCCATGTTGGCCGGGCTGGTCTCGGACTCCTGACTTCAAGTGATCTGCCTGCCTCAGCCTCCCAAAGTGCTGGGATTACTGGCATGAGGCACCACACCCGGCCAATGGTTGGATCTTTAGAACTTCCTGTTCATAACTGTTGAGAAATTACTGTAAAGGGTTTAAACTCCAGGGCATGGAAGATTCCATCCTCTGGAGGCTTTGAACACCCCCCTCACCCTGTAATGAAGGGCACTGTGTGAGGCTTTGCCCTCCAGGCACAAGCAATTTTCTTAATTAAATATCATCCTGTGGGAATGCAATGACCAAGACATAGTCTGAACAATCACTTAATAGGGATGAGAAAACACCTTTTAGCTAATCTACTTCTTGAACCGAAATCACAGTGTCATGTTGAAGTTGCTTTATAGCTGGCCAAAGATTACCTTTAGGAAGAGTGTTTCTAAAGTCCTGTGAAAAAGTTCAGAAGGCTTCTTGAACATTAAACGAGTCTTACAACACAAGGTTCTAATGAGTTATTGTAATTGCAAATGAACCAGAAACAGATGGATTACATTTCCTATTGAAATACATAAGGGATTGAAAATTAAAGGGAAAAAAAGAATGATTGGCAAAATACAATTTGCGGCTTGGCAAAAGCCAGCCACTTGGAATAATCATATCTAGTATGTGCCATGCCCAAAGTGTAGCCAGGTCAGCTAGGAGGGTGTTCTGTGGAAGTCCAGTGTTGAGAGCCGGATGCAGGTGAGGCCCAGGCCTGTGGTGGAGATTCTGGAATGCAGCTGCCAGATGAAAAGGAAGACTAGGGACAAACGAGGTGGAGCAGGTGAGGTAGGGCAGGGAAACGCACCAGAGCGGGTATCAGAGGAGAAAGATAGACGTGGAACACAGGCAGCTGACTTTGTGAAAGAATTTGGAGAGTAGAAGCCCCCTCTTCCCTCACTCCTACCCTAGCTCCTCCCACCTCCACCTGCCAGGCATGTGAAAGAGTCAGCTTGTTCTTTGAAAAGGGCACTGGCTCCTAGAGGTGGGGCTGAGCATCCAGATGTGCTTAGGAGCAGTGACTGAGTATGAGAGGGGATTTGAATAGGGCAATGGATTACACGCAAACTTCTCCCCTGGAAAGCAGGCAGAAGAATACGATTTGAACGAGAAGAATATAAAACATGAACATCAGATATAAACTATGAAAAATGCTTTGTTTTCAGTCTTCTCTGCAAAGTTAAATAAAGCCATTTGTTGGAAGCAATGAGGTTTGCTGGGCAGATGAAACCGTCAGATTTGTTGGGAGACGTTGACACCAAGGGGTTAGCTACAGAGAAATAAAAACAGCAGGAGCCCAGTCCAACTCTAGGAGGATGTGGCTTAAAGTCCAAGCTAGGTTACTGCAAAATTTGGAGATATGAAACATTTCCCTTTGCCTCTTTGTCAGGCCTTCCTTTCCCACACAGCTACATTAGCAGGAAATTCTCCAGCTAAGGCCGGCCTGCCTCCATCTCTTGAGCAGCCTCCTTGTAGGCTTGTTATAGGCTCTCAGTCCCTCGAGTCCAGGATATTGACTAAATAAGCCATGTGGGTGTTTGGGGACCTCGCAGAACCATAGGCTAAGAAGCACCTATATTTGCCTAACATATTTTTTTTCCTTTTTTTTTTTTTTTGAGACAGGGTCTCGCTCTGTTGCCCAGGCTGGAGTGCAATGGCGCGATCTCAGCTCACTGCAAGCTCCGCTTCCCGGGTTCACGCCATTCTCCTGCCTCAGCCTCCCGAATAGCTGGGACCATAGCCGCCCACCACCACGTCTGGCTAATTTTTTGTATTTTTAGTAGAGAGGGGGTTTCACTGTGTTAGCCAGGATGGTCTCCATCTCCTGACCTCGTGATCCGCCCACCTCGGCCTCCGAAAGTGGTTTTTTTTTTTTCCTTTTTAAAGCACTGAACACATCTTAGCCTGACAATATCATGTCACAGTTGTGTCCCCAAACCCTTTCACTTCACACTTGAAATATTCAACAGGAATATTGGACAAATAAAAGTTACAAAGTAACATAAGCTCTATTCAAAGAAATGACGGAAGAAACAAATGTAATTGGTCATTTCTCAAACATTTTGTGGTGACTCTGTCCTTATGTGATTCGTTTTTGGCACAGATTTCAGGATCTTTAAGGCCACTGTATTTAGATTACATTTTATAATGTCATAACCTTATAATTAACATATTGAACATGCCCATGTTTTTCTTCTACCCTGCCTAGCAGCTTAGTTTGGACAAGGGAAATGTAGATAAGAAACTATTAATTATCTGCCAGAAAGAAAAAAAAAAGACTACTTATCTTTTGGGGTAAAATAGATCTGAGCACACATAAGAATTATAACTATTTTTGCATAAAATAAATAGTCTCCTTTTGGTGTTATCAAGAAGGCGTGGTGAGTTGTCATTTATCTTGTACTCCCAGCCCGCACTCTTGATCCTACTGTAACCCTTATTATTTGCAAAAGATGAAAGCAAGATCAGAATTTTGTGGAGCTGGGAATTGAACTGTAGTTTTGTTGCAATAACAGTGAACGTCCTTGAAAGTGTCTCACTCATGAAGACTGTCTGGTTTATTATGATTCTCTGGTATTTGGCATTTGGTATCAAGTCCAGCTGGATGAAATTATATCTGGGAAATTATCATCTATCTGATGCCAGTCTTCAAGTGTCACCAAAGCCCCCTTCATCTGGTAGGCAATTAAAGGAAGCTCTGGAGTCCTCGGGGACTTCTCAGCCCCCACTGAGTACAGTACACTTCAGATAAAGGAACTTTCAAGCTGATCTCATCTGTAAAGTTCTGGACCTGGAGAGGAAAGGCTGGGAGATGGGCTGTCCTGCCTGAGTCACTCCTTGCGGTCAAGTTAACAGGACAATGGTGAGCTTCTGCTTTGAGAAAAGGTACATACACTTTCTGTCCTGAGGACCCCTCCCCTTGCTCACCCTAGAGATGGCAAATGTGAAGAGCTGATTTATCTCTGCAGATTTGCAGCTTCTGGGATTCAGGAGTGGAGCCGCATTTGTATCCCTCTCCAGCCAGAGAAACTGGTGGACTTTCACACTGGCCAGTTGGATATGTGGAAGAAGAAATAAAGTTCATAACTTTGGGGATGCAAAGGAAACTGTTTTCATGATTCCCCAAAAAGCTAATCACAGGAGAGCTCTGTGAAGTTGGCCAAGGGCATGCTTTGAGAATGATAGATTTAACGTTTGCTTTCTTTGGCCTGGACGTTTCCCAGAGTCTCCTTATATCTTTTCTTGATACATAATGTGCATTCTAAGGGAGGCAAGGGAGGACTGTAACTTGGCACAATCTTCCTTACATGTAAATCCCTAAACTGAAACGAAAGACTACGATACGCTGACACAGAGAAGATGATGGGAAGGGAAATAAAGAGGGGACAATCATCTATAAATTTTAATAAAACTCTGACTTAATTTAGTATAACAGTCTTGTGATTTAATAAAGCACATATTAAATAATGAAAAGGTGCTTGCTTGAAATGGCTTTCAGTAAATATTGTCAACAATAACTGGCCTTTTCTTTATTGTCATAAATGTCCCTGCCAATAATACTAGATATGTAATCAAAGAATATCTACAACTCCAGTTACTGCTCTGTTTTTCCACATGTGATTTGGACCCTTTAGTCACAAATATAAGATGAAGTCTATTTACAGACACCTTTCCTTTGGCAGACACTAATTAAGAATGAGAAAGATAATGAGAAAATTTTGATAAATGAAGAATGAAGGAGAAACAAATGGTTCTCTCCAGGGTATTCCCAGAGCTCTGGCCTTGAAAGATGGGGCAAAGCAGGAATGTCAGGAATTGCAGGCATGAGAATGGAGGTGGCTGGAGATATTCCATAACCAGACCAGACAGACACTGCAGAGCACCGTGTGACATAGACTGGGGAGAAACCAGAAGGTCGGGGGAAGGGAAAAGCAAAGTCCAGAGGCCTGGACAGAGTCCAGACCAACATCCTTCCTGCTGCAGAGCTTTAGGTGGTGGACCCACAGTGGGATGTCTCATGGATGCCTTTCACAACACGGATTTGGCACTCACTCTTTGTCAAGAAAGGGGCCAGGCACCAGGGGTATATGCCAGATTTCCCACTGATGGTTGAGCTCCAGGCCCTATAAGCCTACAAAGGCTGGCTCAAGGAGGCCAGCTGTGAACACTCATGGCCCTGCAGTCTACCCTATGCCAACTCTAATGCTGGCAGGTTTTCACCTCACCTGCATTATTTTCTGCCTTTGCTGTATTTTGAAAGACAAACAGAAGATTATCTAACAAATACTGAAGTAGTCATTGGGATTACAGGGATCCACATGGTCAAAGGAGGTGAGGGGCGAACAATGAAGCTGTGTGTCCCAGGAGCTGTCAGTGTGCACATGGCTGGTCTATAGCATGAGAAAGGTAGGAGGAGGGCAGTGGATGTCAGTTTATGAAGGATAAAGGTTGTCAAAGTATTCCAATTAGGGGGCCGTCACCTACTAGCCTTCTGCTTTAAGAAGACCAGCCTGGCCAGGCGTAATGGTTCATGCCTGTAATCCCAGCACTTTGGAAGGCCAAGGCAGGTGGATCACCTGAGGTCAGGAGTTTGAGACCAGCCTGGCCAACATGGTGAAACCCTGTCTCTACTAAAAATACAAAAAATTAGCGGGTGTGATGGTGGATGCCTGTAATCCCAGCTATCTGGAAAGCTGAGGCAGGAGAATCACTTGAACCTGGGAGGCAGATGTTGCAGTGAGCCGAGATAGAGCCACTGCACTCTAGCCTGGGCAACAAGAGTGAAACTCCGTCTCAATTTAGAAAAAAGAGAAGACCAGGCTGACTACAACCCCAGGGACAGTCAGTGGCTTACACAGATCTTCTGGAACCTGATGTTATACAATTTGAGGAGCCCTTCTTAAGCAAAAAAATTCAAAACCAAGAATATATAATTAGGTATAAAACTGAACAGTTATTTAGAATGAGAAGATAAACCTCAAAAAAAATAGAACTTTAGAATGATGATAAATACCACAACCATAGGTTAAAACATGAGAATTCCAATAAATCTCTTTTGCAGAATTCTCATCAAGGAGGAAAGGAAAATGTATGAGGCCTGTATAATTGTATACACAGCATGGCGTGCTATATTCCTGAAAGGAGACAACTTCTGTTTTGACTAGCTGTCATTGAAAACAAAGTCCTCTGCTTACGATTTTACATATCTGACTTTGGAAGAATTTTCCAGAGACCAGCTTCCTGCTTTGTATATTTCAAACTTTGCTTCTCCTTGATTCTGCATAAACGTCTGGTGTCAGATGCTGCAGGACAAATTCATATCACCAGATGACGTTTGACCCTCCACTTCCTGTCACGAGGCTGGGTGCGTCAGTGCAGGGGGCCGTAGGAGTATTCCTAGAAGCCGTTCCTACACCAGGATGACTAGTAATAACTTAACTGCATTCAGAAACAACTACCAACCACAAAAATATCCCCTACTGAACCCAAACTAAATATATTCGCAACTCAACTTCCTTTTAGCTGGGGCCCCAAAGTGCTGGTGACGACGCTGACACCCTAACAGTAGGTGCACAGAGGGGAAGTCGAAACAGAAAGGGGAAGCAGTCTTAACCAATTATGGCTAAATATAGCTCACTTTTAATACATTTTACAAAAATATATGACCATGTGAACACATTGCAAGGTCTTCCCCCAGCTCTTGTAAGGGACCGTGCAAGTGAGGCCCTGAGCTGAAGTTTATTAGTTTATTAGCTAACAGGTAGATCTTTCTCTGAGGACTCACAGATCTATCTGGTGGTCTGACTGCAGCTGAGGACCCCAATCTGGAGTAATAGTAAATAGCTGTAGAAGCCAAGGATCAGAGGCGAGGCAATGCCATTGTAGTGGAAGGGATACATTCGAATGGTAATTAGCAGGTGGAACCAAGATGATTACAGTTTGGAAGAGGACAGAGTTAAAAATGTGGCACCATCTAGTCTGGCACTTGCCCCTCTTAATTTATCCAAAACATTGAACAACACTTAATAACTTGTGCCAGGCATAGTGCTTGCTGCCAAGCAGAGGGGAGGGTGTGTGACCTGGGCTGTGAACTCATACTGGCCGGCTCGCTGTAGCGTCCCCTGCCAGCCTCAGCTCCAGAGGATGTCTGTTTCTCCTCTACTCAGTCAGCAAGGGATCTTTCTCTTTGTTCTTACGAATGAGGCCACCCATTAAGATGTGTCTAGATACTTTGGCTCCCAGGTCACACCCAACTATTGCCTCTTTTTGATCCAATATATACTTTTTCCGTAAACTGGTCAAAACCCATACTTACACAGAGATGGAAAGAGGAGTATAATTTCAAATTGCAAGGGGAAGCTGGATATAACTCAGTTTTTAAATCTCGAATGTATATATTTTTGGCCTGATTTCCCACTCTGAACCCCCAAATCAGTAAAATCACAAGGTGAATGCAAACAGGAAAGAGAAAGGAGAAAACATGTCTGCCAGCCCATAGATATGACCCTGGGGCCCTGGGGGAAAAGAGAAAGCAGGCACTTTCCCATCATTACGGCTGCACCACCGCAGTAATGATGCCCTGAGAACATGAAAGCCAGCAGTAGGGGAAACCCCACCAAACATTTGAGATCCGCAGTCTAGGGATTACTCCCCGCCAGGCACTCGATCTTTGCACAAATCTTACAGCTAACGTGCTCCTTTCACAGGAAGCCTTTACTGCTTCTCAAATAATCCCGAAAGGAGAGTTGCTGGATGTCCCATAATGAATAAAACTGCTGATAGGAATGGAAAAAGTTTATGAAGGATTTGTAAACCCAAAATACCATATGTGGAGTCAGAACGTTTTATTTATACCTTTGCCTGATACTTTGCCCGCGCATACAGGATTATGGAAGAAATATATGGCCGCCTGCTGGCCCAGAATTCTCTCAGGCCATCCCCACCGGCCTGCAGGGAGCGCCGCTGACCCTGGGCCAAACGTCCTGTAGCACAAAATTCCTTTCCAAGTTGAAAGGAAAAGTAATAGAGAGTAGAATTTAAAACAGCAAACATAGGCCCGTATATTTTGTTTCTGTTTCACTCTACAAATAAAAATAAACCTAAATGGCCTCTTTTGGCATAAGATTATAGGTTAAAAAATAAATCCACAGCATATTATATAATAAGATAAGAATAATTAAGACCAATATATTTCCTTTTAAGAAACTTGATGGATAACCTTTAAGATGTTTTGAAGGTTGTGTTCAGGCCACACACATGATAGGCAATATTTTATCTTTCTTTTTTACAAAGAAAGAAAGCTAATTTTGCTTAAAATAGTAGGAGGTCTATGGGTCTTGCCTTTACCAAAGAAATAAACTTTGTTAATCACACAAAATCATCTCTAACTATTTCAAGGAAATTAGAACAAAAGCCAAACAGGGAGGTCTGTATGCACATCCATTTGCAATGTCTGTGGACAGGGAGAAGGAGCTCAGTGGATCCTTGGTAGAAATAGAATCTTGTTTGCTGACTTTCTGTGATTCCAGAGCTCCTGTGGAACCCAGAGGCTGGGCGGGGTGAGGGGGATATAAAATCTACAAGGAACACAGAATTCAATTCCAGTCTGGGTTTTACCCCTACTTCTATTCAGTAGTCTATATGGGGCTTTGACCTCAGCAGATTTTCATTCCTTGAGCCCTCTTTTCCGTGACTGTGGAAATAGAATGAATGGGCTGCATGCAGCCAGCCTCCAGGAACAGGGAAAAGAGGGTCCTTCTCCTTCAGGAGTATCCCCTCCACTAAGAAGGGTGTAGAAGGAGCAGAAAATGTCCCACACTCCGAAGCTCTGCTACCACGTGGCCCTCCTTTTGGGGAGGAGCATGGTTGGAATGAGAGCGAGGTAAGAAGGTGAGACTGTCTACCATGAGCCAGCAATGTCACAGCTGTTTATCAGACATGCTGTCTGTTTTAATCCTTGTCACCGCCCCATGAGGCGGGCATTATCGCATCAATGTGAAGTGAACAGAGGCTAGGAGATCTTAAATAACTTACCTAGATCACTTCATGTGAGGGCTAATTCTATGTTAGGTTGGCTAGGCCACGGTACCCAGATTTGGTCAAACACTAGTCTAGGCGTTTCTGGGAAGGTACTTTTGAGATGCAAGTAACACTTAAATGAATAGATTTCAAGTAATGCAGATGTCCCTCCGTAATGTGATTGGCCCTCATCCAATCAGTGGAAAACTTGAATAGAACAAGACACAGAAGCCCCAGAGGAAGAGGGGATTCTGTGGCAGATCACGTTTGGCCTCCAGCTGCAAGCCCAGCCCTTCCCTGGGTCTCCAGCCTGCTGGGCCTGGCCTGTGGATTTTGGAATTACCAGCCCTCAATCATGTGTGAGCCAATTCCTTGAAATAAATCTCAATCTCAGTCTCTCTCAATCAATTGATCTACCTATCTATCTATACATCATCAATAGATAAACAGATCTCTGTATATATCCTATTTCTTTTTTTCTATCTTCCATCTATCTATCCATCTATCTCTCTATTATCTGTCTATCTCTACTATTGGTTCTGTTTCTCTGGAGAATTCTAACACACCATGCCACTACTGGACCCAGGATTCAAGTAAAATTTGGTCTGATTCCGGGGCTCATGTTCTTTTCCTAACACCTGGATGTTACCATGATTGACAGAGACTTAACAACACTATGCTTAATCTACTCCCTCATTCATTCTGGAAATATTTATAAAGTACCTCTTGTGTCCTTGGTTCTGTACTAAATTCTAGAAATCCACCAGAACAGTATAAACATGGCCCCTGCCCTCACAGAGCTCAGGAATGACTGCCAAGAAAACTTGCACTTCCAAGATGCAGTCAGAGTAGCAGCTCCTGGAGAAGCAGGGAGGAGGGCCAACTCATTGACAGTGGGATAATTAGTAGATATTTAAGTTGAAACCTTGAGAGTGAACTTGAGTTAGTCAAATAAGAAAGAGGAAGGTGATTCAGGCAGAAGGAATTGTGTGTGTGCAAAGATTCAGAGGTGAGAGAGAGTGAGAAACTGGAGGTAACCCACTAAACCTGAGGCTTTCAGGGTCCCAGGTTGAGAGGGAGAGACAGGTCTGGGAGTGAGCAGTGCCAGCTCTCCTTCTGTAGCCTGTGAGGGTCTGTTAAGGCTTTAGGGTAAGAAGAAAACACTGGAAGCATCACAGTCAAAGATGACTATGGCTTTCTCTAAGATCCCAGCCAAATGTGACTGTTGCTGAGGGTGAGGGGAAGGTTGGGAAAGGGGAGGGAGATGGAGGCCAGGAAACCTGCTAGGTGGCAGTAATTGCAGGTGAGAGTGGGCTTGGCCAGACCAGGTGACTGGCTTATGGGCTTGGGGACTGGGAGGAATCATAAGGAAGAAGCAATTTGGGGGATAAAGACGGTAAATGCACTTTGCGTTTGTTGAGTTAGGGATCTCTGTATGATGGCAGGGGAGAGCCATCCAGACGTCCCTCCTTCATCCCTGTTTATCTCTCTCTTCTCACTTCTCCTTCCTGCTCCAGGAAACTGGAGATAGGCTGGACGACCTAATCTCCTTTGGCCTGAGAATAATCAGGGCTATGACGACATACCAGGTCCTAAATCTCCACTTGCTAAATGGAAATGAACTCTTGCCCCAAATATTCAGCTTTTGCTTTTGCTGAGAATTTATTCAGCTGAAGACATATATATTGTGCAAAAATGTTAAAAAACACACAGGATCCCGCTACCTTCTTTTGACCAACAATGGCTCCCTGAGCACAACCAGGTCCTTCCCAGTGTGTGGCTGAATATCTGGAATAAAAATCCTATCACCTGCAGCACTAATAGGTCAAATGGCCCCAGCACAGCACTGCAAGCTTCCGATGACAAGAAGGAGAATTCCAGAACCCAGCCTCTTCTGGCTTCCTCCTGGATCCTGGCCCCCACAGAGCAGGGAGCGTCATGCCCTGAAACCTGCATTATGCTTCCAGAATCCCCAGGCTCAAATTTAACCAGGGCTTTGAGGACCACTGAGTGCATGCAGGCTTGTAAAGGATGACTCAGATTGTGTGAAACCCCGGCAGGCGCTGTCAGGAGCTAAGTGCTTTTGGCAATGGCTGAGGGGAAGCTGCCGACACAGGGGAAGAATGAGAAGAAGCTACAGCTCCTTGGGAAGATGCACAATCGACTTCCCCAGGGACCCTCAAACACAGCAGTGGAGATTTTCTCGGGGATGCTTTCTATGAACCCTTGCACCCTGGGCTGCTTCCAGAGGACACTATTACCACTTAAAATGTGTGTGTGTGTGTGTGTGTGTGGTGTCTGTGTCTGTCTGTGCATACAACATAGAAAGTAGGAAAACAGTAGAGAGAAGAGAATAATTATTTCTTCCTCTTTGTCTTCTACATTAAATCTCAGCATTACATTCAGAGAGCTTCCAAGATGGAATTAAAGGCAGGCAGTAAAATCATGTTTTTCTGATCACAAAACACTTTAACAGTTCATATTTTGCAGGTGTAGGTCCTAAATTGCTCCTGATTTGTTTGCCTTAGCTTCTGGGTGGGGCCCCCATTTTCCCTGGCTCCGGCTCCTTGGCAAGGCCTCCTCTCATGCAACGTGTCTCCATGAACAAGTAACTACCCAGGAATGTGTATTGCAGAGCAGGCAGCCCCTTGGCTCTGGGCCCTCCAGGATGGGGCAGTTTCTGAGAGCAGAGCCCGGAAGGCTCCCACATGGGGCTGCAAGCTAGACTAGCCCCTGCCGGGCCCTGCCGGGAATAACCTCTCCAGGGGCACTGAGATTCTCCTGCAGCCCTGGCCAGCTGTCTGTCTCCAGCTTGGAGAACTAGGCAGCTTGTTAATTATCTGATGGCTTCTCTGCTTGGGTTCACTGACTCTGTAGGCCACCTGTGGTCTCTGAGGTGCTGCCACAGCTCCTATTTCACCCCTCAACCCATCCCTGCCACTAAGCAACCTGGAAAATGCTGTCATAACAGCGGGATAGTAGACTCCTTCCCCTGCCCTTCCTGTGGCCAAATCCAGGTCTTTATCAGGGGTTCTTTCACTTCAAGAGACAGAAACGCTCTCAATCCAGCTCTACCCTAAGAGGGGAATCTTCTCCAGGGTCCTTTCTTCCCCTTATGGATGCTGCAGATCGTAGGACTGATTTTGTTTCCCTGTTCGTGCTGTGCAGAGCCAAATGTGTGGTCCATCTCCAGCAAATGCACAGGAAATTACATTATGCATTTTATGCAATAGCCTCACTTCTGGATTCATCTTTCACTCCTATTTTTATCTTCTCTTTGCCTTATTTCTTCACTTCTTTTAACTTAATTTTATCTTGCTGCTTTGGGTCCTTTGTGCTTCTCTAAAATCTTTTTAGCAACAAGGCTGGAAATCAGCCACCCAGTTAATCAGTCTAGTCCGCTAGCACCCAGGCTCCCCACCCACCCCAAAGCCTTCTGTAGAGCACTTTGAGATCAGTCTTCCTGGCCTCATTTCTTTATACTCTCCCTTTCCTAACCCTGCACTGAAGGAAGCAATTTCAGAATATAAATTTTAGACTTGGAGCTGGTTGACCTAGGTCTGTGACTTTGAGCTTGAACCTCACATTAGGTTCTCACAAACTACATGGAAAGCGCTGTAGACCTGCTCTGTCTCTCACTGTATCTTTTGACAAACTGCTCACACTTGGATTCCCAGTGTCTTTACCTGTAAAATGGAGCCACAGATACCAAACTCCCAAATGTAATGTGAGCAGAGCCTGCATCTCTCCTGACCATGCCCTTCCTCATGTTTTATCCACCTGTGCTTCAAAGTCAGGCTTGGACCCACCCCCACCCTCCTTTGTGAAGCCTTCCTTAACCAAGAGTAAACTACAATATGGGCATAGGGCTTTACAGTTTACAAAGTGCCTCATATACACAACCTCTTGATCTTCATGCGATCCTCTCAATCAGTCCAGAGAGGTGGGCAGACCTGACTACTCTTCCCTGACAGTTAAATACCCCACTCTCTTGACAGGTCCTTCTTTTTGTTAAGGTTCTCTATGGATGTGTGTCTTGTCTCTCTGACTATTTTCTAAACTACTTTGGGGTAAAGGTCACATCATTTATTACCTTCCCTGTGCCACAACATCCGTATCCAGAAATGTATCTACACAAACACAATTTGCCACGTATTTCATACTCAGAATAGAATAGACGTGCCAAGTTCTCAGCTATCCCCATTTCGAATACTGGGGCTTCTGATGGAAGGGGCGACTCCCCTGAGCATTGATGAAGGAGGGGAAAATCTATGAGAGGCAGGGAAAGGTTGATTTGATATCAGAGAAGTAGGAAGTCATTAAACATACAAGTACGATGGTTCACTTGCTCTTACAAGTAGCTAAACCAAGAAAATCCACAGCACTAACTTCTGGAAATGTAACTAATCCTCTCTCCTACTAAACTAAAAAGTAAGGTTTCTCTTCTACTTTTCAGGTTTTTTTCCCTAAAAAAAAAAAGTGCAAAGCCAACAGAATATATTGTTACTCTCTTTTCATAAATGAAAAACTGATCAAAAAGTGATAAGCCACTCCAAATGTCTCATGACCAGACAGGGGCCAAGTGAGCAGTTCCAGCTCTCCTTCCTAAACCTGAAAGTTTAGACTCCAAATGCAAGGAGCTACCTTACGAAAAACTTCTCCTGCTATGTTCAGTAGTTTACCCTTAGACAGAGACAGAAAATGAAAGTGTTTTTCCAGGTGGAACGCAACTGGGTGATGAGCTCTCTGTTCCACTTGTGTGCATGGGCCATCATCTGCCCCCTAAGACATGAGGGCTCCCTGTAGACCAGACACACACCACCAACCCAGAATGGGTGGGGTGTTGAGGATCAGAACTGCAGAGCATGGCCCTCTCCTGGCTAGAACAGGGCCCTTCATGCCTGGTGCATGTCAGCACACACAATCGGCCTGCAGAAGAAAAAATCCGTCTATCAATCAGCTAAGCAGCAACACCTCCTTCCTGTTCTAATCAGTCGTCTAGGGGCTGCCACAAGCAAGAGAGCAAAGCCAGCAAAGAAAGCCACCCCAAGCCCTGTGTTTCAGTGTCCCCTCCTCTCACAGTCCCCCTCTGCCCTGGCATGGGACCCACTTCATTAGCGCATGGTCCCGCTGAGCCTATTTCAGCTGGGCTTCATACCCTTCCACTCCCATCTCCTGATTCCACTGGAGCCAGGCTCCTCTGCACTCAGTCAGTAAACATTGAGTGACTTAAGTATTCATTAGCTAGAACACTTGAGGCCCTCAAGGGACTCAGGAATGAGTAGCAGCCTTCTGAAGGTCATGTCCCATCATCTAGGCAGAAAGCACTGAAGTGACTCAGACGGAGGGAACCTCAAGTACAACAGGGAGGATTGTGGCACTAGATTCAAATGGGGGCGAAATCACCTTAAGACTGTCTTATTTTCTTTGGATTCTCAGATATTAGCAATGGATATGGCACACAATGGAGATGGAAATTCAAAAAGGTGATAGTAATGGCTTACACTTATTGAGCACCCACTGTACACCAAACAATTTATAATGGAGTATCCAATCGTTATAATAACCTTCTGAGGCCTGTAGCATTATTCTTACTACTTACAGATAAGAAAACCGAGGCAAGATTGTTGAGTAACTTTCCCAAAGCTAGTAGCTGGTGGAGCTGGGATTTGAATCCAAGAAGGCTGGCATCAAAGCTCCTTTTCTGTGGTAGACACTGATAGTTGTCCCTATAACTATTCTCTCCTTCCTTAGTGATGGAACACCCATTTTCCTCCAGAATATTGTCTCTTAGAGTAAAAGACGTTTCTCAGCCTGCTTGATAGCTGGATGTGTCTATATGAATAAGCTCTGCTCTCTGCCATATGAGTAGCAGAGTGATATGGGAACTTCAGGACACTTCCTTGACAAGGAGGTGGTGTGCCCTTCTTTTTCTCCTCCTTCTTCCTGTTTGGAGCCTGAATGTGATTGCTGGAGTTCTAGAAACTATTGGGGACTATGAAGTAATGTTGGTAATATCAGACCAGAGAGTTACAAAGAGCCAAGGTCACTGATGACATCCCAGATCTGATGTGTCTACCTTCTCTGCCCGGGGATGGAAATTAACTTTCTTCTTATTTAATTCACTGCTGTCTGGTCTCTCTCATAATCTGACGAATAAACTTTCTAACCAGATCTCATGCTTTCCTGATTACTGGATTTAATCCTCACAACCATATTGTTAGGTGAGTGGCATCCATTTTATAGATGGGAAAATGGCAGCGTAGGGAAATTAGGCAACTCAACCGAGGTCACCCAGGGGGAGCAGCAGGAATGGGTACTCATGCCCAGGACAGCAGATGCCAGGTGAACATGTGCAGATCAAGGCAAGGCTGCCTGCATCAGAGCCCACCAGGGGATTCGCTGGTCCAGGAGTTCTGGGTGGGGCCTGGGAATGTGTACTAGAAACAACTTCCCACGCAACGTTAACACACAGCTGGAATCACTGCCCTTTCTGTGTTTTATGATTGTTGGACAAAAAAAAAAAAAAGGTGAATGGAAAAGGAAAAGTGAGACTGAAGTAACAAGAGTGGGAGCATGAGGGAGGATCCCTGTGGGTCAGACACACTCAGAGGGTGGGAAGGAGAGAGAGAGGAACAGCTTCAAGTCAAGAGGCTTCCAGCAGCTGCAGAGACAGGGACAGTCTGAGCCACAGCAGCTGGGACACAGGCACACTGGTCAGTTAAGGAGATCTTGGCTGGACACCCATAGCATTAGCTCCAGTATGAAATGCATTAGAAAGGACGAAGCTGAGTTGACTGTGAGCTGTTGTTCTCGCGGTTAATCCTAGACAAGGGAAGGGCAGGCTGTCTTTAGCTTCAGTACACACTGTCCACGTGGCTCAGCAAAAAGCTAGGGGGTTTCTGTGACCATGGCCGCTGATGGCTCCAGCCTCCTCTGCTTCTGTGGATCTGTTTTTATCATGTTACTGAAAGGGTGTTAATAGATGGAAGAAGAAAGAGAGCGTCTACTTTCCCGTTTCCTTTCTCTTACTAAGGCTTGTTTCAGTAGTGCTGAGAAATTAACTGCTCAATAACTATCAGATTCAAATTACCAAAACCTCATGAATTGAGACTAGCTGCAAGAAAATCCAAAGTATAGAATTTTTCAAATGCCATTTTATTAGTGAACAGCACATACAATAATGTGTCGTCTGTTAGACATTTTCAAGTGGGATGGAGGTGGCAGAGGCTCCAGAACCTCCCATACCCTTGTGCTGCTCCATCTGCACCCTTTGCTCTGACTTTGTCCTCCCTTTCACTTCCAAAAAGTTCCTGTTAGACGCATACACATAAGATGAGAACTTCATCTCATTCACTCAGTGCCACTACCCTTGCATCTTATGGAGAAAGAACCACTCATGTATGCCCCCTTCATGCAGTGCTGCTGGGTACTCCACATTGTGCTCAGGGCTAAGAGTACAACCCAGGAAAGCCTGACTCTTACCTCTAAAAGCCCACCGTGGAGTGTCCCATGAGCTTGGACTTACAATGCTACCCAGTGAGTGCTATCCAGAAGTAGACACAGTATATTTTGGGCGCACAGGGAAGAAATGAAAACTCCATCTGTGTACAGGAAAGGGCAAGAAGTGTTTTTAAAAGGAATTAGTTTTAGTCTTAAAATATGAATAGGAATTTTCCAGGTCAGAGGGTGGGCGGAGTGGGGTTTCCAGGAAGAGGGAAGCCGTGGGCATACGCACAGAGGCAAGAAAGCTGAGAAGGAGTTGGGACGCTGCAGATAATTGCGGGGGCGACCACTGCACACTGAAGGCCGGCTGGATCAGACAGGCCTCTCTAATTTAAGAATGGTATCTTTCCAAACAGAGAGGACAATTTTGCCTTCAAAATATCTCTAATTCTCACAGATATTTTAGTTAAAAATTAATTATTTCAACAAATGTGAACTAATAACCTAAAGTTCGCCTGGTCAGTAGATTTAAACATGGATCAGATCAAAATTCATGTTCAAATTTGGATGGCTCTGAGTCTTCCTCTGTCCTAACAGCCTCACCACCCACAACACACGGCCCGGCTCTCAGTGGGAAGCTTCCCTTGAGGCTAGTGCCCCCTGTTACCCCTGGAGACCCTGAAGGACACCTCTGACATGCCCCCTGCAGGCCATCTGCTGCTGCTTCATTCAGTGGTCTCCTGGCCCCTGCAGACTCCAGGCTGCCTGAAGTAGCTTCCAGCTGGCTCCTGGGGCAACAGCTCAGGGGTGGGTTCTAGAGTGGGAGAGTGGCCTTCTCTTTATCATCTTAGTCCAGAGAGGTGATGCTTACTCCCAAAACCTCACAAAATATACTTTGAAAGCAGCTCTATCAGCTTCTAAGTTTCCCTCTCCCCACAATGACCAGGCATGGCCAGGAAGCAAGCTGTTCTCATTCTCCTCTGGCCCCAGCCTGCTCACAGCATTGGTCCTTACCCCTTCTCAAGTGCAAGAAGAAAGCCTTCTGTGTATGTATGAAGGAAAACAAATGGGGAGGAGGCCAAAAAGCCAGAAGGCCCAGTGAGGGCTTGAATTCTGACTGGAGAAATGAGAAGGAAGGGGAAATATGGACTCTCCTCTCAGGACCTAGCAAAAGAACTGGAGAAATAAGATGCAGTGAGTATAAACATGAGCAGGGAGTGAAAATGAAGCCCAAGGCTACATAGAAAGTATCTTGAAGGGTAACAAGCTAATGGTCTATTTTATTTTATATTATTTTATTGGAGAGAGGAGTAAGAGGAGGTGCATTTTAAAGAATATTTAATGTATTTGTATTTAACTTTCGGAGTTGATCATTCACATGGTTCAAAATTCCAAATGGATGAATGAGTGTACAATAAATGTTTCCTGTCTCTGTGCCCAAACACCCAGTTTCCTCCCCATAAACACCCAACATTAACTGTTTTTGCATATCCTTCAAGAGACACATACAAGCAAATGCTTATACATATGTTCCCCTTTTATTTCACAAATGGTAGCATATTTACACCAAATTCTACACTGTACTGTTTCCATTTAAGAATGTATCTTGAAGATATTTTTATACTGACTGCTGTGGTCCAAATGTGTCTCTCTAAAATTCATATATTGAAATCCTAACCCCCAAGATAATGGTATTTGGAGTAAGTGATTTTGGGAGGTGATGAGGCCATGGGGAGAAGCCCTCATGAATTGGAATTATGCCTTTATAAAAGAGGCCCCAGAGAGACCCTTCCCTCTTCTATCATATGAAGACACAGCTAAAAGGCTTCTTGAACCAGAAAGACACTGAATCCGCCGGCAAGCTGACCTTGGACTTCCCAGTCTTCAGAACTGTGAGAAATAAATTTCTGTTGCTAATAAGCAACCCAGTCTATGGTACTTTTTTATAGCAGCCCAAAAGAACAAAAACACTGTTACATAAAGATGTCCTTATTCTCTTTTATAGCTGCATAATATGATTCCACTGTGTGAATGTCCAAAGGTTTCTTTAACAAGGCCTATTTATAAGTATTTTCATTGTATACAATCTTTTGCTACTCAAACAATGCTTCAGTGAATAGCCTTGTGCATATGTCAGTCCATTAATGAATGAGTTTATCTGTGGGATAATTTCCTAGAAGTAAATGCTGGGTGAAAAGGTGTGTGCAAAATTTGTAATTTTGACAGTTATTACCAAATTATCCTCCAAAAATATCATTTCAATTTACACTTCCACCAGTAGTGTAAGAGAGTGTCTCTTCCCCACACCCTCATTAACATTATCAAATTATTTGCCTTTTGTCATTTATATGAAAGATAAAAAATGGTCACTCAGGGTATGGTAATTTGAGTTTCTCTTGTTCTGAGTAACATTGGATATTTTGTTTCCTGTTTTTACAGAGCCATTTATATGTTTTTTCTGTGAAAAATCTGTCACAGTCTTTGCCTGTTTTATTATGGTGTTGCTAATATTTTGTTCTTTTGTAGAGATCTTTCCACAGGAGGAGAGAAAGAAGCCCTGGTCTATAATATGAGATACCAGTTTGGGACACACCTCATTTGATTTCATTTATATGACATTTTGACTATGCAGATTTTTGGTTTGATGCAATTGGTGGATTAGTCTTTCCTTTGTGGCCTCTAAATTTTGTGTCATAAAGAAGTCCTGGCTGGGCGCAGTGGCTCATACCTGTAATCCCTGCACTTTGAGAGACAGAGGCGGGTGGATCACCTGAGGTCAAGAGTTCGAGACCAGCCTGGCCAACATGGCAAAACCCTGCCTCTACTAAAAAATACAAAAATTAGCCGGGCATGGTGGTGTGCTCCTGTAGTCCCAGCTACTTGGGAAACTGAGGCAGACTTGCTTGAATCCACAAGGCAGAGGTTGCAGTGAGCCAAAATTGCGCCACTGCACTCCAGCCTGGGTGACAGAGCTGACTTTGTCTCGGGGGCAAAAAAAAGTCCTTCTGAGTGCTAACGTATTTGGGAAGAAAAGCAAAGGTATTTGATTTTGTAAAATAACTTTTTAGTACTTCTGAAGATAATCATATGGCTTTTCTCCTTAAATCTATTAACAAGATATTTACTAACAGACAATCTAACATTGAATCATCCTTGTATCTATGGAGTAACTCCAGAAACTGGTCATAGTATATATTATATTTGAGTATGCTGTTGGATTCTTTTACTAGTGTTTTATTTATTTTGTACAAGTATTCATAAGGTGAGATCCTCCTTATCCTTTCAAATTTTGCTATACCATTTCTATATCGTCTGGCTCTATATCCCTCAAATTCTGTTTTATTGACTTAATTTCCATATTTTTGTACTACAAATAAGTAGATTCAATTGTCACTCCCAAAACTTCTCCTATAGATTTTCCTCAAGAGCTCATGAGATCAATATTTTTGGAGTATGCTAAAGACTATCTGGGGTTTTTTTTTTGTATGCTAAAAACAATGGTTTGACTGTAAATTTGTAAGTATGATGCCTTGCTTCTAACAGTGAATGAAACTGTGAAGAGGACTAAGCCAGCCTTATTGGTCCCCTTATAAATAACCTTATGGGGGAGAGAGTGAGCTGATTTAGATATTTTTTGAAGCCCAGTAAGTTTGCCAGAATCTTGAAATGGATCTGTTTTCCTTGTGGCACACAGTGCCCCTACAATATCTAAATTTAACTCCTCTCATTTTATGAGTTATCTTTTTTATTTTTATTTTATTATTATTATTTTTTGAGACAGAGATTTGCTCTTGTTGCCCAGGCCAGAGGGCAATGGCACAATTTTGGCTCACTGCCGCCTCTGCCTCCCAGGTTCAAGCAGTTCTCCTGCCTCAGCCTCCTGAGTAGCTGGGATTACAGGTGCCTGCCACCACGCCAGGCTAATTTTTTGTATTTTTAGTAGAGATGGGTTTTGCCATGTTGGCCAGGCTTCTCTCGAACTCCTGGCCTCAGGTGATCCACCCACCTCGGCTTCTCAAAGTGCTGGAATTACAGGCGTGAGCCACCACGCCCGGCCATGAGTTACCCTGAGTTCTAACTTCAATATTGGTTCTGTTGCATTCCTTCAGTTTCTTCTTTAGGAGTTCTCATTAAGCATGTCAGATCACCTTTGCTGTCTTCCAAACTCATCATTTTCCCTTCAGTTTTTTGTAATGCTTTATTTCAGGTCATTTTACTCAATTTTGTCATTTCTGTTTCTGTCTCCTGCTGGGATTTGAGCAATGTCCAACCCTCCTTGTGTTTCTTTGGGTTTTACCTGCATTTCTATGGTAGTTTTGATTTTCTTCCACATCCTCCCTTCACCCTCTCTGGTGTTCCTGCAGTCCCTTCCCTCAGCTCTAGCATTTCACCATTATTCGTAATAAAAAGTTCGCATGAAATTCTTTATCTGATGCATGGCAAGCTGTTTTTCTGAAATTGTTCTTTATCTACCATTTTTTCCTATCTCTTTTCTCATTTTGCTATGGTATTTTGGTTTAGATCCTCTGTTAGTTCTATTTTTTTTTTAATCATTCATCATTAAAAGCTGAAATTTTCCTAAACAACTAATTGCAGGAAGTTCATGTGCCTAAGAGCCGGGGGCATGGACCACACTAGTAGAAACATTTCCCATGATTCCTAGTTTTCCATGAGTTTAGCCTTTACTCTCTCTCAGCTCACGATAATGAGCAGCTATTGAATTTTTCCATTGCAAAGTCTTTCTTCTCCAAAGTCACATAAATAAGTTGTTTTCTGCAGATATGGCTTTTCTATATGTCCTCAAAGAGCCCAGCCTACCCTGTCTTTCAGCACCAAGTCGGGAGAGAGAAGCAGCTGCAGACGTAGCACACCAAGGTTCCCACTATTGCCAACCTTGTTTTGGAAAACGAGGTTTTTGATGACTCTTTTTGAGATTTGCAGCTCCAGTGTCCTTTCTCTCCAGCATCTTCTCCAAGCTGCCCTCTATGTATCATATGTCAATTGATCACCCCTGCTTTTGGCAGCACTTTCAAATATTCTGTCATCTGGGCTTTTAGCTGTCTCCTGGTTTCACCCAAAAGCAGATTTCCATATCTGTTTCTTGTTCTCCTTGGTACTTGAGATGACTTACCAGAAGAGAATGGGTAATACAAAAAAAACTCAGTAAAACTATTCTATTTTTAATAAAATTCAAGCAGAAATAATTTTTTTAAAAAAGATAAAATACAGTGCTTTTAAGACTCAGAATAATGGGTACTGTCAAATTCTACAAAGTGGAAGAAAAAATAGTAAAACCCATTTGTAAGTCAATTGACAATTTTAACAGTTATGTCAAAAACCTTAAAATGTTTATACCCTTTGACCCAGCAGTTTCAAAATAATAACTAAAAAGATGTTCAATAAAGCATTACTTATAATAGCAAAAGTACAGAAATAGATGAAAAGTTCAATAATAGGGTGAAATGATTCATAGTTCATCCCCATGGAGTTGGAGATGTGTAAGATCATAGAACAAAGTTAATGTTATAAGCCCATATGTGTAAAATAAGTAAAAGGAAAGAAGAAAGGAAAGAAAGAAGGCAGGCAGCCAGGGAGGTAGAGGAGAGAAGAGAATGAGGAAGAAAAAAGAAAGAGGAAGAGAAGATGGATAAAGAGAGGAAGGATTTACACTATAATATTAACAGACATACTTTTGGAGGGACGAAGCTACAGGTATATTGAATCTTTTCTTTGGGCTTCTCTATATCTTCTAAATTTTCCAAAAAAAAAAAAAAAAACTAGTAGGTCAAGACCTATGCTGAAGCAGACATATCTTTTGCCCCACTCCTCGCCAACACACAAAAATATACTCCGCAACGTCCCAGACCATGGTGCCACTGCTTTCCTCTATTCTCACTCTCGAACCCAGAATCTCAGCTAAAACTGTTGATGTGCTCCACCTGGTCCCAGGGGTCTAACTCAACAAAGAAATGCTCTAAGGAGAATTTGACTCTTAGTTTTGAATAGGAAACATTGATAGTAACTATTATCTTTTGTGAAACAAAAATATATAGTGTTTTTAAAGATCTAATTTAAGCAACTTACAGACAATAGAGTAACCCGACAGAGTCTCTCCATTGTAGTGAGATGAGTTTGGGTTGAGAAGGCTGTGTCAGGTATTTCTTATCATTCTTCTGAGTCTGCACCCTCTTGAACTAACCTCTCATTACACAATCGTGTATGTTTTGAAAGGTATCCTCTCTTAGGTTAGGAAATGTACTATACTTGAGCACTATCTACAATTGTTAAATTTCACATGTGAAGAATGGACCCTTGAGCAACTATTCTTATGTAGGGTTAGCTTTGCCACTTCCATCTCAACTATGCACAGATCCACGTGTGTTATAGGTGATATTTTGGGGATATTAACTGAAGGTTTTCATTCCTGGAATAAAATGGCTCTAATGTCTTGTAGCCACCACCCATCTACTCCCCCGTTGAGTCAAATGTATTCTGGTGTAATTTGAGTGTCTGTCTCCTGATATTTTTTAATGTTTAGGCATTTAATGCCCACTCTGATATGGGCTTGCAGGGACAACATGCTGACACTAAAGAAAATTACTAGCAGAAAAAAAGGAAAAAGATACCTGTGGGTGCTCTTTTAAAAATTAAAATCCATGGAAGATGGCACCATCTGTCAAGCCCTCCAAATGCTTTCACCAATAACACCATCCCTAGCTCCCAACCCTCCAAACCCATGTCAACACAGATTACTCTTCCTTTTTTTGAGACGGAGTCTTACCCTGTCACCCAGTCCCCCAGTGCAGTAGCTTGATCTCAGCTCACTGCAACCTCAATCTCCCAAAGTGTTGGGATTACAAGTGTGAGCCACCATGCCCTGCAGATTACTCTCCTAAAGTTCCATTTCCTTTTCCCTCTCTTCCAGACTACCTGTTGATTAATTTAAATTCAATGCCTTCTAGACTCCAGAGTACTGTATGTATTATGGGGAACCACTCCCTGAGACAGTGTGGTAAATGATCAGGGTAACTCTGATCATGACAACTGGTTCTGAAGCATCAGCATGGAAGCCAAGCCTTTTCCTTGTCCACACTAAGGGGCAAATGTGGGGAAATAGAAAGAAATCTGTCCCCTCACATCCTAACAATAAACATACCAATTGTGTAGTTATGATTTTGGCTACATTTCACTTACTTATCAACTGTTGTAAAATTATCCAACCCTATTTAAAACACGAGTCCTATCTCAGACTCTGGAAAAGCCCCTCTGATATGGATAATCATTTGTACTAAATACAAGTGAGATAAGTGAAAGGAGCACCCAGAAAGGTATTTGCATAATCATCCTAGAATTCTGCCTAAATGTAAAATGGCAGAGTCTAAGAACAGAAGATCAGAGAGCTAAACACGGAGTTACATGACCAAATTCGGAGATGCAGGATAAGTCTCAATGGATAGCCCAGAGGCTGTCTGTTGGGGAAACAGAAAACTGGTTGCCCTAGGTCACAAGCTGTGAGCACTCTCATTGGTAGCTTGGGATCACTGTCTTCATCCCAGGACCGTCTGGCACTCCATCCGCTCAGCATTCTACAGGAACCCATCAGGGCTGTGACTGGGGGCCTTGACAGGATTGGACTTGATATTTAAGATCATAAGTTGTCATTTCTCCTCAGATGGTTGTGTCCCAAAGTTTAAAACAATATTTTCTTCCTAGGAAAAGTATTAACTCTTCTCTCAAAGGAGAGTTTAACAACTGAACCTTCAACAATCTCTCTCTGGGACCAAGTTCATGGGTCCCCAAACCTACCATCACAGAAAACGAGGCACTTAGCCAGGGAGCCAAGTGTTTCATGCACAGTTGGAAGAGTATGATTTTTCCCTTCTTTTTCAGGTTTGCCTGAAATTTTCATCACAATTCTATATTTCAAGTACTTCGCCTGAAAGAAAATATTTTTTTCCTTTGGTGCTTACTGAAAATTTAGCAAACAGTAGGAGGTGATTTAGTGTGCCTGGCATATGTAGAAAATAAAATGCTTTGTTATTTTCATGTCTGAATACAAAAATCCATAGAGGCTACACTTTTCAGACATTCTTGATGATTGCCATTGTACAAGAAAAATTATTTTCTTTACTTCTCAGTCCAACAAAGATCAGCGTGAGAGGGCTCAGCCAAGGCTTCTGAAAAACTAGGAACACAGTCCCCAAAGTGCACTGGCTGACAAACAGAGTGGGGAAGAAACAATGCAATATTCGGAATTTGAAACGCCAGCTTTGACAGGAAGCTGATGATCAAACAAACTATATTTGTTTCTCTTTTATTTTCTGTCTGAGGAATTTGCCTTTTAAGTACTGATTTTTTTTAACTTAATGGCATACGCTGCCCACTGACTCAGGATCTCTAAGATGAAACAAAGAAGCTATCTGGATATTTCATCTTAGAGGGCCATTAATTGTCTACTGATTATGTCATCATATCAAGGTTCATCACAGGAAGGAATATTCAGAAAGTTAAGAACACAGAAACAGTAAGAGAGCTCACCCTCAGCTGTTTTTTGAACCTAGCCACACATATGTTGGTATTTACACATGTTTTTACCAAACACACTAACATGGGTCAATCAGGAATGTATAAGTGCCATCTCTTCAAAAGGGGTTATCATAGATGGCATAATTAATCTTTGAAACTTCACTAAAGGATACTGTGCTCTCAAAATCAATGTGTTTCTCTACCACTTCCAGGTGTTTGCAAGATTGTAATACTAGAAAAGGAAAGGAAAGACAGAAAGATGGCCTCATTTTCACAGACACAGTGGGCTGGATGAGGAAGGAACAAACCCTTGCCTACTTCTGATCTGGGAAAATAACCATCAGTATACCTGGCTCCAAGAGTTCTCAAATGACCCTCTAGGGGTTCGTGATGACTCATGAAAAAGTTTGCAATTGTTTGCAACGCAATGAGAGAGAAAATAATACAATGGCAGTTAAAGGGGATTTTTTTAAAGCTCAATTTATTCTGTGTAAAGATCATTACCTTACTCCTTAATTAAATACTTTTTATGTTAGGGTGGTAAAATATATTTTTAATAGTATATTGATGATAGTAGAGGATGGGTTTTCATTGGTGTTTTAATCTTTGTATTTTGCAAAATAAAAAAGTTGGTGTTGCTGAGTTCTGGGAGCCACTGAAGGACACTGCACAACCAGAGTGGTGTTTTCCATTCTGGAGGTACATTCGAATGCCTGGGATACTGAACCAATACTGATGCCCACTCTCCACCCAAAATCAATCCCATCAGCATCTCTGCAGGTGGGGCTCTGAGTCAACATTGTTTTTAAAGTTCTCCAAGTGCAGCCAAGATTGAGAAGCTCTGAAGGAGGAGCTGGAGGGGATGTAGTGTTCTTGCCCCGTCTGTCTCTCTTTCTGCAAAGCGTTACTGCTTAACTGTTTCATAGGTGTAAGAGGTATCTATTCAATTGAATCCTAAGATTCTAAAATATAGCTGATAGTAACTTCTTTATCCTTTATTAAATCCTGTTCAGCATCATAGATAATCTCTCAATGAAAAGCAGGCCTTAAAAATTATTTCAGAAAGAATAAAAAAAATGCCATGGCTTGACAGCAGTAGGTTAGAGTTTAAAGGAGGGTCCCAAGAAACATTTGGTTTTCGTTTTCACAGAAACTGTTTTAAAAGGCTGTTGAACTTCTCAGTATATAAGAAAATATAAATAATAAGTAGGAGATAGTGTGGAAAGAAATGAGGTTTTAAAACATGGAAACAGAGAAATTGAAAAAGAAATAAATAGACAAGCTAATAAAAAATGTAAGATGATGTGAGAATTGTGACACTAAAACAACAAAGTGCTACAGCCTGTAAGAGAAGGCGCTCCCCACAACCCCTCAGTATCCTCCCCTCCCAAACACTGCCTGTTGTTCACCCTTAAGGTACCACTGTCCTGATTTTTGACACTCACTTCCTTGCTTTTCTTTAAAATGTTAATATCTAAACATATACAGTAAATTCTCACTTGACACAGATAGGTTCTTGGAAACTGTAACTTTAAGCAAAAGGACTCTAATAAAACAAATTTTGCCACAGGCTAACTGATACAAATTCCTCTGGCATATTTCTGGTTACAAAAACATCACCAAACTTCTAAACAAAGACCCCAAACACTTCTAATAGCAAACATTGGGATAAATGTGAGCTGCATATACATTTAAGAAAGATTAATAAAAACAAAGAAAATAATTACTCAATTTCTGGTGAATCACTGAGTGACAGTGTTAGTAGTGGTGGCCTAAATCAAGGAATAAATATTTGTGAAGTGAAAATTGTAAAGAGCACCTCCTATAAACATGTAGTTCAAACAATCACAAATAGGGCAGGCTCACTGAGAGCTTTCTACAGCATCGTTTATTGTTGTGCATTTGTATAACTATCATAGACTATGAATTTGTATTTGACAGTAATTTGTACTCATTCATTCATTTTTCATCCTGCTTATTTGAGTTCAGGGTCACCGATGGCCTCAGCCTCTGCGGCAATTCAGAGCACAAGGGAGGCCCAGCCCTGTGCAGGACGCCATCCCATCACAGGGCCTCTCACAGCCAACCACCCTCACTCAGACTGGGACCACATAGCCATGCCCATGGACCTCAAGTGCACCTGGAGGAAACCCAAGTACACATCAGTAGAACATGCAACCTCAACACAGACAGTGGCCCCAGCTGGGAATCAACTTTTTTTCTCATCAATGTTATGGGCAAATGATACTAAATGAAGCAACTATTGAAGAACATGCTATGCATAATAGATTGAATGATCACTTTCATTTTTTTATCCCTTCCTGTAGCCATGGTTTTTGCTAGTCATACTACCTGGTCCACTGACTTTGGGCTTGTCCATATGACAGGTTTTGGCCAACAGAATGTATGTAGAAGGAACAATGCACCAGTTCTGAATCTAGGCCTTAAGAAACTTCACACCTGTTTATCTGTCTTTCTTTCCTTTTAAATGCTTTCAAAATGTTATTTTCTTGGGGAAAAAAGAAGACAGAATCTACAGTTACTTAAAGAGAAAAAACTTGAATAAATATTCATCATGACCCAATATACTTTCAGGGAGGCAAAGGCATCATTACAATGCGAATTTTTCTTTGCTTTTTTTCCTCCCTAAAAAACATTATAGAGATATATTTATATGACATACAATCGACTAATTTAAATTGTACAATTGAATTATTTTTAATTTATTCAGAGTTGTGCATTTATCACTACAACTACTTTTAGAAAGTATTCATAATCTTAAAATTAAAAACCATACCCGTTAGCAATCACTCCCCATTTCACCCAAGAGGATTTATGTGTTTCTGCTTGCTGTTTTACACACAAGTTAGCATGCTGATTCAAGATGCATGTAGAGAAAACACAGAACCCACCTAGAACTAGAGACATGTAAACAACCCCAGCCCAGATCAGTCAAACCTCAGCCCAATCACAGACACACAAAAAAGACACATGCTATTGTGGTATGCTAGTAAGATTTTTGCAGGGTTTTGTTATGCAGCAATGGCTGACTGTTACAAGCAAGTCATAGACAGAAAATATTTACAAAACACAGATCTGAAAAAGAACTCTCACAGCTCAATAACAAGAACGTTTTAAAAACCTAATTTTAAAAAATTAAAAAAATTTTTGAGCAAATATTTCAGCAAAGAAGATAGATGGGTATAAAATAAGCACATGCAAACAGGCTCAACATCATTAATCATTAAAACTACAGTGAGATACCACTATAAACCTATTAGAATGGCTGAAATAGAAATTAGTCAATCTGAAAACACACTGTCTTAGTCCATTTAGGCTGCCATAACAAATTGGGTGCCTTATAAACAACATAAACTTATTTCTCATCATTCTGGAGGCTGGGAAGTCCAAGATCAAGACACCAGCAGTTTTGGCGTCTGGTGAGGGCCCACTTTCTGGTTCACATACAGCACCTTCTAGCTGTGTCTTCACATGATAAAAAGAGTGACTGAGCTTCCTGTGGCCTCTTTTATAAAGGCACTAATTTCATTCGTGAAGATTCTGCCTTCATGACCTAATCAAGACCAAAGGCCCCAAGTTCTAATACCATATCTTATAGGTTAGGATTTCAACGTATTAATTTGCTGGGACACAAACATTGAGATCGTAGCATCAACTGTTGGCAAAGATGCAGAACAACGTGTATTTTCATGGATTACTGACGGAAATACACAATGTTACAAGAGCCCCTTTGACAACAGTTTGGTTGCTTCTTATAAAGGTAAATATCCATGTAACATATGATCTAGCAGTCTCACACCTAGGCATTTACTTGAGAGAAATGAAAACATATGTTCACACAAAAGTCTATACATAATTGTTTATAACCACTTTAAGTCACCAAAAGCTGAAACTAACACAAAAGTCCGTTGCTGCAGACTGAATGTTTGTATCCCTCCAAAATTAAGACATTGAAACTCAATCTCCAACGTAATACTATTGAAGGTGGGGCCTTTGGAAGGTGATTAGGTCATGAGGGAAGAGCCCTCGTGAGTGGGGTTATTCCCTGATAAAAGGGACTCCAGAGAGCTTTCTTGCCCCTTCTGCCATGTGAAGACACAGTGAGAAGACCGCGATCTTGAATCTAAAAGCAGGCCCTCTTGGACATCTCAGCTTCCAGAACTGTGAGAAATAAATTTCTGCTCTTTATAAGTTACCCAGATCATTGTAGTTTGTTATAGCAGCCCTAATGGACTAAGACACCCATCAACTGGTGCATGCATTAACATTCTGTGGTACACTCATACAATGGAATACTATTTGGCATTAAAAAGAAATAAGCTACTGATACATTAAAGAATATAGATGAATCTCAAAAGCATTATGCTGAATGAAAGAAGCCAGGCTGAAAAGGCTATATAATTGATGTGAGTGTATTACCAGCCTTTCATTGGTTTGGGACTATTCCTCACCTTTATCTAAATATTTCTTCTGCAAACGATTTTCCCTCTTCTCCTTCTATACTTCAACTGCTTATATATAAGACTTTCTCACTGAAATTTTCATAACTTTTATCTTGTACCTTCCATCCTTTTTTTCTTTCAGTACTTCTTTCTGAAAGTTTTTGTCTTAACTATCTTCCAATTCACAAATCTCTATCCAGCTGTGTCTAAAATGCTGTCCATTGAATTCCAAATTTCAGTTCGTGTATTTTCCAGTCACAGATTTCCCATTCAGTAATTTTTGTATTTTCCAGTTCTCTGCAAAAATAAATAAATAAATAAATAACCAATAATTTCATCAGAAGCATAGTTTCAAAAATTTGGTTTTTGGTAACTTTGACATTGTCATCCTCTATGTGTCTATTTCTACTATATATTGTTTCTGCTGAGCTTTGTTCATGCTACCTTATTTATTGTTGTTCCTAGTTATTTTTTGCCATATATCACATGTTGTATTTGCAAATTATTTCAAAACATAAATTCAGATCTAGAATGATATGATCTTCCATTAGAAAGGATTTACATTTTTTTCTATCAGAATCACCTCATTCAAATTTCAGAGATTAAGATAAGATTAAGTTGTGCTTCAATCTATGCAAAGACCAGAGTACCCACAGTTTACTGTTAGTCCTGCTGTGCAAGTTTCTATGGTCTCAACCCAAGTGAGAAGTTTTACTCACTGTTTCTCTTTGGTTCCTGGATTTCAATCCCTGTACCACTAACTCTGAGAGGCTCTCAGAATTTCTCAACTTCCCAGCTGCCCATTGTGAGATAGGCACATATTCCCCAGGAAAAAGGATCTTCCAAGTGTTGAGCCTTTTTCTCCTTCATATCATGGCCCAGTATTTCTTCATGATCTTATTTGCCCTCCGGCACCTTCAAGCATGTTTTATTAATATTTTGTCAAGCTTTAAATATGTCTTAAGTAACAGGGCTGATTTGAATTATTTATTCCACTATTAAGAAAAGCACAACTTCCCAAAACTTTTCTTAATATGTCCAAAGTCAATCATCTGATCTTCCTGACACCTGGATCTCCTTGATTTTCAGTCTTTTCATCACAGTTAATGGTAACTTCATCATTCTAGTTTTTCAGGCCAAGTTTTAGCATCACCCATAACTCCTCCTCTTCTCTCACATCCTCACTCAGACCAATAACAAATCTTTTGGGTCTATCATCAAAATATCCAACAATGCTATATAACAAACCACTTTATGGTACTTTATAATAATGAGTATTATTGACTTGCTTATGAGTTTTCAGATTGATTGTGGATTGGCTGATCTAGTCTGGGCTCGGGTGGCTCTACTCTAAGCAGCACTTCTGGTTGGACTTGGCTCTTTGCTGTGGGTTAGGCTTAGGTCTACTATAAATGGCTCTCTGATGACAAGTCTGAAGGGTCAGCAGAAGTCAGGGAAAGTTCTTCTCACAGTGATGTGAGAAGAAGCACAAGAAGCACAAGACAGCAAGCAGAAACATGGGATGTGTCTCAAGGCCAGGCTTGAACTGGTGCATTGTCATCTCATTGTCCAAAGTAAGTCACATAGCTGAGTTCAGACTTATGGATCAGAGACATGCCCTCTATTTCCAGCTGGAAGCTCTGCAAACTCACGTGACAAAGGGGTGAGTGCAGGATGGAATAAATAATCTCATTTACCACAAAGGCCTAACATATAGTGGCCCCTAATTACTTCTCTGAACTCACCTCCTCGTCCTCTCTTCTTTACTGAATCTCCTGCTCCAGCCACATTGGCCTTCTTGGCATTCCTTGGCCACACCAGACCAGGCAAAGCCCTCACATTGGCTCCTCCTGGACTATTCTACCCATTTTAGTCTACATGGCTTTCTTTCTTCTTTCAGGTCTATATTCAGAATGTGCATTCCCAGTGAGGCATTCAGTGACCATGCTATTCAAAATTGCATTCCCTCCATCTTGGCATGCCTCTTACACTGCTCTCACCAAAAGCACTTTTACTTTGGAACAAACTGCACAATTCACTTAGTTGTTTTGACTATTGTCTGCATTCCTCCCACTAGTGTATAAGTTCCACGAAGTCAGGGGTTTTGCTTATTTTGCTTACTGAGATATCCCTAACACCTATCTGGCACTGAATAGTTGCTGAAAATATTTAGTCATAAAATAATATAATAAAAGAAAACAATGATGTGGAAAAAAAGAAATATCAAGAAGAGTAACAAATCTGTATATTAAAGAAAACATAATTCAATCTGGAACAAGTAATATTTTCATAGCCATATTAATATAAATACCATTTATATTACTGATTTTAATGAAATTCACACTGAATTTAACTAAAAACAACAATTTAACTACAATAGACGTTCTCTTCAATATAATTGACTTGCCAGATTAACGGCACTCTTCATTTCATTTGCAAATTACATTGACGGATTCCCATGTACACTGAATGCAAGCCTCTAGCATACCATTTTCTACTACTGCACTTCCATGGGCAAGCATCAACCTCTCTTCACTTTATTATCTTCATCTGTAAAATGAGATGTTAAAAGTTTATTTTCCAAAAAGACAAAATCATGATTCTCTAAGAAACATTAAATGAATATGTATCAAAAATTGTATTCAGCTCATTGAGTAAAGCAGTAAGATGTTAACCCAGTACAAAGAGCATTTGAGAAGATATATATAATTTAATAATTAGAATAAGATTTCTAGGTCAAAAGCAAGACTGATAATATCCAACACAGTCATAAATCATACCTTTTGGGGTTACTTCTTCTTTCACACTTAAACTATTTGCATCTCTACCACACAAAAATATATAAATTAGCCTCTTCCTCTACATGGTTGTAAAATAGTCCAGTCAACAGAAAGTCAAATCCCAGTGGTGTACTGAAAGAGGACCCAGGAATCCCTTTTGGTTATTTCAAATTTCACATTATTTTTCTGAGAGGAATAATAACAGGACTTGTGAGATAGGACTATTAAGAGCTTAAAATATGTTAATATGTCTGAGCACTGAGGGCAGATCCTGGCATACAGTCAGTACTTAATAAATGCCCACTGTGACAGCAGGAGCAGGGGTGGGAGCCCAATCTAACACCATATACTTGGTGCTCACTTGTGAGCTCCATGCTTCCCAAAATTCTGTGGGTTTTGTTTTCAAACCTATGTTGTATTTGTTATGGTAATTACTTGATTTTGTTTCATATTACAAAAACTAACGAAATTAGGGTGAGACAAAGAGTTCTTTTTAAGGAAGCTAAGTTGAAAGCTTTCATAATGACAAATCACTAAAAATATTGTTAAAAATTAGAGCGATAACTAGTAATGACTAAAGAGAATAATCCAAACTCTAGAAGTATTCTGTTCTCAGTTTGCTTTGCAAAGGTTTTTAATTTCTTGCACTGCTTTAAAGAGACCAAAACTGCAACTCCATCCTAAAGATGTGCTCTGCATTTGGTTTTTGCAAGGCCCATACTAAAGAAGAAGTCCTTGGCCCTACTTCAAAGGATTATATGCTTTCTGTTATGATAAAATAATCAGGAATTTTATATGTAATTCATATGATACTTGCTTTAACTCACTATTTTCACATAAAGAATCAACTACCAGGCATGATTATGTTGGTAAGAAGGTCTCTATAATACATGGGAAAAATGAGAAATCATGTAGTGAGAAATCATGTAGGTGACATGTAAGAGAGCTAAATCTTCATCTATGGTAATGTCAGAGGTGTTTGAACCAGAGTGACTCCATCTTGAATAGGGTCCGGATGAAAGAAGGCTGAGACCTACTGGGCTGCATTCCCAAGAGGTTAGGTGTTCTCAGTCACAGGATGAGATTGGAGGTCGGCCTCAAGATACAGGTCAAAAAGTCCTTGCTGATAAAATGGGACCCAGTAAAGAAGCTAGCCAAAACCCACCAAAACCAAAATGGCAATGACAGTGACCTCTGGTTGTCCTCACTGTTCCTTATACATTAATTATAATGCATTAGCACACTAAAAAACACTCCCACCATGACAGTTTGCAAATGCCATGGCAACATCTGGAAGTTCTCCTATATAGTCTAGAAAGGGGAGTATTGGTGGAATCCACCCCCAATATTTCAATGTAGGTTCTTTCTATTTTCCATAAGTGTCGGCCAGCTGAGAAATAAACAGAGACAGTACAAAGAGAGGAATTTTGCAGCTGGGCTGCCAGGGGTGACATCACATATCAGTAGGACCGTGCTGCCCGCCTGAGTCTCAGACCAGCAAGTTTTTATTAAGGGTTTCAAAAGGGGAGGGGGTGTAAGAACAGAGAGTAGGTACGAAGATCACATGCTTCGAAGGGCAAAAGGCAGAACTACTAGTAAAGGTCTAACAAAGATCACAAGGCAAAGGACAAAAGCAGAACTATGATAAGTGTCTATGTTCAGCAGTGTACATATTGTCTTGATAAACATCTTAAATAACAGAAAACAGGGTTCAAGAGCAGAGAACTGGTCTGATCACAAATTTACCAGGGTGGAGATTTTCCCCACCCTAGTAAGCCTGACGGCACTGCAGACCAGGGTGTATCTCAGTCCCTATCTCAAACACGTAAGACAGACATTCCCAGAGTGGCCGTTTATAGACCTCCACCTAGGAATGCATTCTTTTCCCAGGGTATTAATATTAATATTTCTTGCTAGGAAAGGAATTTAGTGATATCTCTCCTACTTGCACGTCCATTTATAGGCTCTCTGCAAGAAGAAAAATATGGCTCTTTTTGCCCAACCCCACAGGCAGTCAGACCTTACGGTTGTCTTCCCTTGTTCCCTAAAAATCACTGTTATTCTGCTCTTTTTCAAGGTGCACTGATTTCTTATTGTCCAAACACACGTGTTTTACAATCAATTTGTACAGTTAACACAATTGTCACAGTGGTCCTGAGGTGACGTACATCCTTAGCTTACGAAGATAACAGGATTAAGAGATTAAAGTAAAGACAGGCATAAGAAATTATAAAAGTATTATTTGGGAAGTGATAAATGTCCATGAAATCTTCACAATTTATGTTCCTCTGCCACGGCTCCAGCCGGTCCCTCTGTTCAGGGTCCCTGACTTCCTGCAACAGGGAAGAACCCTCAGTTCTGGGAAATCCTTGCTCCTTTCCTAGAGAACTCATGAATAATCCACCCCTTGTTTAGCATATAATCAAAAAATAACTATAAGTATACTCAGTTGAGCAACCCATCTCCCTGCTCAGCCTATGGAGCAGTCATTCTTTATTCCATTCCTTTCGTAATAAACTTGCTTTCACGTTACTCTATGCACTTGTCCCAAATTCTTTCTTGTGTGAGGTCCAAGAGCCCTCGCTTGAAGTCTGGGTCAGGACCCCTTTCCGGTAACAGTAACGGTTAGTAAATAGAAAATATCTCAAATTGGTAAACCTAGAAATAATAGCAGAGACGTATGTGGAGATAGAGAGTTAACATATAAAGAATCAACACAGGAATTAAAGTGTTTGCCTCTAGAGTGTAGGACTATTGGCTGGGGAGGCTTGGAGCAAAAGACACTATTATCGGAGTTTGGCGCCACTTAATGATTTTAAGCATGTGCATATATTACTTCAGTAAAATAATTTTTTAAGTGATGGGGAGAGGAAGCTGTGAAGATAGCTCATGAAAACTCTACCATCTCTTATGGTCTTTAAATAATCAAAGATGTGATTTTTCTCTCATTTCCATTGGATGGCTTATTCTACTGCTAATTAAAGCTGTTTTCTTTTTATGCTTTAATTCTATTAAAGTAATATTTTAAATTTAAAATTTAAATTTTTAATTTTTAATAAAAATTATGTTATTCTATTAAATTGATAGTTTTTCTTTTCTTTGAATTTGCATTTTAACTATCTTTAATATTTACTATCTGTGCTGTTTTAACACACTTCCACAAATTCTTTGATTTTTCTCCCGCCTTAAATGTGGGCTCGTGCTGACACTGAAGTGTGACAGAAATAAAGCAGTGCGACTCCGGATGACAGATCATAAAAGGTATTTTGGCTTTTATTCTACTCTCTCTCTTGGGTCATTCACTCTGGGGGAAGCAGCTGCCGTATTGGAAGGATGCTCCTGCTGACCTATGGAGAGTCTCCTAGGAGAAACTGAGGCCTCCTGATGACTGCCACGTGACTGAGCCTGGAAGCAGACCCTCCAGCTGCATTCACATCTCCAGATGACTGCAGCCCTGGAAGACACCTTGATTGCAAGTGCATGAGAAACCCAGAGCCAGAACCACCCAGCTCAATCACACCCAAGTTCATGATTCACAGAAACTGAGATAATAAATGCCTGATGTGCTAAGCCACTTAGTTCTGGGATAATTTCTTACAGGCAGTAGATAACTAATACACCATGAAAGTAATATAGATCTGGTCCATCTGGCCTTTTCTCAAGAAGTAATTCCATTCCAGAGACGTTGATATTCAACACTTTTCATCAAGGAGAGATGATGAAGAATTCCTCCCAGATTGAAATGAAGGTCACCCTAGAAGCACAGATTATGCAAAGAGCACTACAAGAATACTTAACACTTGCATAAGATTTATTTTAGTTTATTCAGGCCCTAGAATCTTTCCTTAAGTCATTTGCAAGTTAAAATATAACAGCTTAACTGCTAGTGGTTTTACATTTTTCTCTTCCCCGTTCTTTTGATTTACTTACCTATGTAATAGCCCATTGATCAAGATCCTCCCTACACCTGAATTATACCCTCAAGGAGGAAACATAAGGAATTGTAAGGGACAGCAAGGCTATAGGTCAGGAATGCTCCTCAGGTCATAGCATGGAAACTAGTACCAAGGCAGAACTTGCTGTCTGTGTAATTTATAAAAGATTTTGTTTTGGTTGTTTACAATTCCAAAACTTCCTTACAGAGATTCCTAATATTTACACAGTCTGCAAGGGCCAAAAATAGACTGTTAGGAGAGGATGGAAGAACAGAGAAAGGTACAGAGAGATGACACAGAAGGGAAATGGAGAAAAGCCTGCTACATCCCCATGTGTTGCGTGCAAGCTGGTCTGACAATTAGTCTCCATGGTGGGCTCTGCAAAGTGTGTTTCACATGAATGGCTTCTGACTCACAATACCTTTGACTGTTATTATTCCATATCTCAAAGGCCATTCTACTTGCCATTTCACATCATCGATTCATATGGTGTGATTCATTGTCATCTTCCATTCATTGCAACTAACTTTGGAATGACTCTTTTTCTCTGCAAGTCTCTTTCCCATAAACTCAACCATTTTTATCCTGTTTCCCAAGGAGTATTAGTCTATATTTTTCCAAATTTGATTCAGTTGTTATGTTACTCTTGCATTTCTTCCCACGGACTAAGTATTACAAACTCTTGTAATACAAAAGTATCACAAGACTTGCCAGTAAAGTCTTTGAGAAGCCATATGCTAACTGCATTAGTCAGGAAGCTTTCAATTTCAAGTGACAGAAATCTAACTCCAACTCAATCAAGCCTAAAAAGGACTTCATTTGCTCACATCACAAAGAAGGGCAGGGGTATAGCTGGGGAAAAATGGAACAAGGATCTTGACACAGCCACTCTCTGTCCCCTTCTGCTTTGCTTCTCTGCTTGTGAATTTCATTCTCTCCTACTGCTAAAGGACTTTTCTCCATGAGAAGAACATATGTAAGCAGTTCAGTTGTTACAAACTTACAGGTTTGCCAGAAGAGAGAACAAAAGGTCTTTCACTCCCAAACAGTGTGAGGAATTCTGGTGACCGGTTTCAATTTGGTCTAATGTGAGTTGCATGCCCATCTTGGACATGTGGAGACAGGACACTGGGAAGGAAATCAAAGAAGATTAGCTAGAAACTCATAGACAGAGGAGAAGAGGAGGGTGCTATTTTCAGATAAAGAGCGGTGAAGGAGTGATGTGCATACAGAAATACTGTGGATATACTACACTGACTGTCCAGATTCATAGTTGTATATGATCTATAACAAACTAAACACCCGGGGAACTAGGGAAATATTTGCAAAACATACAACTGATGTGTCTAGTACCTAGAATATACAAAGAACTGTTACAATTGAAAAATTAAAAAGGCATAAAAATCAATTTAAAAATAGGTGAAAGATTCATATAGACATTTCCCCAAAGAAAATATATAAATGACCAATAAGCATGTGTAAAGAGGTGCAGCATCATTAGTCCCCGGGGAAATGCCAATCAAAACCACAATGAGATAGCAATTCATATCCATAAGGATGGCTATAATTAAAAACAAACCAAAACAGAAAATATTAAGTGTTGGGGAGGATGTGGAGAAATTTCAGAATCCTCATTAGTGAGAATGTAAAATGGTGCAGCTGCTATGCAAAACCGTTTGTCAGCTTTATAAAAAGCTAAACAGAGAGTTACCGAATGATCCAACAATTCCACTCCTAAGTATATACCCAAGAGAGATGAAACAACATACCCACACGAAAAAATTGTACACAAATGTTCATAGCAGCTTTATATTTCATAGTTAAAAAATAAAAAGGACTCATAAGCTGATGAGTAGATAAGCAAACGCGGTATATCATTATAATGGAATGTTACTTATCCATAAAAGGGATGAAGTTGTTACATGCTACAACAGGATGAATATTGAAAACATTATTCTAAGTGAAAGATGCCAGACATAAAAGACCACATATTGTCTGATTCTATGTATAGGAAATGTCCAGAATAGGCCAATCCACTTAGAAAGAAAATAGATGAGTAGTTGCCAGGGGCTGAAGAAAAAAGAAAATGGGGAGATTGTTCACGGGTAAGAGATTTTGGGAGTGGATGGTAACGATGTTCTAGAATTAAATAATAATGATGGTTGTTCAACCTGGTGAATGTACTAAAAGCTACTGAAGTATACATGTTAAAATGGTTATTTGGTATGGTATATGAATTATACATCAATAATAATGAATTAAACAATTTTTGGTCCATTCTGATCATCATTTAGTTGGGGTGTTTTTCCTTTTTTTTTTTGGCATGACATTTTTGCATCTGTCCTAGTTTCAAGTTCCTTACCAAATGATTTTGTGAAATGTATACACATTAATTGGCTCTTTTCCTACAAAGAATAAAAAAAAAAGCCTCTAAGAATGCTAGTTCTAAAATATGTGTGTGTGTGTGTGCATGTGTGTGTGTGTGTGTGTATGTATAGATATAGATATAGATATAGATATAGATATAGATATAGATATAGATATATGTACACATTCCTTCATGGGTTTTATTTAATTCATTCTGGAAAGTATTTTTGTCAACACTTCTCTTACAAGACTCCTTAATCAACCATGGCCATGAACTCTAAGGTATTTTTTCAAGCTATAATAATGACATTATTCCACCAAAAGGGCTTCCTTTGTAATCCTGTTAAAATATTTGCAAAAAAGAGAATTCCAAATACTTTGAATTATCCAGCATGCTACTAGTGGAGAGGCAGCTAGAAATGATAAATCCTAGCACTTCCTAAGAAATTCCTAACAGCAATTAAGCCTGTTTCGCAGTGTTACTGTACTGCTTAGAAAGGAAAGATACTCAGATACATGAGGGAGGGAGAGAAAGGAAGGCACAGAAAGCAAGAGAGAGAACAAAATTGTTGCAATTATCTTGGTATTAATTCTTTTTGACCAGAATGTCATCCATTTTGACTAGAAATCATCCATGCAGGAGTTGAGATTGTAGTGGAGTCCAAAGCTCACACTGCTCACCACACGACAGCCAACACATTGAAAGACAAGGTGTTGGAAGACGACTTTACTTCAGAGAGAGCCAGCAGAACAGCGTCCTAAATAACTATCTTAGAATGCATGAATCTCAAGCTTCTTTTTATACTGGGGAAGAGGGAAGAAGGAGGTGGCTGGTGACCACAGACATCTGAGCATCAGCAGAAGTCCAAGGAGGATGCAAAACTTCTTTGTCCTTGGTCAGGTCACAATGCTCCTATAAATCTTCAACATAACATTGTTACTTGTGCATATGTCCTCCTTATCTCCTCGAGGGTTACTTTGGGGCAGGCACTGTTATCATCTTTGCTTTAAAATTAAACTATAGGCTGGATGTGTTTGTTCAGGCTTGTAATCCCAGCAATTTGGGAGGCCGAGGCAGGAGGATGGCTTGAGCCCAGAATTTTGAGACTAGCCTAGGCAACAAAGAGAGACCCTGTCTCTACAGAAAAAGTTAAACAATTAGCCAGGCATGGTGGTGTGTGCCTGTAATCCCAGCTACTTGGGAGGCTGGGGTGGGAGGATCATTTGAATCTGGGAGTCATGTTTGTGCCACTACACTCCGGCCTGGGAGACAGAGTGAGACCCTGTCTCAAAAAAATAAATAAATAAATAAATAAATAAATAAAAATTAAAAATAAAGTTAAACTGGAAACTAAATTCCTCCCATAGTTAGCTTGGCCTACGTGCAAAAACGGGCAATGGCAGTTAGCTTGTGAGGTCACATGCAAGAAGGAGTCAGCTGTATTAGATTTCTCTCACTGTTACAAGATTAGCTCTACATATGTTTTAAAAGTTCAAACTACAATTTTCTTATTCATTTAGAAATAATTGAAAAATCAACATGTGAGTACTAAATTATCAAAATTACCATTGATAAAACCTAACCTAGCTCTCCCAGTGTGCGAAAGCAATGCTGAGCATTATTTATATATTCTTCCATATCTACTAGTGAAGTAAATAGTGAATAGAAATGCCACTGGTCTTGGACTCAGAAACTTAAGGTTGAAGTTCAAGTCCATCATGGCCTAACCATCTGTATGGTCTTTGAGTCACTGAATCTATTTGGGTCTCAATTTTCTTATCTATGAAGAATATTTTTCTGCAGTCTGTGCAGAGATAGCTCATGTCATTCAGGTCTCAGGTTAAAATGTCCTCTGCTCAGAGCTGCCTTTGATGGTCATGTCATCTAAACTAGCTGTCCATCCCACAGCCACCTATTTGAATTATCTGAATAGCACTTAGGACTCTTCAGTTACTTTTTCCTCATTTAATTGTTTATTATGTACTCTTTGTTTTATTGTCTGCTACCCCTGGCAAAATACAAGCTTCAGGGAGGGAAAAAACAAAAAACAACAAAAAAAAAACACCTGCCTACTGGTTCACCAGTGCATCACCAGTGCCTGGCACAAAAATAGGCATGCAATAAATAGTTGATGAATGAATAAGTGAATAAATATAAAAGGGGCTCAAACTGGTGCCCTGCCAGCTTTCAAAGGCTCTTGTGAGGACCACAAAGAGGAAGTAGATGCGACCATGGCTTAGAATGATGGAACACTCTGCAAATGGAAGATTTTATTACTCTGATTTTAATTTTCCTTCAAGGTTAACAACATGTTTCTACCCATAACTTCATGAATTATTTTCATAGCTAATAAATTCTCCACATGGAATGTAAGATGGCTCTCCAATTTTCTGAAGCAATTTCACTTAGAAAAAATAAAAAAAAAAACACAATGAAATTCACAAAGATAATTATGTCAGGGTCCATGTCCTAATTACAGTTTCTTAGCAAGAGTTAGTTCAAATTTCTTCGTTTCCGTAGCCAATGGAACCTCAGGACTTGAGTGCTTTCCCACAGCATTCCATAAGAGGTCACAAAAGAAAGAGGAGGCAGGGAAGAGCATGCCGGCTTGTGTGCATGTGGGTCTCACATTCTCCACCTCAACGTCTTCTCTGATGGCCTGTCTTACTCAACCTCTCAAGTGATGGCAAAGTAGGTGGCAAGTCACAGACCTCATGATGAAACTCTGGCCTCTATGTTCTTGTTCAAAGCTGACTGCACAAAGCCCTGCCTTTTTCTTAAGTCTTCATGATTTATAGGAGGCTGTAGAATAAATATCAGGCTGGAGCCTTGCTCAACATGTTGTCATTGCCTGAGTATGAATTCCTGAGCTATGGAATCACTTGCTTTTCCTACTGGGGGTTGGTGAGTTGGAACGCTTCAAGATGTCAGTGTGGAATCTTCTAAATCCACCCGGCTTCCTGAATATTATGAAAACATAGTGGTTAAGATTATTATCTTTGGAGTCAGCGAGACCTGGGTCACAAACAACTCCATCACCTATGATCTCTGCAACTTTGGCCAATTTCTCGCCTCTCTAAGTCTCAGTTTCTCCAACTTTAAATGGGGTGATACCATCAACTATCTTAGAAAACTGTTCGGATTAACTGGAAAAATGCATATGAAGCCCTTCACATAGTGCCTGGGATAACAGGCTTACTTATTGTTAATTATTGTATGACAAGTCCACAAATATAGAACTATATGTGCTAAAATTCAAGGTTGAGAGAAAAAGTAAACTCTTCTAAACTTCAGTCTCCAGTATCCAGAACCACACAGGCATGATTGCTGCATAACTGAAAGTTAGTTTATAAAAATCTTTTTGCTTTTGAATACTCTTCTCAAGTGTATGGGTTTAATGCTTTGGTGCATTAATAGTAATAGATACATAGTTTTAAATTCTGTAATATACCTAATAATTATATATATATATATTTTTTTTAATTTATAAAGTGGTAAGAGCCACTTTATAAAGTACATTGAAATCAAAGGGTCAGGTCTTTAGCTCTGTTTCTTTTCTTGAATAAGTCCTGAGCCCTTAGGAGCCTCAGTTTACTCTTTGTGATAAAATTAGATCATTGATCCCCAAAATGAATTCTCCAGAACATTAGTTCTGGGAGATGACAAATAGTGTTTAATAGTCAAATTCTATTTGGAAAAAGATAAGTAACAGCTGTCTTTACCATAGAATTTCCCAAATGCTTTGAGCTCCAATTTGGTCATATGTATTTCCCTATGGAAATGTAGTTTTCTGTATTTCCCAAATATAATTAATTAGAGAATTGTTTAATATCATCAGGCATCTTGTAGGACTAGAGTTCTAAGAAATATTTTATGAAATGTAGGGCTATATAAACACCCAAGGTCCCTTCCAAATCTAAACTATAAAGCTCTGATGCACTTCTCCCTTCTCCATGCTCAGACTGGACTTTGCCACAACAATGCTGCTGATCTCTTCCACAACATTTTACCAAAACCCAAGCTGCTGGACGTTTCCCCAAACATCCCACACTTTCCACTCAATTCTTCATAGAACAGATCCTTGTATTGCTGGGGTCAATTGGCACATCAGCCAATGCATGATGCCCGTCTTCAATCATCATGAAAATGCATTTGTGGAGAGATGAGACCATGGTCTGCATCGCAAGAGTAGAAGTGGTGGTCTCTGGGCTGCGGTGAGGAGCTCACCCTCCCCAAGTGTCTATCAGTCATGGTTTCCCAGGTAACACTGCACTTTACCTCTTTCTTGGAGGACTTTGGATGCTCTTAGAGAAGGAGGAATTGAACTATGTTGTTTAAAGACCATGGGATTTATAGCATTAAGAAAGCTGCCTGACCTTTTTGAGCAGCTGATTTATCATCCATAACATGGGAGTGTAATGGGATAGGACCTGCACAGAACCCACCACATGCAAAGAACATGCTAGGTTCCTTTCCTTCATTCCTTGCCTTACTTTTTTTTTTTAACGTCCTTTTATATCATGGAAACACATGTTCTTTCCTCACCGCAAAGCTGGAGAAGAGCGGCAAATGGACCACCTGAGTCCTATTTATACTCTGAGAGGACACAAAATTTAGTGAATTCCAAACAGTTTCACCATGGTACAGGGCATTATACTGCAAAATGATGATGCAGGGGAATTTCTTTCTCCTAAAATAAGTTAATTACAAAACTTGCTTTTGCTCAGAAAGCTAAAATCTTTATCAGGTTAGGCAAAGTATGAACTGAGGGTTGTGAATGAACTTTAGTTCCCATGAAAGGAACACGTGTGCTATTTATATGAGTCACAGATACGATGGGAGAAACTGACCAGAAACAGAAGGAAAGCCACTCTCCTATGACACACTCCAGTGGGTGGGAAACTCAGTAGGTTAGGATGAATGATGCCTATGACCAGAAACTGACGACACTCGCTCCAGAGGTGGTCTTCCTTCTGGTACACTCGATGACCATACCTTATGTTCTAGATTCCACACAGTCAACTTAGGTGGGTTGGGACACAATTCTCATGACCTGAAATCTCAGGTTATGAAAGAGGTGGCTGGGGTGGGTGGGGAGATGCTGTACACTCACACAAGTGTCAAGCTCATATTTCTACACTCTGTGTCCCAGGAAACAATCCTCCTGGGGGCCATGCTATCTTTTCTAGTAGATGGGAAGAAGTGGACCAAAAATAGTCCTTTAATCATTATATTAACTCAGAGGGGAAATGATTAGTATGTCCATTTTACACATGAGGAGTGCTGAAGTTGATAGAAGTTAAGTAACTTGCCCATGGTCATAATGCCAGTATGTGGGGATTTGAAATAACCTTATTTTGCGACATGCTCTCTCTACATCATGTTAATGACAAAATGATCCCCAAAGCAATCCTTGCAAAACTTATAAGTTAATTATAAATTTAGAACACAGAAATGAAAATGAAGAACCAGAGTTCTGGCCATAAATGAATTCTGTTAAGAGATTTCCAAAATTTAATCAGAGTCCCTCCAAATTCTATCTTGACACAAAATACGTGTTTTCACTAGATTCCAAAATCTTACCGAAGGTATTTATCTGCTTAAAATAAGTAAACCAAGCTAAAGAAGTATTCACTTAGCATATGCATTGAGAAAACACTGAAGGAATGATAGTAGAAAACTGAAGTGAGAACTTCTAATAAACTCCCCCAAGGGTATATATGCCCTCTTTCTAAAAGGACGTTACTTTTTATCGGAGCCCTGGCTTGGGAGTTAGGAAATGTAGATTATACCTTTAAAATATCATTCCAGTTCATCTCCACATCTCACTGCTTCCTTTGAATTAAATTTACTTCTTTCTTTTTTTTTTTCTTCTTTTTTTTTGAGATGGAGTCTCACTCTGTCGCCAGGCTGGAGCGCAGTGGCTCAATCTCAGCTCACTGCAACCTCCGCCTCTCAGGTTCAAGCAATTCTCCTGCCTCAGCTTCCCAAGTAACTGGGACTACAGGTATGCACCACCACACCAAGCTAATTTTTGTATTTTTAGTAGAGGTGGGGTTTCACCATGTTGGCCAGGATGGTCTCAATCTCTTGACCTCGTGATCCATTGGTCCACCTGCCTTGGCCTCCCAAAGTGCTGGGATCACAGGTGTGAGCCACCACGCCAGGCCCAAATTTACTTCTTACCCAGGTACATTCAGTAATTAGTCTATGAGTACTAAATTCTCATAGTCTTTTTCCAGAAATGCCTTTATTTTCTCTCACATTAAATCATAATATCACAGTATGTAGAATTCTAAAATGATAGCTATTTTCCCTTTGCATTAGAAAGTCTTCCTCCCATTAATTTGTTTGATTTTTCTGATGAGAAATTTTCTGTTTATCTAATTTTCCTTCCTGTCTAGATAATCTGTCTCTCTTTGATTGTCATTAGGATTTTTCTCTTTGGTAATCTCCAGTTCTATTACAATATATAAATGTGTGAATTTTTCTTTTTAACTTGTCTTGGTTTTCATTCTGGAAGCTGTGGTTATTTTAATCTCGGTATTTGTATATTCCTTCAATTCTGGGAAATTATCAATCATAATCCCTTCAAAGGTATCTCTCCCTTCAAAAATACCTTTCTATATGAGTTCCTTTGAGAATTCCCACCAGAAAAATGTTGCATCTGCTGTCTCCCATCTGTCTTAACATCTTTCTTCATCTCTTTGTGATGCTTTCTGGGTGAGTTCCCTGCTATGTCCTTCAATTATGAATTCTCTCAATAATCTTCATCCCTCTACCTCTCTACTGAGGGCTTCCTTTTAATGACTATACTTTTGATTTCTGGTTCCATAAACATACCTATGTATTTCTTAGTGTCCAGTTTTAAAATTATATTTATATTCCTTCCTTTATTTATTTAATGCTACTGGTAGACTTGTTAATAATCTTGTGTATAAACCATTTCCCTTTGCTTGGATTGGCAGGAGTGCAGCTGGGGTGCCTGTAGGGGTGCTGTGGGAGACGTGGCTGGTCATGATGGGTGCTACGGGTCAAAGTCAGTTCTTGTAAGCAGGGAACTATTAAGAGTTTTTAGTAACAGACTGGTATGACCAGATCTGCACTTAGGATACAGTTCTCTGACAATAGTAGGTACGATGATTCTGAGTAGGCAGAGATCAGATTTCCGGAGACTCTTGTAATGTTCCAGAAAAGATCTATCTTTGACTGTATCAGTGAGGCTAGCATGGGTGGAAAGAATGGCAAAGACATTGTGGATGTCCCTCAGTTTGACCTTCCTCAGATAAAAAGAAGCGTTCAGCATCCTGATTTTAACAGGATATATTTGACATGTCTCCTAAGTCACTCGGGTTTTATATGAAATTGCTCCAGTTGTTAATAAACAGGAAGTTCTTTATTCTGGAATTTGGTCACCTCTCTTTGCTTTCACTCCAGTTCAACCTGGTGACCAGATACAATTTGAGGTGAAACTTAATCAAGTCCTCATTTTGCTTAAAAAAAAAAAAGTATCTTTTTCTGCCCTGTGGCCAATGGAGCTTCCGATCTCAGCAGCCACTGGAGAGAATTTACAGTATGTCAATCCTAAAACATTTTCCAGATGCACTTCCCCATCCAGCACCCTAGCTATGTCCGATCCATTCTGACTCAGAGCAGGCAGCCTTAGGGTTAGGCAGATGTGCTGGTGCTGTCTGGCCACTTGAGCAGGAGGCAAATTAGATATGCACAGACTTCATGGCAGGGAGTATTGGCCAAGATTAGGCCTAACATGAACTCTTGTGGGTTTGAAGATTCCTGTGCAAGAACAGTCCTTTTTGAGAATTGGGATAATTTGTTTTTGGCAAAACACTGTTTCTTTTTTTGAGGGTGAGAAGAAAAGGAGTGTGGGAAAAGCTTTGGAAATCTTGCAAGACCTCTTGGACATGGACTATGTGTTACAAAACACATTTTGATGAGTTAAGTGTTAACCAATCAAAAACAGACAGATTGTCTTTCCCATGTTGGCTTCAAAATGCGGCAGGGGAAGTGCCATTGCTGAATATGGTTGAGAATTGCTGAACCCAGTCATTTACAAAAGAATGTCAGAGTCCATATCATAAGAGGACAGGGTTGAGTTTGCTTGTTCCTTTTCACAGAATATGACTGCAACCTTCTGGGAGAAAAAAAAATGAACAATACCAAATCAAAAGCAGCTCCAACTGTCAGCGGAGGGCAGTCCAAAATAAAAATTTCAAAGGAGAGAGAGATTAGTTTTAAGCCATAATGAACTCTCTTTGTCATTGAAAGCTCATCCAAAAAAAAAAAATAGTTCATGACAACTTTTGACAGGCAATGATCTGGATGCTTGATATACACAGACAGTTACTTCTTGCTCTCACCCAGCTCCTAAAGTCTCCCTAGGCAAATAGACTTACAGGCAGATAATTACAATATATTGGGATTCTATAGAATTTAATGTAGCAAGGAGGGAAATGCTGACTTTGGTGAGATTGGGAAAGATCTTGCGGAATTGTTGTTTTTAAAGAAGGTCTCTAAAGATGTTCAGGCATCCCAGAATAAGTAAATAGCATATGCAAAGATTTGGATTCATGAAGGAATTTTGTGACCATACACCAAGAAAGGGAAAGTGTGTACACGTTGCAGAAGGTGTGGCCAGAGCCCTTAGGACAGATTGGAAGGGTTCCTGCATGGCATGCTGAGATACTTGAGCCCTAATGCAATGCAATATTTGTTTAAATAAGGGATTTTACTTTTCAGCTTAGGACTTTATTCAACAGAGATGTGCACTTTTTTTGTGTGAAAAATACCACTGTCTTAGGATGCTGACCCCATATCTATAAAGGAACAAGAGCACTACCTTCTGCATATAGCACAATTAAAACTAAAATATATCACAGAAAGACACAAGATTTCTTACAAAAGACAGTTCAGCTCAGAGACATGGAGGATAATTTAAATACTGAACATGTCTGAAAGGAGTTCCATAAAAATGAATGGAAGAAATAGGGGAAAAAAGCAGCAGTATAGAAGGGAATTTTACAGAAATGAGGATTAAAAAGTCTATAGATTGAAAATGGATTCCAAGCACTAAGAAGGATGAATAAACATGAATTCACACCCAGAAATATCAATATCAGTATAGCATATTAAACAAAATAAAACAAGATTAAGAGAAGCTCTTAAAAGCTTTGAGGCAGATGAAAGAAATTACCTAGGCAAGAATGGAAAATAGCAGCCTTCTCAGAGATATCTTCAGAGTAAAGGGAAAACAACCATCAAGCTCGGAGTTTATATCCAGCCAAATAAACTGTTACTAAAGAGTAGGGAAAAATAACAACATTTTCAAACTTGTAAAGTTTTTGAAAGTTTACCATCCTCACAGTTCCCAAAAAAGCTACCAAGAAATGAGTTTCTGAAAGAAAAGAAGCAAAAATAGAGGTGTTGGAATAAAATTTAACCAATAATATTGATAACATGTCTTCTTAAATGTTTTTATTTTTAAACTTTTTGTTTATTATTTGTTTTTGCTATTTTATTTTGCTGTTCATATTAACTTATTATGATTAGGATATTTTAATTGAAAAAATACTAATTTTTAAAGGACAAAATTAAACTCCAGACAACAATAACAAGAGTGGGAAATAGAATGTCAAGTTATGTAAAAATTTGTGTGTGTGTGTGTGTGTGTGTGTGTGTGTGAGACAGAGTCTTACTCTGTTGCCCAGGCTGGAGTGCAGTGGAGCAATCTTGGCTCACTGCAACCTGTGCCTCCCAGGTTGAAGCAATTCTTGTCCCTCAGCCTCCTGAGTAGCTGGGACTACAGGTGTGCAACACCATGCCTGGCTAATTTTTGTACTTTTAGTAGAGACGGGGTTTCACCTTGTTGGCCAGGCTGGTCTCGAACTCCTGGCCTCAAGTGATCCACCCGCCTCAGCCTCCCAAAGTGCTGGGATTACAGGCATGAGCCACCACAACCGGCCAACATGTGTGAGGATTCTTGATTCTTATAGTGATAACTAGGAAAGTATACTGAATAATTTTCAACTTCACTAGAATAATATACAGTTAAATGTATATGTTAGAATTTTAAAGTAACCACTAAAATAATAAAAATGCAATCCATATATATTCCAATCCAACATTAAAAGTGAGAAAAAAATTTTAAAAAAACAAATGTTTTTTAGTTCCACAGAGCACAGAAAAGGAGAAAAAAGGGCAAAGAAAGAAAATGTTCTTTGAAACATAAAACTGTATGGTTGAAATAAATCCAAATATATTATTAATCATAATAAATATATACAGATCATACATGAAAATTGAAAGGCAGAAATTATCATGCTAGGTAAAATAAAATAAGATCTAAGATTCAACTTACAAGATATGCCTCTACGGTAAAAACACACAGAAAGGCTAAAATTGAAAGGAGGAATAAATATGTTTTAATAATAATCCAAAACAAAATAATACAACAGTATTAACATCAAACAAAATTTACATTAAGGCAAAGCATGTTAATAAGTATAAACAGAGGCTACAACATGATCATAATAGAACAATCATCAGGAAGTTAGAGTAATCATAAATTTGTACGGGCCTAACTCCAAAACCTCAAATATAGAAATCCTGAATTAACAAAATTAGGAGATAATTGACAAGCCAATGAAGAATTTAACACAATTGTATTAGAAACTGATTGCTTAAGCCTAAAAATCAGAAGTAAGGAGAGAAAACTTTTGAAAAATTCTATTAATAGACCTCAGAGAGATCTGGTCTCCTGGATTGATATAATATGGAACCATATTTCCAACCAATATATGTGTTTTTTTCAACAATGCTTGGAAATTTTAAATGATATATCTTTAAACTAAGGTTTCTCAGGACATGTCTTCTTTTGACACGTTTTCTCCTATTTTTCACTCAGATTTATTTTCTATGACTTATGTCTTCCATGTGTCTACTGAAGAGTCATCTAGCCAGTCAGATGGTGTCTACTGTGGCTGTGATTTGAGACTGATGCGTCTCCTGGGAGCTTCCCAACTTGACCAATGTCTTCCTCTTCAGCCTTTGAACAGTCGTCAGTAATAAGATTTAGTCACACTGATGTGAGTTGAATTTCAACTTGTGGCCTCGAGTTCAGAGGTGCTCATTTTCATTTTCTGAAGAAGAAAGTTTCTGTCTGGGACCCTCCCTGCCTTTGGAGGGAGACACGCAAGTCCGGAGGTTATTCGTGCCCTTTGGAACTCTTCCTGGGAGAGTCCAAGGAATGTCGTAGAATCAACCCGAAAATGACAAACACTCACCAGTGCCCTTGAATGCCGTCACTATCTCTGACTCCATTAGCCTTTTATGGTCTTTTCCAAAAAGAACCTAATTAAGTTATCAGAACGGGTCAGGCCATATGTGTCTTCTGACCTCAACTCATCTCTCCAGGCTTCTACTATTGGGCTGGAATGCTGCCTGTTTTTACTTTCCCAGAAACATAGAGAAATTAATATGCCATCCTTCATAAGTGACAATGATGCTATGGCCATACTCTAGGCTAGACGTTCATTGTGCCATGATAAGAGGTTTCCATGGAGCCATAACAACCACTTACATCCCCACCGCCCTCACACTTTACCAAGCCTTTTCCTAAGCTGGTGTCATCTGATATGACCCCAAATCTTATTATATAGGCAAGAGAAGTATTATCCTCTTTATTTGAGAAATTTGAGACTAACAGAATTAAAAGCGATATCCTGATTTTCACACGGCTTTCTGGAGATGTAAAAATTAAAACTGACATTTTCTAACTCAAATTCTTACCCTCTTCTCACACTCTTTTTGGCTGTGTCGTACATTTCAAGCTGGATCTATGGGTGGAAGTGCCCTGGGCACTGTTGCTCAGCAACAAAATTCACTCTTCTGAGAGGACCTGACAACACCTGAATATACCCAAATTACAATTTGGCAAAAGACACACACTCTGAAGCCAGACTGCTTGGGCTCAAATTCTGACTCCAACACACAGTCTAAGCTGTGTGACCTTGGGCAAGTTTCTTAACCTCTCTGTATGTCAAGTTTCTTCAACTATAAAATGGGGATATGAATTTCACCTAAGGTTGTTATAGGATTCTATAAGTAAATACTACACTCAAAGTGTCCAGAATAGTGCCTGGCAATTAATAAGTACTTGCTGCTGTGATGTTGTCATTGATGTCGCTGTTGCTATAGAATCAGGATTGTTTGGCTCAGGCAATGACCAGTGTTTAACTGCTGTGACCAAAACACCACAAACATGCCAGGATCTGAGGTTAGCTTAGAGGAAAGGGAAACCCTTCCTTCATTGATGAGGTGGAGAGGATGGTCTCATTGTAAAAAGAAAAGCCAGGTGGGTCTGCACAGATGAGCGGGTTAGAGAGGCACACAGGCCTTCTCCTGGTTGCCGTGTTCCCAGACACAGAACATCGCCACTGCAGCCACGGTGAATTTTCTCCTTCTTAGGGATTTTCTCCAACTCTGTAACCAGCTCACGAATCTCATCCCTTCTTACCTCCATAGGCCTTTGTGTCTCCCCTGCACCCCCTTGTTTTGGATTCATTTTAGAAAAGAATGAACTTGAGTACCTAAAGTGCCAAGAGCCCAATCCTGCTGATGACAGAAGTCGATGTTCCAGTCACTGAGGCCTGACATGTTCACTCTTCTTTTGTCATCACCTGGTTCACTTCGGTGCCTAACATTTGCTGGTTCAAATACAAATCTGAAGGGTGCCACAGTGGACAGAGTGTTAGGTACATGCTAAATGGAGCCCCCAGGAAACCCTAGATAATTTGAACTTTCTCTATGATCGAAGAAAGATTTTAAGTCCCAAGCATCCCTTCTTTCTGGTTTTCCCTTGCTTCTTTCACTTTTTTTTTTTTTTTTAAAGAGACAGGGTCTTGCTCTGTTGCCCAGGCTGGAGTGCAGTGGCGTGATCACAGCTCACTACAGCCTGGACCTCCCAGGCTCAGGCGATCCTCTTGCCTCAGGCAATCCTCCTGCCTCAGCCTCCCAAGTAGCTGGGACCACAGGTGTGCACCACCATGTCCAGCTACTTTTTTAAAAAAAGTTTTGTAGAGGGCCAGGCGCAGTGGCTCACACCTGTAATCCCAGCACTTTGGGAGGCCGAGGCAGGTGGATCACAAGGTCAGGAGATCGAGACCATCCTGGCTAACATGGTGAAACCCCGTCTCTACTAAAAATACAAAAAATTAGCCAAGCGTGGTGGCGGGCGCCTGTAGTCCCATCCAGCCTGGGTGACAGAGTGAGACTCTGTCTTAAAAAAAAAAAAAAAAAAGTTTTGTAGAGATGGAGTTTCACTTTGTTGCTCAGGTTGTCTTGAACTCCTGGCCTCAAGGGATTCTCTCACCTTGCCCTCACAAAGTGCTGGGATTACAGGTGTGAGCCACAGCACCCAGCCTTCACTACTCTTTGGAGCCCGAAAGCCCTGTCCCAGACCCTGAGACCATGACAGCTCTCATACTGTGCCTGCGTCCTCCAGCCTATCTGGTTTTGTCATTGTCGTGGGCTGTCAGGGGAGCAGACCCTTGACTTCCTGGGCTCCATGAATAATTACTGTGGTTTCTGGCAGGAACTCCCTGTCTTCCCACCACCCAGCCCGCCACCCTTGTCCTCTCCCTCTTCCAGGAAGCCTGCTTGTTCCTTCTGCTCTCTCCAGCCTGTGCTCTCAAGCACCACTCGCAGGCCTCGCCAGCTGATTTTCTGGGTCTTCTCTGCCCTTCCTTAGAGAGTGCATTTCTTTGGTCCTGCATGTCTTGTTCACTCCAGTTTTCTCACTTGGCTCCTCACAGCCCATCCCAGAGACCACACATCCACTTAGCCTTACGTAAGCAAAGCTGGGTTCAGCATCACCCAGCAATGCCACACACACCTCCTGACGAGGCTGGCCTGCTCCTACCTTGGAAAGCCACCATTTCCTTCCCCCGTGAAATGCAAAATGCCAAATTTACTCTAGGAAAGTAAAATTAGTTTGTGGTCATGGGGGTTGTTTGCCCCTCCGTTTGTGGCCTGTCTTGAGGGAGCTGTCATTGTTTGCTGTTTGTGCAGTTCAGGTGTGCAACTAACACCTCTTCCTTTGCACATCAGCCCCAGGAGGGGACTATTCCTGAGATATGCAGAACAGCTCTGTAGTCCACCTGAGGATCCTGACCATACAAGCTTCAGGCCTCAGGTTCTAACTAACATTTAAGTACATTTCAATTAAACATCACATTTCAGACTAATATGTCTTTAAAGTAAATGCACTAGGGAGATATGGAAGCCCCATGACACATTTAGCAATCACATTTTCTCGAATTAGTAGCTAATGGTACATGAAGTGAGGTCTCCTGTTCAAACCCAGAGCTCAGCTGTATGGAAGTCCTGTCTTTCTTCCCTACTTCTATTTGCCATTGAAACTTCTCCCTTGGCAGGTCAGCTGCTATGGAGTGCCTTACTTCTGCCTGGGAAACATCTTCACTTCCCCATCTAGTAATATGGGAGATATTTACTTTTTCTCTGTATTTCCCTATTAGCCTGTATATCTATATATCTATATATATTTTTCATCCATGCCCTCTATCTCCAAAAGGCATCTGTTTAGGGTATCTATGCCCACATCCTGATATCCCAGTCCCTTCAGCTGACAGTTAACCCCACAGCACTTTCAGACCCAAAGTGAGGTCCACTGGTGTTTTTGCATGTTATATAATACTTACACGCACATATATGTGTATGTATATGTGTATATATATATATCTGTGTGTACATATATATATATGTAGATATTCAGCTGTCAGTGTTATCATTATGTCTGGCAGATTTATAAACAACAGCTTTTAGACGCTCAGTTAGAGTTTACATCATTGAAACCCACAACAGATTGAAAAATAAAACGGAAAATTTACTGGAATGGTAACCATCCTCTTCCCACTGGCTCCAGGATGTGATATCCAGAACAAGAAGATTCCAGGATGTGAGGCACAAAGGAGGCTGCTGTAAAGATCCCCTAATTGGGGCTCTCTCCTCCCACCCTGCACTCCCCAATACCACTGGCCCAACCCATTGCAGATGTCTGTGGTCCTGCTGTGAGGAATAGGAATGCCTTTGAATTAGCAATGTTTTAATACTAAGAGAGTAAGTAACTGAGGGAGCCAAATTTGGTCTGCTAATGTAAACTGCTTTATCAGATCCTTTCCAGTTTGATAACAACTAAGAATATTTCCCCAGAAGAGGACAAACTATAGGAAAAATTGCAAAGGTTGGGGGTGGGGACTTAAAATGGGAACAGATGAGCAAGTGTCCTGGGGAGGTCAAAAAGGGGGCAGAATCCAAAGAGCCTGAGGCACTCCTTGCCTTCTTCACCACCCACAGAGACCTGTTCTGGATAACCTGTGGCTCTGGGCTCCGGTGGGCAATTCCGGCCCTCACCACACCTGTCAGCTTTTGAGTGTCTGTCCATCCATAAGTCAGATCAGAAATTCTTAGCAAACTCAGCTTCTCTCCCAGCCCATCCACCCCACAAACACTGCCCCTCATACACCTTCCCACCATGAGAACAATCCTCTTTCAGGTCTTTGAATATCAAAGAACTCTCTTTAGGTCATAGATCATCCTTTCCCAACCAGCCATAGACAAGTGGCTGGAGGGAATAAGAAACCAGGAGATGGAATAATAATGGTATTTATTAAATAGATGATATGGAAATATATAGTAATGGCATTTCTTATAGAATAGACTTATGTAATTGTTACCAGAGCACCAGGCATTCAGTCTAGGTCCCATTGCTCACTGCACAGAAAGCCAATCGCTGAGACAATGAGTATCGCCAGGAAAGAAAGGCTTTGTTCAGGTGATGTCAACAAGGAGAATGGGAGAGGAGTCTCAAATTCATCCCCCCGACTTGGGGGGTTTGTACGGTGGGGGAAGGAAGGTAGCTACATGCAGGAAGGATTGAAGGAGAGATAAGGAAGTAATCACGACAAATGAGGGGTCTGTCTTCTCGTTGTCTGGGAGTAGCAATCTGGCGAGTTTCAGTCCCTTGCCTGAGAGTGGGTTTCCTGAGGAAGAAACTCAGATGAAACAAGTGTAAGTTTCAAGTTTAAAGACTGGAAAGGTCAATTTCCATGTTTATTCAAAAACTCATAAATATCATTTTTATGTGACAATTGGGTTGTTTTATAATACTTATGAAATAGATAATAGTATATATAGTTAAATTTTCCATCCCTCAATTTCTTATCTTCCAAATGGCAATAACAATAGCATGTACAGAATAGAGTTTTAAAGATTAAATAAGCTGATATCTGTAAAAACTTGCTTGGAAAATAGTAAGTGTTCAGTAAATATTATTTATTGATATGACTATTTCTGCAGAATCTTTCTAATATTCTGGATTTAAGAAAAGTTGAGTAGCAAGTAATAGATTCCCACCTGCATCTGGGTCGTTAGTTGTAGTCAGAGTTGGTGCCAAAATATTCCAAGTGTTAATCCTCCCACATACACACACTACTCCCCATGTGAAATGAACTCAGGTAAAAGCAGAGAACCATGTGGTCAATTAGGAGGAACTGGCAGAGACCACTAATTTTTGGGAAAACTCATTTCTGACTTTTTTCAGATCAAACAGAGCTGTGAGCAAATTTTTTCTGGCTGTAAGGAAGGAACACATTCATAAGCCAAAGACACAGACCTATGAGGTGTGCAACTTCCTGTTTCCTTGGTGAATGCTTCAGAAAACACTCAGTTGGGAATTTAAAATTTTTCCATTTGCTGTCACCCTTCAAAGCTCGTTGAAGAATGGATGGGGTGAGTCAGGGAGCTGGTTTGGGGATAGACTTGGGGGAGGCTTCCACACTCTTCCTTGATTTTGTAGTAACTCACAGAGACCAGTGACCTTTGCATTCTGACTCTGGCTCTGGGTAAGGGTGTGTGACTCCTTAAATGCACAGACCCAAAGCTTCTGAAAAGCATAAGGTATTTCGTGCAAGTCAATGACTAAACCATTCAGGGAAAATGGAACCCTATTCTCTAACAAAAATATCTCTTGGGTTAGTGTTCCACTCTGATGGCTCATCCTCAAGATATAACTGTTTAATTAATTCAAATAAGTTTGTTTTGACCTTTCTTGACCTTTCTGTGGCTCTTGACAAGGCAGGCATCGGCTCCATCTTGAAACCCTCCTCCCGGGGCTTCAGGTACTAGTCTTTCTTGGTTTCTTTCCTCTTTCCCTCACCACAGTTTCTCAGCTCCACTGCTAATAGATCCTCTTTCTACAACTGCTTCTAAAATGCCTGGACATTCAGAGTTTCATATTTATTCTTTTTCACATTTTAATTCTAACCAATGGTTTTTAATCTTTTCTGGCGACCAATCAATTCAAGAAATCTGATGAATCTATGGATTTTGTCACTGTAAAATTCACACTCTTACATCTGAAATGTTACACACGACTTCGGGGGATCCCCAGCCCACTGTAATGACCCCACAGCACCCCAGAGGATCTGTGTGGGAAAGAAAAAAAGCAGCCCGTGAGACTCAGGAACTTGTCTGACTCTCGGAGCAGGGCCTCTGTGCTGAGAAGGTTGCTGGTGCTCACATGGAAGATGGAGGATGTCTTATCCTCCTGTCGTATATGAACCATCTCACAGAACACCAGAAACACCAACATCAGACAAGAGCACTTTGAGACCATAATAATCACAGACAAAAACAAGGTGACCATGTAACTAACAAAATGCTGCACCTACCCCCTACCCCAGCAAATATGAAAGATGTTTTCAATTACTTCTTTATCAATTACAGCTGGATCCTCACTCTCTCATCTTCCATTTCTATAGAGAAGATTTATTTAGATACTCAGCCATAGAATTGTCTCTGCTTTCTTTTCACTTATTTTTGGTAACAGCTTTATTAAGATATGTTAATAATTCATACAGCATACAATTTACCTATTTAAAGTGCTCAATTCGATGATTTTTCCAGTATATTTAGAATTGTTCAACCATCATAAGAATGAATTTTCGAACATTTTCATCTCCTGCAAAAGAAACCCTGCACCCCTTATCAATAACCCCCAATCGGCTCATTCCCCCAACCCTAAGCAACCACTAATCAACTTTGTCTCTCTGTATATTTTCCCATTCTGAACATTCCCCATAAAGGGAATCTAATAATACATGTTATTTCTGTGTGGGGGACAGAGGGAGGGCTGGCTTCTGTCAGTTGGTATAGTGTTTTAGGTTCATCCATGTTATAGCATTTATCAGTATAGCATTCCTTTTTACGGGAAAATGGTATTCAACATGTATTTCAATATTATTTCAATGGATATACCATATTTTGTTTATCCGTTCATTAACTGATAGACATTTGGGTTGCCCTTGTTTTCTGACAGCACCCAATCTAGAACAAACCCCTGCTTTCTTAAACCCACCTTAAATCACCCAACTACAGCCAAAGTCTTATCATAAGTCCTTTCTAATACCATCTTATGGAGACACCCCACAGTTCTCCAGGATACATGTTTTTCCTTACTGCAATGAGTAATAAACCCAAGCCTTTGGTGGTCTTTGGCTGGAGAACATTGACACACAGATTCTATGTTACTGCAGATCCTTGCTCCAGAATTAAGACCTGGCCTAAGTTACACCATTCAAGTCCTTAGCTTCAACAATCAGCAAAATGTTAGCTCCTAAATGAATATACCCAGGCATCATACATCTCACTATTTATTAGACATATCTACCATGGTGTCCTACAAATACCTCAAATGCAAATGTCAAAAACAAAGTACTCTAAAATTTTATTTTCCTCTGACTGCTATCTTAATTAAAGCCACCACCATCTAACAATACACAATTCAAAAATCAGGAGGTCACCCCACACGTGTAATCCCTCAGCTCCTAAATCTGTACTTGCCTCTTCATTTCCACCAAAGCTGCCTTATGTCTTTTACCTAGACTTTTGCAATGACCTTCTTGCTACCTGGCCTCCTTCCTCTCCAGCCTTCACTCCTTCCTTTGTTCCTTCCACATGGCACTGACGTTTTAAAAATAGAAAGCTTATTATGTCATTTTCCTTCTCACAATCCTTTCATGGCTCCCATCATCTGCAGAATAAAGTCAACATTCCTTAGGAGGGCATTTAAAAACCCCTTGTGTTCCTGTCCCTGGGTATTGCTCCAAGTACCTCTGTCTTTCATGAACTCCCTGTGTCCCAACCACAGCAAACAACTTGAAGGGCCTGGAAAAAGTCACCATCTTTAAGATCTTCTCACATTAGCATTCCCCCCCACACCCACCCCCAGACTACTTAGCAAGATCCTTTTTTCCCCGTCTCGTCAACACTTACTTGAGTCCCCTCATAAGTCACCAACTCCAGGAAGCCTTCCATGTTTGACTCCATGAGTCCATAATGCTCTTTCATACTATTTTTTAGCACTTACCACCTACTGAGATTCTTAAAGATGGCATCCTGTCCCAAGGAGACTAGAATTATGCTGTAATAACTATTGTATCTTCACCGCTTAGCGGCGCTTCACACAAAATAGAGAGTCAATAAATATTTGATAAATAAAAGAATAGTGCAGTGATCTGATGAACCCAGCCCCAGCCAGTGTCTGACTCCTAACCGCATGAGACCCAGAACAAGGACTGCTTAGCCAAGCCCAGTCAACCCCTAGAGCTGTGGAAAGATAGTAATAATGAAAGACCATTGTTATACTCCACTGAATTTGGAATGGTTTGTTATGCAACAATAGGTGACTAGAACAACCTTAGAAGAGCTATAAGACATAATCAACCTGTACTAAGAGAGGCCAGGAGAGTATCTATGGGCCTGGATCCTGGGGGTGCTAGATCAAGGAGAATAAGGAAGAGTTAGTCTTTGTGAAAGCCCTGCCCCCTGACCCAAGATTTAACACTGTGGCAAGGTTCCTGACATGCTGCTAGGTCAGACCTTGGAAGCTTAGGCACACTAACCGGAGGAGAAATGCTGAGTCAAATGGTAGAGAAAGAATACAATGCCCAGGGAAGTGGGCATAGTATTGTAGATACACTTCATAAGGCCAAAACTCTACAAGACAATGAAGGCCTGGAGTCACTCCATTTACTAAGGTAATCAATCATTTTATTGGCAAGATGGACAGCAATACCATTAAGCTCAGGGATGACTGTCTTCTCTAGGCAAGTCCTGCAATAAGGGATGCTTACATAAAGATGCTGTCTTTGGCTCATTAATATAATTCTGTAAAGCATCATACCATTCTTCAAGTGGGGTCAAGAGCAGATCAGGACTCTATAACAGACTAGGCTGCAGTGCAAACAGACCTTCCACATAAGGTATATGACATAAAAGACCTTAGGATTTCAGTAGTACCTGTCATGGGAAAGACAATGTGCTATAGAGTTTTTGGCAAGCCCTGATAGTAAAATTCCAACCTACACCCCTAAGTTTCTGGAGCAAGGCCATACTATCTGCAGTAGAGAACTATGTGCTAGTTGAAAAATAGCTCCTGTTGCTATGATTTCTTAAAGGGCTGGGCCTTAGGGTTTCAAGTGACCATTCAGCTAGAATGGTGCCTATCCGTTCTGCTAGATCTGTGAGGCCATAAGTTCTGCTAGCTCTACAAGGCCGTAAGGTCAGGTAGGCTTACCAACAATGCATTGTAAGTTAGATGTGTTGTATTGAAGATGATCACAGAGATGGAGGACACAAGAAAAGGGCATGAACATGTGTCCCAGACCCTCATGTCATTCACCACTGTCATCCTGAATCTCTTCCTCAGCTCTTGTAACCTACTGACAGAGGAGGAATTAGGCCAATTTTGCTTCACAAATGGGCTACTGAATGTGTAGGTGCAAGCTGAAAAACTGTCCTGAAATACAGCCTTACTCAACTGGTGGTTCTGAGAGTCAGGGGTGAGGTTAAATCCTCTCAAAGGGCAAAGCTTGGATAGTGCACTTGATCACTTACGTTGTGTAGAAAGAAAAGTAATCTAACTTAAGAATATGTATGGACTTATGGTCTGTGGTGAGTGCCTCTGTTTTTTGTCATGACCCTGGAAGGAGAAAGATAGGAAGATGGGGAATAAAGCAGTCTGTAGAAGATGTATGTGCCTAAGTCTGTGGAGTGGACACAATTAATGAAGATTTTTGTATCACGTTTTAAGGTTCACCAGAAAGCAACTACCACTAGAGAGCCAGTAAGCAACTAAGCAGACAAAATTAGTTGATACCATCCAGTCTCTGTCATTGACCACCTCATATCTATCACGATGGGCTCATGAACAGTGTATGGAGAATAGCAAAGAAGGAGGCTATGTGTGGGTCCCACAGCTAGGTTCCCATTCACTAAGGCTGATTAGCTACATCTGTATCTTCAGTCTACCAGCAATAGATACCTGTGCTGAGCCATCACATATGGCACCATTTCTCAAGTTGATCAACTGGCTACTTGGTGAAAAGTTGACTACACTGCACCAATTTTACCACTCAAAAGTAGAAATTCATCTTGACTGGAAGCAACAGATATTCCGGGTACAGGTTTGCCTTTTTTGCTTGCAGGGGCTCAGCCAGCCCCACTACCAAACGCTTGCAAAGTATTTGATCCATGATGTGGAATTCCACATAATATTTCTTCAGACCAAGGAGATGTGGCAAAGGAAGTGTATCAGAGGGTCACAGAACTATATCACACCACTAGAAGCTACTAGCCTGATAGAGTACCAAATGACCACCTGAAGCCCCATTTGAAAATCATGTCCTGTGAGATGGGACGTCATCCTCCAGGTACAGTGTACATGCTCGATCATATATGATGCTCTGACCCTGATAAGTAGAATATAGAGTCCACGAACCAAGAGACTGGAGTAGGCATGATCCTGCTTATCATTATTCCCAAATGTGCACTTGAAGAAGCTGTGCTTCCCATTCCTGAAATTCTAGGTTCTACATAACTAGAAGTCTTAATTCCCAGAGGACAATCACAAGGAACATTGCATTAGACTTGAAGCCATTTCTGCAGCCTGGTAACTTTAGACTCTTTGTTTCTAGATTCCAGCAATCAAGGAAGGAATCACCATACTTGCAGATGTAATTGACGTTGGTCACTGAGGGAGGTAGAACAGGCATTACATAATGAGGGCAAAAAAGAAATTTGGTCCCCCAAGTGATCCAGTGACACATCTCTCAGTATGCTCCAGTCCAAATTTGACAAGAAATAGGTAAGTGTATCAACTGTGGCCTGAGAATGTCATGGTACTAGGGGCTCAGAGAGATGAAGGTCTCAGTCACCCACCAGAAAGCCACAATACAAGCAGAGGTACTAATCAAGAATGAGAGTCATCTAGAACAGGTGGTAGGGGAGAGAGATGGTGAGTACATATTGTAGCCTCAAGACTGCTGCATTGGCTAGGGGTGAGGGAGTAGATCCTTCTACTAGCTTTCTTCATCTTGTAGGTTTCCTCAAGAAGAGCGCCAGCCACAGTTCTGGAGTATCTGTTCCTAGACGGAGGTGAATGCACTAGATGAAGTGCATGAACCTGAACAACTTGAGGGAAGGACAGTAGTAGATGCTGGGCTGCTGTCAAGATCCCCCTTACAGTTGGGGCACCCATTCATCCAGCTGCCCGGGTTGTTGAAGGGTAGTGATGGCTCTCAGATGACTCCCTGTCCTGAAATATCCTCAGCCAAGGGAAACTGACTCATCTAAAATTTTGCCCCCTCCCTGGGCACAGGCTGCACCCATGACTAGTCTTTCTGGGGACACAAAGACTTGATTCCCTTGTCTCAATTGAGACAATTCTCACGGCTGTCTCAAGTCCAGAGCTCCCTGTCAGCCTCTGTTGAAACTGTATTGCAATTCAACTGCTCCATTTGCCAAGTTCTGCCTTTGCTTCTCCCTTTGCCCCATTCTCATCTTTCAAGATCTTTACTCGATAAATATTTTGCATAAAAAGCTCAGGGTTGTGGAGTCTGTTTTCCAGGAAACTTGCAATACAACAGATGGGTAAACGAATATTCAAATAAAGAGATGATCCAATCCACCTGGCTCAACTGTCACGTTGTCAAGGAAAGAAAAGTTCGGTTTTGAGAAGCTTAAAGATGTATGTTTGATATGGTTTGGCTGTGTCCCCATCCAAATCTCAACTTGAATCGTATCTCCCAGAATTCCCATGTGTTGTGGGAGGGACCCAGGGGGAGGTAATTGAATCATGGGGGCCTGTCTTTCCCTTGTTATTCTCATGGTAGTGAATAAGTCTCATGATATCTGACTCTGATGGGTTTATCAGGGGTTTCTGCCTTTGCTTCTCTTGTCATTCTCTCTTGCCGCTGCCATGTAAGAAGTGTCTTTAGCCCTCCATGATGATTGTGAGGCCTCTGCAGCCACGTGGAACTGTAAGTCCAATTTTACCTCTTTCTTTTGTAAATTGCCCAGTCTTGGGTATGTCTTTATCAGCAGTGTGAAAACAAACTATACAATAAATTGGTATCAGTAGAGTGGGGCACGGCTGAAAAGATACCTGAAAATGTGGAAGCGACTTTGGAACTGGGTAACAGGCAGAGGTCGAACAGTTTGGAGGGCTTAGAAGAAGACAGGAAAATGTGAGAAAGTTTGGAACCTCCTAGGGACTTGCTGAATGGCTTTGACAAAAATGCTGATAGTGATAAGAACAATAAGGTCCAGGTTGAGGTAGTCTCAGATGGAGATGAGGAACTTGCTGGGGACTGGAGCAAAGGTGACTCTTGTGTTTTAGCAAAGAGACTGGTGGCATTTTGCCCCTGCCTCAGAGATTTGTGGAACTTTGAACTTGAGAGAGATGATTTAGGGTATCTGGCAGAAGAAATTTCTTTCTTTTCTTTTTTTTTTTTTAAGACAGAGTCTTGCTCTGTCACCCGGGCTGCAGTGCAATGGTGCAATCTCAGCTCACTGCAACCTCCACCTCCCAGGTTCAAGCAATTCTCTTGCCTCAGCATCCCAAGTAGCTGGGATTACAGGAGCCTGCCACCACACTGAGCTAATTTTTGTATTTTTAGTAGAGATGGGGTTTCACCATGTTGGCCAGGCTGGCCTCGAACCCCTGACCCCAGGTGATCCTTGGCCTCCCAAAGTGCTGGGATTATAAGCGTAAGCCACTGCGTCTGGCCTGGCAGAAGAAATTGCTAAGTAGCAAAGCATTCAAAAGGTGACTTAGGTGCTATTAAAAGCATTCCATTTTAAAAGGGAAATAGCATAAAAGTTCAGAAATTTGCAGCCTGATTAAACAGTAGAAAAGAAAAACCCATTTTCTGAGGAGAAATTTAAGCCAGCTGCAGAAATTTGCATAAGTAGTAAGGAGCCTAATGTTAATCCCCAAGACCATGGGGAAAACTTCTCCAGGGCATGTCCTAGCTCTCATCCTTCTGTCTCCCCACACAGAGCTTTCACGGCAGCAGATTCTAGAAAAGGGAGAGAGAAATCAGACAGGGTGCTAGTGCCTTAGTCGGCTTCAGGCTGCTATAACAGATTGCTACAGACTGGGTAAATTATATAGAACAGAAATTTACTTCTCACAGTTCTGGAGGCTGGGAAGTCCAAGATCAAAGGGCTGGCATCTGGTGTTTGGCAAGGACTTTCTCGCTTCATCCTCTGAAGGGAGAAACACTGTGACCTCACATGGCAGAAGAGTGGAAGAATACAAGGGATAAGCTCTTTCACACAGGCCCCTTTATATATAAACAGCATTAATTCATTCCCAAAGGCAGAGCCCTTATGATGTAAACATCTCCCAAAAGCTCCACCTCCCAACACTATTGCATTGGATATTACATTTCTAACACAAGAATCCTGGGGGACATATTCAGGCCATAACAACGAGATAAGTAGAAATTTCTCCCTCTGGCTCCTCTGGGTTGGGGAGTTAGGGCAGGGTGAGGGAACATGCTGGGGAAATGAGATTGGGACATTCATGCTCATGGATGGACCACAGGCTGAGTTTTCCACTGGATGTAAGAGTCACCTTCTCAGATATTATGGAGAATTTACTTTGTGTGCCTGCACCAAATCACATAGGCCAGAGGAGAATGCTGAATGTTAGAGAAAATTATTGAACAGGGCCAGGTTTAAACTCAAGGTGAAGGGAATCTAAATAGGAAGGGTAAGACCTGGCAATGTAGTTATGACCACCTCCATAATTATTAACCCCCAATCCTTGGTTCCAGACTTTTAATCCAAAAGGAGAAGCATCTATTGGGCATGCCTTCTTGTGTGCCAAGTAATGCATTGTCTACACTTGAAAGGGGATGGGATGTTGGACTTTAAAATCAGTTAAAAAGCCTATTTCAAATGCAGATTCTGGCCTCCAGAGATTTCAGTAAGAAAGGGACAAGGAATCTGATTTTTCATTTAAGAAGCAGACCAGGGCCGGGCGGGGAAGCTCATGCCTGTAATCCCAGCACTTTGGGAGGCCAAGGCGGGTGGATAACGAGGTCAGGAGATGGAGACTATCCTGGCTAACACGGTGAAACCCCGTCTCTACTAAAAATACAAAAAATTAGCCAGGCGTGGTGGCGGGCACCTGTAGTCCCAGCTACTCTGGAGGCTGAGGCAGGAGAATGGCGTGAACCAGGGAGGTGGAGCTTGCAGTGAGCGGAGATGGCGCCACTGCACTCCAGCCTGGGCGACAGAGCAAGACTCCATGTCAAAAAAAAAAAACAAAAAAAAAAAACAAGAGGCAGCCCCGAAGATTCTGAAGCAGGTGATCTCTTAGCCACTCTTTGACAAGCACAGATTTAATGTCTCCTAGACCAAACAGGCAGACACAGCAGAATGAAGCTCTCCAGCTCAACTGCAGGGTGGATGTGCCTAGTCTGTCTTGTCCCTCTTCCTTGCCAAGGTGGCCCTTTACAGCTGCCCTGTTCAATACAGATGAGCCACAGGAACTATTGAGCATTTGAAACGTGGCTAGTCCAAAGTGAGATGTGCTGCAAATGTAGCACAGACATGGAATTGTGAAGATTTGGCAAAATCAAAAAATGTCAAAGGCGTCATTAATAATTGTTGATGTTACATACTGAGATGACAATATGTTGGATTTATAGGTTTAAATAAAGTATAAACTTGATTTCACTTTTTAAAAACTTTTTAAAGTAAGGCTACCAGAAAATTTAAAATTACATTTGTGGCTTTAATTTGTGACTTGCATTATATCTCCATTGGGCTGCCCAGGTCTAGTCAATCCCTGCCACAGAACACGGAGCAACACCTCCATCCTGTCCCCAGACCTACTGCTCTTAATCACTGAGGCCCCTTTGGAACTCTAATAACTATAATTTGTGGTTCCTTGTGTGCCAGAATTGCACTAAAAACCTTATCCATGTTCTCTCATTTAATGTTCACAATCGCCCTCATGAAACAGCCATTTCAATCTCTGGTTCTCAGATACACTGCTCCCAGTACTGACCTCTTCTGAAGCTTTTCTGGTGCTGTATTGAAAACCTCCTCCTCTCTGTAAGTCCTCCAGCCACCTCTGAGCTGCTGGAGATCAGACCCATTTGTATTTTAATTCTCACTTCCTAGCACATGGCGCTCTGGGACGCAGACAGATTAAGTGACTTATCCACCCTCTGGGTCACAGGGCACCAGGATTTGAATATGATCTGTCTGCAAAGTCCACGCTTTTTTTGTGTGTTTTTGAAAATCACTTTATTGAGGAATGACACGTAAAAAGCAGTATGCTTTTCAACCATCACATATGCCAGCTCCCAGGTGGGCTGCTGTGGGAGCAGGGAAGGGTGCAGGGAGGAGAGCCCACTTCTCTTTCCCTGTGATTATTTTTCCTGCACGGGGTTGTATGGCCAAAAAGTGCGCAAATAGATTGGTAAACACTAAAGCTGGTCCTCGTTACTGACAGGTGAAAAGAACATGTGTAAGACCCAAAACACCTAGGAAGGACATTTGTAAGGTGACTAAGCCTGAGCTCCGCCTGTCTCTTTGGAAGCAGCCAAGGTACAGTAAATGCTCTTGAACACCAGGGGGCAGTGTGTGACTGCCGTTTCTCATTCCGCTCCCTACAGAGCCTCAAAGCAGTTTTTCCCAGTAAAGCTGATCTCTGCTACATGGGTCCTAACTCTGAGCCTCTGTCACCTCTGTCAACAAGACTTTCCTTGAGTGACAAAAACTGAACTTAAGTAATGTAAGTGCCCACAACAGCTGAAGTCTGAGCAATTCTTAGCGGCAGGAAGATGTTTCTCTTGCTGCCTGAACTACTCCTAGAATGGTAGAGCATCAAAGAACCATAGCTCCTTAAGCATCTCTGGGCAAGAGGTGCCTGACCCCTATCCCTGATGGCACTGAGTCCTGTCTGGGACACTCTATTACATTTCTTTTCTGTCTTTCTCCTTCCTTTCACCTACAAGTAAATCTTTTCTGTTTTAAGAAATCAGTCAAGGCATCAGCAATGAACTCTGGGTATGAGACGCCCACTCATAGGAGCTCAAAATCCCCAAGCTCCTGGGTATTTTCACATGGATGGGATGCTCTCCTCACCCTCAGTGTGCCCCAGCCGCGGCTCCCCACCCTCGGCCCCTCCCCTTGTGGGTTCCCTTCTCAATGCCCTGCACCTGGGAGCCTCCCTCTCACCCAGACTTTGCCATGACCTTGTTCTGCTCACTCTCTTCTCCTTTCCCTGCCTCTGGCTATTCCCTGTCACCCACTGACTCCGTGGAAGAGGACTCCCTCCCAGCTGAGTGTGTGACCCCAGGGCCCACTCTGCTTTCCGCTGGAGGCAGCCAGTGAGTGGTAGACGCATGGGATCTGCCTTCACACAGTCCAGGCTCTGTCACTGACCAGGCAGATAGCCTTGGACACCTGCCTGAACCTCTCTTCCCTTCCGCCCTTCAGATCCCTCATTTCCTCATTTTGGAGCCTCCTCTGGGGCACACGCTAAGACCTCTGGGCACATGGTCATCGCTATGACCAGCCCTGGCCCTCTCCTTTTGGGGGGCAATCAGTTACATGCTTCTTTTGGCACAGAGTTCATCTATATCCATGTTTGAAGTGATTGCCCGGACATGAATATAAGGGTCACTGCCTAACTCGCTGCAATAGTTAAAGGGAGTAACGAGAAGGGGGCCCTGCTGAGTGGTCTGGAGTGGGGTAAAATGAAAGGCAAACACACCGCCCTTGATGATTTAGACTCCTCTACAAGAGAGACTAATCTACTACATAGACTAGGACACATTCCACAGATGAGGAAACAGAGGCTCATAGAAAGTTCAACAACTGGCCGGGCGTGGTGGCTCACGCCGGTAATCCTAGCACTTTGGGAGCCTGAAGCAGGCGAATCACTTGAGGTCAGAAGTTTGAGACCAGCCTGGCCAACATGGTGAAACCCCATCTCTACTAAAACTACAAAAAAGTAGCTGGGCTTGGTGGGGGGCGCCTGTAATCCCAGCTACTCTGGAGGCTGAGGCAGGAGAATTGCTTGAGCCGGGGAGACGGAGGTTGCAGCGAGCGGAGATCGTGCCATTGCACACCAGCCTGGGGGACATAAGTGAGACTCTGTCAAAAAAAAAAAATTCAAAAGTTCAACAACTTGTGCAGAGCCACTTGCTACCCGAGGACCCGTGACTCAAGCACATCGGTGTGGTTTAAAGTCCACCCTGTGGCTCCTCTCACGCTCCTCCTACCTCCGGGTCAAGGGGCGCTGATGTAAGGCATTCCGCTTGTGCCTTTCAAAATAAACAACTGCTTTCAAAAGACAAACGGAATTATACATAGACTAGGACAGTTGAAAAAATGCTAGATTCTGTCCCCGCAGGGAAGTGGCCGACCCGATGTGTGGAGGGGCTGGGAGCTGCCATGCCCCGCACAACCCGGCGCACCCTGCGGGCTTCACGCGTGGGCTTCACGCGTGGGACTCGCAGGCTCAGTCTGCAGGGGCGCTGCTGTCACCGCACCCGCCTCCCCAGCTCAGGCAGCCCAGGACTCCCTCTGGCTTATATGTAGTAAAAAACAAAGGCAGTGTCTGGTTCAGATCCAAGAAAGCCACAGCAGTGGCCACAGAGATGTTTCTCCAAGTCTCATATTGATGAATCCCAAGCATATTTGAACTGTTTAATACCCCCATCTCCAAAGATGCTCTTTTTTAGCTAGTGTCCAATCCCTATATTACAGTTCCTAAACAAGAAACATTCCCCGTGCTGAATCCGCGTGGTTCTTTCCTCTTCAGCGCAGAGAACGGAGGTGGAGATGGGCTCCGGTGCTCCCGCTGAACAGGGACGGTGCGCAGTCATTCCCCGCCTGCACCACGCGGTGGCAGCAGCAGCATGGGCTGAAGGGGCTGTTGGACGCGTTTGCAGCTCCGCCCGCTGAGAAGCCACTATTAAATGCCCTGCAAACTGGGCATTAATCCCCAGGCCCTCCACAAGTGTGGTGAGGGGAGTGTGGAGGGAGGGAAGGAGGGCAGTGGACAGTCAAGTCTTGGAGATTGTGCCTGATGGCTGAGTGTTCTGGAATAGGCCTGTCCTTTCTCTCATTGACAGGGGGAGCTAGAGCTGGCAGGAGAGGGCCAGGAATTTTTCTCTTGCTGACACTTTGCAACAGGTCTGGCCTTTGGACCCAGAACCCCATAAGACCAGGCCTGTTCTTTTGCCTATGAGACTTCCTCGTTCACAGAAGCTATGACTTCTAGACCAGGCATCGTTGACTTCTGGCCTCCTCCCTCTTCTTCTAAAATTTTCTCCAAAAAGCACACCCACTGGCCCCCCTGGTGTGTCCCCTCCAGCTCTGGTCCTCCAGGGCAAAGCCCAGACTCCTTCATGGGGTGTTTGGGGCCTATGCACCTTCACCCCGAGTTTTCACTCCTGCCAGTGCCTTATGTACATCCTGTCAACCTCCTTCCTGACCCTCATCTACAGAGGTCCACTCTCCCACCTCATACTGTCTCTTGTACCTTCCTCTCCACCTCTTCCTCTTCTGAAAGGGCCCCTCCTTAGTCAGTGTTTAACTCATGTTCTTGGAACCCTTCCCTGATGTCTGAACTGTTAATTATAACCTGTGCCACTTCCCTGGTGCCTGCAAACACTGCAAGACTTAACTCATCTCCTGCTCACAATGATTCAGTCATCTGGACAGATGAGGACACTGAGGCACAGATACATAAACTTGCCTGAGGTCCCAGAGCTAAGGAAGAGGCAATCTTAAATTGTCATCTCTGAGTAAACTCACATATTCTCTGCCTTGGAACTCAGAGACTGGGATTTTGCCACTATGTTTCTCTGTGACTGATTATGACCCAAACAATGTCATAACATCTTTTTTTTTGAAACATAGTCTCACTCCGTCACTCAGGCTGGAGTTCAGTGGCACAATCTCAGCTCACTGCAACCTCTGCCTCCCGGGTCCAAGCGATTCTCCTGCCTCAGCCTCCTGAGTAGTTGAGATTACAGGTGCACCACCACGCCCGGCTAATTTTTATATTTTTAGTAGAGACGCAGTTTCACCATGTTGGCTAGGCTGGTCTCGTACTCCTAACCTCATGTGATCTTCCTATCTCAGCCTCTCAAAGTGCTCAGATTTACAGGTGTGCACAACCACTCTCAGCCAATGTTTGTATTTTTAGTACAGATGGGGTTTTACCATGTTGGCCAGGCTGGTTTCAAACTCCTGAGCTCAGGTGATCCACCCTCCTCGGCATCCCAAAGTGCTGGGATTAGAGGCTTGAGCCACTGTGCCTAACCCCAAACAGGGTCACACATCTTGATTCGCAAAACAAGGAATGTGGAGAAGTGGTGAGGGTTGGGATCCCTGTTCTTGCACTTGCTAGCTGAGTGATTTCAGAAAGGTAACACACACACTTTCTCTTTCTCTCTCTCTCCATTTTTAAAGTGGTGGTAATACTAGTAAGACTATTATGAGAATAGAGATTAGAGATATAATATAAATGTGTTCAGTTTACAGTTGAGTCTGTGAGTGCAGTATCCAGAAGTATTCCATAAAATGGAATACTCCTATAGCCAGGAACTCAGCATCAGTCACTGTAAATGCAAATACATGCAGCCGTACCCGGATGGCTCTGCGGTTTCTTTTCTTTTTCTTTTCTTTTTTTTTTTTTTTCTGAGATGGAGTCTCACTCTGTCACTCAGGCTGGAGTGCAGTGGCAAGATCTCAGCTCACTGCAAACTCTGCCTCCTGGGTTCACGCCATTCTCCTGCCTCAGCCTCCTGAGTAGCTGGGACTACAGGCGCCTGCCACCACGCCCTGCTAATTTTTTGTATTTTTAGTAGAGACGGCATTTCACTGTGTTGGCCAGGAGGGTCTCCATCTCCTGACCTCATGATCCACACGCCTCGGCCTCCCAAAGGCTCTGTGAGGTTTCTAAATAAACACTGTAACTCAGAAATATGTGTTTGGAGGTATTAAACTGCAGAGAATTGAAGGATGAAAACTTACCAAGAAATATTAGCTAGGGCCCTTTCTTTGACAATGTATCCCACATGAGGTTAAATCCCATAGCTGTGACCCACAAGGGGGCCCAAGAAGCCCCAACTCTCATTTCCAGAGAACACTCTCCTTCTGCAGACCCCATTTTCCTTCCGAGCTTGCAGCCTGATTTCAGGGTGTGTACTGGTTCACAGTGACCCCCAATCTGACACCCGCCACCCCACCTTATGCACAGGACTTACCTGCAACCCTCAATTGCACGATTCAACCCCACACTTCTGGCTGGGATGCTGGTCACATCTAACCCTGACAGAGTCATTCCTAGACCCCAGGACTTTGGAGGTGGGAGTGAGGAAGAACCAGTCTCTGTAGGTGACTGTAAATCTGAACGAAGAACCTGGGCACTGTGGGCCACCATTTCCCACCAGCCAGGCAGAATAAGTGTGCTGGGTGGGATGCGTGAAGAGAGGATGGAGAAATCAGAATGTAAAGATGTGAAGAGGTTGCTCCCAGGGCTCCCAGTAACAATGTAAGCTCTCAGTTCTGCTCTCCCCAAAGGAGATCTCCCTACAGCACCATCACTCACCTGGCTACCTTGAATTGGCCTCTGTTCCTTGCCACCAAAAAATGTCCTAACTATGACGTCAAGCTCTCTGCAGCCAGAGACCCCCAACATGCTGTGATGAGAAAGTGCTGGACACTGGTGATCTTGTCCGCAGCCTCACACTGTGTCCTGCCATCCCAAGTAGGTCTTTGAGAGAAGGGAGAATCCTTCCCTGCCATTGTTCTGCATGAAGAAAAACAGAAGTAAATGGCACTGGTGATGCTTCTGCCATCAATAGAAGTCCCTTGCACATCCCTCCAGTTGATTCATGGGAGCCCCACTCTCTGGGTGGATTGGGTCACCTCCAGCCACCCAATTCCCACTTAGAGCTATAATGGGGCTTGCGAGGGGAGTGCAAGCCCAAGCCTTTCCCCTGTAAACCACAGGTTCTGGGCCTCCTGCATCACCTGGGAAACCGTGAAACCCTTTCCTCTAAAGCCTCACCTGGCGAATGGCCCTTCAGCATGAGCTCAGGACCCACATCCTAGGAAGATCTTCCAGGAACCCCCACAGGCTTCAGTTGGGAAGGTCTCCTCCTCCAAGCCCATGCCTTCTGCTCTCACAATACTTCCCATCCTCCCCTCCAATGTTGCATTTTTCTCTTTTTCTTTCTGGACTGTGAGGTCCTTAAGAGAAGAGTTATCCTTCATCCTTTTTATCCACTGGTGATAAGTATTCAGTAAATATCTGTCAAACTGACTTTTCAAAATAACAACCAACCATCACACCCTTTCTTAGCATTTCTGTCCTTCCAAATGGAACTTCAGGATACACACAGGCTTTCTAGCTCATGTTCTTCTCACTGTCTCATCCACCCACTCCTAAGAAGTGTAGAGACCCTTTTGGTTTTACAAGATTTGGAGTAGATCTCTTCTAGAGAATCTAGAATACAGGAAAGGCAGAGGCAGTAGGTAATCATACCTCCCTGGTTTGATTACCCGCACAAGATTCCCATGGGCAGCTCCGAATCTTCTGGAAATCAGTCCCAGGTTGAGCAAACAAGCAAAGTTTTCACAATCGTGTTTTTGGGTTCTAGTTTTTGACTTACAGATTTGATAATTCTGGAAGTCCTGAGGCCTCTGCACCAGACCAGCTGACCCTGTGGTTTCAACATGTGGACCCCATGTGGACCACTTTGAGGCAGCTGTTAGACATAGTAATGTCAACATGTAGGAACTCTGTGTGATACCAAGTAAAGAAAGCACTAGGGTGGCATGGGAGACATGGAAGGGTTGGGGTGAGGGTCAGGGTGAGGGGCTGGTGACTGTGAAAGAGGACAGTGAGCCATGGGATGCAGAGTGGAATCTGGGGAAGGCATGGAGGGGCAAGGATATCTACGGACCCATTAGCGGGTCATGTTTCCATTCGACTGTGGTTTTAGGCCATCTCAAAATGTCTCCATTATAAAAAAGACCCTGTGTCAATGCTTGTGTGCCAATATTCCATACCCCACAGGGCTCCTCCCTCCCCTCAAACTCCCCTTCTGATCATCTGCAGTGAGGCTCAGAGCTACCATCAGAGGGTGATGTTGCCGGGTGTCCAAGTATTACTCAAATAACCTGTCCAAGGTGGCATACATTTCTGGAGACCCTTGCGCCAGAGTATCCCCAGCCCCAGACTGTCAGCTGCCTGGTCCTCACATACCCTGCCCTCCTACCACAGTCAAAACCCCGGTACAGACCTGCTGGAGCCAGAAAAGGAAAACAAATAAACAGAAAGTCTCTCTCTTCAGAGCAGATGACTTTCAAGCTACCTCGTGAGCTGACCTCAGGAGTAATAATGATGACAGTTGGATACTCTGCCCCTACTAGTTTTGTTATGGTACAGACACTCACTCTCTTCCCTCTTCCTGCCACTGTGGCTATGAAACCAAGTGTGGCTGGAGCCTGGTCAGCCTGGGCCTGCCTGGCAGTGATGGGCAGAGTTCTTCCTTTACCTATGATGGGTGGACAGCAGGAGTGAGAGATAAGGGTTTTATTCTTTTTTTTTTTTTTCTTAAGATGGCGTCTTGCTCTGTAGCCCAGGCTGGAGTCCAATGGCGATGATCTCAGCTCACTGCAACCTCCGCCTCCTGGGTTCTGGTGATTCTTCTGCCTCAGCCTCCCGAGTAGCTGGTGTTACAGGGGTGCACCACTACCCCCCAGCTAATATTTTTGTATTTTTAGTAGAGATGGGGGTTTCACCATGTTGGCCAGGCTGGTCTCGAACTCCTGACCTCAGGTGATCTGCCAGCCTTGGCCTCCCAAAGTGCTGGGATTACAGGCATGAGCCACCGCACCCAGCCACGGGTTTTGTTTCTAACCACTAAGATCTCGGGTTCTTTTGCCAACATTGCGTCCTCCTGCCCAGCCACTGACACTATGTGCAACTGACTCTTACATGGCCTCTTACATTTTACTATTAGGTTGGCACAAAATTAATTGTGCAATTACTTTTACGCCAACCTAATATGTTTTCACGTATCCACACATGGCCTGCAAGAGTAAGCTAAGGTTCAGAAGGATAAAGTGGCTTGTCCAGGGCTATACAGCAAGTACACAGTGACATTAGTTAACATTTCATAAATACTTGCAGGCTCTAGGATCTGAGCTAAGTGCTCTGCATGGATCATTCATCTTGGCCTCACAACAAGCCTAAGGTGCAAAGTTCATTTACCACCTAAATGCATCTCTGTCTGTCCCCTGTGGAGCTCAGGAACTGACTGTGGCCTGGAGAGTGTAACCTGGACTCAGTTCTGAAGCCTGTGCTCATCTGACTCCACCTTTAGCATATCCTGACTAGCAAACCCAAGCAGAAAACAAATGCATGCTTTTATTATGCTTAATGCTGAGAGCTCAGAAGACATGACTGTTTTTTATTAAACTAATGACACCAAACTCATCTTATGTACCAGATTGACCAAATCATGTGATAGTGAAAAACACTGGATTAGCTCCTGTACTTCTGAAAGTTTTAGGAATATTTAATTTATATAAGTGCTTACTTATTTCTATCTAAGCCTATTAGAATAGAGCTCCTTTAAGGAATTTTATAAATTAATTTAGTAATACCATTCGGAGGTGGGAAAATATCACATATATAGTCATCTCTCAGTATCCCTAGGGGTTAGTCCAGGACCCCCGACAGATACCAAAATCCACAGATGCTGAAGTCCTTGATATAAAATGGCATAGTATTTGCATATAACTATGCACATACTCCTTACACTTTAAATCATCTAGAGATTACTTAGAATACCTAATACAATGTAAATGCTATGCAAATAGATGTTAAACTATATTGTATTTGTATTTTTTTATTGTTTTGTTATTTTTATTTTTTCATGTACTTCTGATTTGTAGTGGCTTGAATCCATGGATGTGGAACCCACTGATACGAAGGGCCCCCCGCACCTCACATGCATACACAAACATATAGACAGACACAAATAGAAATGTTATGGCTTTCATTCAAAAATTTTAGCTACCAGTCAGAAATAAACGGAGGAATGCACAACTTCCCAATTTATGTAAGGGTCGTTTCTTGTCTTTGCCCCACTGTATAGTTTAATCCAAATTGTATTTCTAGAAGACAGAACAAATTGGAGCTACCTGCTTAATATGAGGGTTAAAACTTCCCACCAATATTTGCAGAGGAAATATTTTAAAATTTAAAATTTTTAATTTTTAATTTAAATTTTAAATTTGAAGAGGAAATATTTTAAAATTTTAAAGTTTTCTTTGCCCTGCTGAGTAATCCTATGGGGGCTGTGGACTAAGTTTTAGGTGGGGGCTGTGGACTGAGTTTTAGGTGAGGGACTGAGGATACATCTGTATGTCTCCAAAGCCCATCTGAGTAAATAAAATTTGAATCTGCCTCAGATTAGTGTTTTAAGCCTCAGGTGCTTGCTTTTAGGGGTCCCTGAATCTTTCAAGAGCTCCTAAATCAGGGGAGAAGGGGGTCTAAATTCCCAGTGACTACAGGGAGTTGAAGTGCTGGAATGGAATGTAAAAGTCTTAGAAAAGTCAACTTGGAAGATCTTAAGTTTTCTCAAAGAAGCCACTGACATTTTAAATTATCCTTAGTGCAATGACGCCGACCATAAAGGAAGTGGGTAGCAGTGGAGCAGCAGCAGGGGCTTGAGAACGGGGTTCCAGTCGACTAAGAAGTTTCCATGGAAGCAGTAAGATCAAGTAAGGAGATTAGCAAGGCCTTGAAACAAAAGCTAGGAGGAGCTTCCAGCCCGAGAGGTACCTCTCAAACAATCCAGCCTCAGAGAATATACTGTGCTCTAATCCAGCCTCAGAGAATATACTCAGTCTCAAAAGTGACTCAAATGAATAAGCCTTTTTATGACTTAACCACAGACACAAGAGGCATCTCCAAAGGGGGCACAGAAAATGCAGCCCTCGTAATCCAAAGTCATGCCCAAAGATAACAGAAAGAAGGAAACCAAGTTGTCACAGGCATCGAAGGCAATGGTCAAGGAAAGGGCTTAGATTCGGACATCCCCTGAGAGGTGGCAATGGTGGGTAGGAGTGTAATGTGCCCTGTGTCTCAGGTTCCCTACTTGACCTCTAGACACTACCTCCAGACACAGATCTGGCAATTGACAACATTGACAGGTGGAAAACCAGAGAGAATGCCCTCTCTGATTTCTAAAGCCAAGCTCTCAGGACACTATCAGTGAGCAATACTGGCTTATAGGACCAGTACCTGGGTTCTGCCCTATCATTCACTTTCTTATAACAAATAATACTTTAAAATATTACAATATTTAAAAGCAATATTTATAAGCAATATTGGCTTATAGGAGCAATACTTGGGTTCTGCCCTATCATTCACTTTCTTATAACAAACAGTACTTTTAAACAGCACAACACAAAACAGAGCAGAGACACCATTGCTATCTATAACAGGGGTCTCAACAGCCAAAGACCTAGTTCTAACCAAAAGCATTCTCCTGTAAATCTAAATTTTGAAAAAGACAGGGAGAGACTCATACTACCCTTGCTGGGCTGGACCCTGAACAGAAATCTTAGGTTCTGACTGGTGAGAAAGCATCTTTCATCCGACTTGGTCATAGAGCGAGGAGTCCCAGCCACATCACCTTCATTGTCAGAACTGTCAGGAAGAAAACTTTTCCTCTACCATATTAGGTTTAAATGATTGGAAGCCTGCGAATTAACTGGCAATAGATATAGAAACAGGAGAAAAGACAAGGCTGATTACCTGCATGCAGGAGCACCCTGTAAAGAGTAACTCACTGTCTAGCCAGAGGTACAGGTTTATGCAGCAGCTTAGCAAAAGGGAGAGTTTAGAGCTTTAAAGGCAGGAAGGTTCTGATGAGGCTTAACACAATTTCCTTTTTGGAATGTCATGGTGCCTAAGTCAGTCACCATCCTGACCTCTGCAGATTTGTATGGGGGATTGTGGTGGCAGCTGAGTCTCTTAAAGCTCTGCTTAAATCAGATAAGGTAAGTTCAGATAAGATTTCTTTCTGTGTCTGTTGTTGAGTTTTTGATCCCTTCATAAGGAAAGAGAAAACAGAACCTAGCCAGCTTTGCAGCTATGAGGTGGGAAAAGCAGTTCAATCTCCTGATTCCCCACCACTGGTCCTCCCTTTCCCTCAGCCACTGAAAAGTTTCTGAAGGATTTTTAATGAATGACATGGAAAAAATATTCATTAGCAAATGTATTATGTTATAAAACAGACCCAGAACTAGATCACAAAATATTATTTCTGGGTAATTGAATGACAGGTGGCTTTTATTTTTTTTGATGCCTTACTCTATTTTCCACAAAGAGTATGTAGTCATTCTTTTTTTTTTTTTTTTTTTGAGACAGAGTCTCACTCTGTCACCCAGGCTGGAGTGCAGTGGTGCGATCTCGGCTCACTGCAAGCTCCACCTCCTGGGTTCATGCCATTCTCCTGCCTCAGCCTCCTGAGTAGCTGGGACTACAGGTGCCCGCCACCACGCCTGGCTAATTTTTTTGTATTTTGTTTAGTAGAGACGGGGTTTCACCATGTTAGCCAGGATGGTCTGGATCTCCTGACCTCGTGATCCTCCCATCTCGGCCTCCCAAAGTGCTGGGATTACAGGCGTGAGCTACCATGCCTGGCGTATTCATTCTATAATAAGTAAATGAATAGGCATTTTTCTGAAAAAAAAATGCGTTAAAAAAAGACATAGCAAACATAGCAAACATAGTAAACATAGCAAAATATTGAGTGTCTGTCTTTGCACAGAACTATATGTTTCTCCTCACCAGACTTATCACTGGGTCACATTCTTGAATGCTGTGGAAGATAATTTATCTTAAATTCAAAATACTTGAAGCATCTAAACAATAAATTTTGTGATAAAATAATTGTTCAGAAATATCACCCCTGAGGCTGTGCACGGTGGCAAGTGCGGGTAATCCTGGCAACTCAGGAGGCTAAGGTGGGAGGGTCACTAGAGGCCAGGAGTTGGAGACTAGCCTGGGCAACATAGCAAGACCCTATCCTAAAAAAGTTTCTTTTTTAATTAAAAAAAATAAATGATTACCCATTTTCAAAACCATGCCAATAAAATAATTGAAGACAAATTTGCTACAGGGTTCTATGTGGTGAAATATGGATTGCCTTTGACCTCAAGTCTTACTGCAGTGAAAAGAGGTGTGAATCTTACAGTCTGGTGAGGTTTCAGAGTGGGTCTGGATTGTGCAAATATATTTGTTGAGTGTAGACACACACACACACACACACACACACACACACACGCATATCCAGGGCAAGTATTCCTTATCCAAAATATTTGGGACCAGAAGTGTTTCAAATTTCAGATTTTTCTGGATTTTGAAATATTTGCATATCCATACTGAGACATCTTGGGAATGGGACTCAAGTCTAAAGACAAAATTCATTTATGTTTCATATATACCTTATACATATAGTTTGAAGGTAATTTTATAAGATATTTTTAATAGTTTTGTGTGCCCATCACATGAGGTCAGGTATAGAATTTTCCACTTCTGGTGTCAGGTTGGCAGTCAAAAAGTTTCAGATTTTGGAGCATTTCAAATTTGGGATTTTCAAATTGAGGTGCTCAATTTGTATTATAGCTATATACACACATAGATATATATAAAAAAACAGACTTAGAACTAGATCACAAAATGGTATTTTTGAATGGGCAAATGACAGTTGGCTTTTATTCTTTTTTTTTTTTTAATTTTTTTTTGAGACAGAGTCTCGCTGTGTCACCCAGTCTGGAGTGCATTGGCGCAATCTCGGCTTGCCGCAACCTCTGACTCCCGGGTTCAAGAGATTTTTCTGCCTCAGCCTCCCAAGTAGCTGGGACTACAGGTGCCGGCCACCACGCCCAGCTAATTTTTGTATTTTTTTAGTAGAGATGGGGTTTCACTATGCTGGCCAGGCTGGTCTTGAACTCCTGACCTCATGATCTGCCCACCTCAGCCTCCCAAAGTTCAGGAATTACAGGCTTGAGCCACCGCACCTGGCCTATTTTTTAATTTTTATATCACATATAGGTATGATAACAAAATATCTTTTAAAAATGGTTGTCCTTTTTTGTTAATTTGGTATTAAATATAAATTCTAGAATTCCTGTCAGGAGCCGATTATACATTGGACATTGGAGTAAAATACCATGTCCAGTGCTTGCTTCTTTGGACTTTTGATTGCTACAAGGTTGGATGAATGAAGATACGTTCATAGTGTTCTGTTCTCACATCCTAACACACAGTGCACAAATCTGTCTGCCTTTGGTTTCAGAACTAACAGCAGGTGGATGGGCTGGAGAGTATAGGCCTCAATGCACCCCTTTGCGAGGGCTTCTGGCTCCCAGGAGCTGTCCCTCTTCCTGCATATTGTGGGCCTTCTTTCCTGCAATTCAGTCCTGTGCAGTCCCTGTCAGGGTGAGGGAAAAGAACGAACAACAACACAAACTTTCACTGAACACTTACTGGGTGCTGAATATGCTCGGCATTTTATATCGACAATCTCAAGTCCTCTTTTCCAGATGAGAACTTTGAAGCTACAAGGAATGAATACATTGAACATCTAGTTATTGGAGAAAGTGCTGGGGCTCTGTCCAAATGTCAGCCCAGGTCAGCTCTTCTCCAGTAACCTGGGACTCCACAGCTCTAGGCATGTCTTACTCTCATCTCTTTTTCTTTCTTAGTCCTAGACTGGTTTATTTCCAAGGAGATGCCACTGTTGTATAAGAAGAAATTTGACTGAGGCCTTTTTCCCTGGTTCCTGGTAGGGAGATGCTAAAACCCTTGGAATTTCTCCAGTGATAGGAGTGTCTTTGTTATTATGAGACCCTTGGATCGCACCTGAGTTTTTTCTAATGAGGTAACTCATGGTGGCTTCTAGATGGCTTCAAGATGGGGTTGGTCACAAGAAAGACCAACCATACGATTGAAGGGCTGGGACAGTGGGCCAAGCCTGACTCCTGGAGAGGGGAAGGGGGCTGGAGATGGAATTTAATCGTGTGGCCAATGATTTAATTAATTATGCCAACATAATTCAGCCCCAGTAAAACCTCTGGACCCCGAGAGTCAGTGGAGTGTCCTGGTTGATGAAGATATTGATCTGCCCACAGGGAGAAAGACCCTGGCTCCATAAGGAGAGGGCACGGAAGCTCTGGGTTCAAGGCCCTCCCAGACCTCACCCTATGCATCTCCCCATTTGGCTGTCCCTGAGTTGTAGTCTTTATAATAAAAGTTTAATAACAAGGGTGGTGCTTTTCTGAATTCTGTGAATGGTTCCAAAGAATTATCAACCTGAGGGGGTTAGGGAAACCTCTGAATTTGTAGCCAGTTGGTCAGAAGTATGAACGGCCCTGGGAACCCCCTCAACTTCTGGCTGGCATCTGAAGTCGGGACTGTCTTGTGGAGGACTGAGCTCTTAATTCATGGGGTCTACGCTGACACCAGCCTCCACATAGTTGATGCCAGAACTGAATTGCAGAATTGAATCCAGCCAGTTGGGTTGGTGTCAGAGCACCACCTTTTCTTTACCCTTTTTGTACTCCTTCTCAGGAGTGGAAACCCTGTGACTGAATGAAGCTAAAATTCTAGTACACAGGGCTGGTAAGGCTGGATTAAAATCAACTTGTTTTCCAAAGCCTTCCTTTTGGCTCAGTGTTAAATCTACTTGATTTAGGATAGCCTCAGAATGCATTTCAAAAAAGTTGGAATCATCACCCTGTTGGAAGCTGCCGGGTGTTCAGCTGGAACAGTGGGAAATCATATTACCTTGTCTAAAACTGCAGAGCTAGTGAAGAAACTCTGGGTCAAGGGAATCCAAGGAAAGTCTGTTCCTTGACCTTCGGTCTTGCAGGTCAGCAGAATGTTCTTCTCCCCTTTGCCTTGAAGGCTCTGAGAGAGTGTTGTTACTGTCCTGTAGATGAGGCAGAGGTGGGTGAGAAAGGGTCTGGGCTATTATCTCAATTCAAAAGACACATTTATCTAAGCTCAAAGGGGAAGGAGCTTGGATTGTATCTTTGGTTTTTGTTCTTTGCATGAACTTCAGAAGAAATACTTATCATATTTCATGACTTCATCTTTGGACAGATGTGGATCAAATGGAAGGTGTCTCGGGGACCTGGGTTCATAAAGCAGTGAGTTTCTGAAGAGCATCAGGGCTAAGAATGGCTGAGCAATAAATCTGTAACTTACAGTCACCCCAGAGAGCCTGAGATATCCAAGGCATGAGAGAAAGAAGTCTCTTATTTAGGAGAATATAGCCAATCCTTGAGCTATGACATACACACTGGGCTTTTTTGTTTGTTCTTCAGCCAATACAATTTTTCTTGCCTACCCAGTTTGCCGCTTAATAAAAAATTCTCTCTGGGCAATGCATCTAGGTATATTTTGGATAAATATTTGGGGGCGTCAGAATCATCTTCAAATGAAAATGTAAGCATTTCTTGTCTTGGCTCACTGGGGATAGCAGCCACAGCCTTCTTATCTTGGTAGTAAGTGAGGCAGCTCAGTTCCTTTTCTTCTTCCCCCAGGGCCCTGGCCTGTCTCCAGCTCTGCGCCTCAGCGGGGGAGGAAGAGAAGGGAGGTAGCTGGCTGCTTGTCTCCAAACAGCAACGGAATGCCTTGGCCTGGCTGTTCAGTAATCCCCTGCCAGCTGGCTGCCTCCCTTTCCTCTGGGAACTCAGTGAATCACACCTCCGCAGCGCGTTTGGCTCTTGCAAGCCCTGAAGGGCTGGAGGCTTGTGCCTGCCAGCTCCGAGGAGCTGCAGCCCAACTTCTGAGCATGGATCATGTCGGGACCCTGGAATTTCTGAGCACAGGAGGCTTTCCAGCTGCAGGGGAAGAACACTCATCTGGAGGCACTGCAGGATTCAAAGTGGGTTGGGCTGTTCACAGGGAGGGGGCGAGCGCTTTTTCTTTCCCCATCTTTTCTTAGGGACCCTTCCAGGAGCAGAGGTTTTTGCGTGTAGGGAAGCAAAGTAGGAGAAGAGTGCTTAGTCCTCTTCCTGTATCTGCTCCATGATGACCTCAGATAAGGTAAACCTTGCATATGCTCTCCAGCCATCAGTCAGGGCATGAGCAGAGCCCCAGGACGGTTGCACCATGTCCCACGTATGACCAAATGCGTATTTGGAGTTTTTATTTCAATAGTTCAGGAACAGGCATACAGAAGGGAGGTAACTGCTGAGATGTCCCTTCTACCGCTGGCGTAGAAGCATGCATTCTAAAACTGGATCTTTTTCAAAGGTAGGGATGTGATCAGGTTTTAGCTTCTTCCAATTGGAGTGACTAGAGGGTCTTTCTTTAGATGGGGTAGGAGGACAAAGGCCGAAGCGGCGCAGGAAGAGAGCAAAGCCAATCCATCCATGCACATTCTCCTATCCAGGCATGCTAAATGCTTCCTGAAGTTAACAGCAAGCCTCGGTTCCAAACGGAGGGCCCCAGGGTGAGGCTGGCCAGCTCTTCGGCACTGCAGTGCTCCTTCTAGTCGGGTTAGCAGACTTGCCAGGCCACTTCTCAGCCACAGGCTGGGAAGTCTCAAGTAGGAGAAGGGAAACCAGGAGCAAGAGGGAAGTGTGAGCTGAGCCCCACAGAGCCGCGGCAGGGTGGGAAGTCGAGGTACCTGTGAGGAAATTAACCTGGTACTTCATTACAATATTCCTGTAGAGTGAAAGGAAAAAAACTAGGTCCATGCCCTGCTCACGGGGAATTCCACATACAGTTCCCTCCTTACTTGGTGAAGAGCTGGTGATGGCAAGTCCTGCTTCTTGGCCCCAGTTCTCCCCAGCATCCCACCTCTGTGGTCACGGTCTTCCTTTGCAGGGGTCAGGCTGGAACCGGCCTCCTGGGGGCTGGGAGGAAGCTGAGGGAAGAGTGCATCATTCCTGACCTCTGCAGCCCCTCCCTTGCCCACTCTCCTGCTTTCTTCCTGCAGGGAGGGAGGAGGAACTTGCAGAATGGGAGGGGGGTCTGGCCGCTTGAGGAACCCAGCAGCAGGGCAGCTGTGGGCCCCATGAGAGTCCGAGGGCACCCCAACCACCTCCAGTCCTTCTCCAGCACCCTCCTTGCATGCCACTCCTGTCATTGCCAAAGGGTGTTTTACAGAATTATTTTTCCTGAAAAGATCAAAATAATCTCCCCCCACCACCCCTGAGGCTTGCCCCCAGTCTATTCAACCCAGGTCCTGGAGGAACTCAGCAGTGGGCAGTGAAGCATGATCCTCGGGCTGATTCACGGGGTACTTCATGCTTCCTGCTCTACCTTCCAACCGCTTCTTCACTCCCCATTCAGTTCAGAGGCCCAGGTCAGGCTCAGCGGCCTTCCTGACACATTGCCAGATGGTCTTGTCTTCACAGGTCTAAGTCACCTTTGCATTCTCTGGGTTGCTTGACCTATGGCCATTCCAGCACATCAATCGGAGCTTCCCCTGGTCCTTACCCTTTGCCTCATCACTCAGGACAGGTATCTATCTCATGGGTCAAGGGAGTTGCCATGCCGGCTCTGTTCACTAGAACATCTACCTTGTCCATGCTGCTGCCTCTTTCCTATTGGCCAAGTAGCACAGCCAAGCCTCTTGCATGGAGGAGGAGAGAGAGAGGAAGAAAGAGGAACAGTTACAAGAAAAGTTCAACCTTTCCTACTCTCCACCCCTTCTTGATCCACTATCTCTTTCCTTTCCTTGGGAAATAATGTCTTTCATACTCTCCAAGGTATGCATTTTTTTTTTCCAATTTGGTAACTACTAAAATTGGAGCTTGCCTGTTAGAGGATGAAAAGCACCATGTCATAGTTTAATGGACAGTGCGTGTTCTTTCTTAGTGGGAACATGGAGTACCATGTGTCTTACTGTGGAAGGCGTCTCAGAGGGGGTGAAATGCAGTATGTGGCTTAAAAGAGGCCACTGCATTCCCCTTTTCTCATGTGCCACTTAATTCTCATCTGTTGTGTTCTAGTTTCTCTTCCCAACCACGCCACTGAAAAATACTTCCCTGCGGTCATCCAGGGTCTCCTAACTCTTAAAACCTGTCTTTTCCTGTCCATGTTTTACTTGATCTGGATGTTGTTTTTGATAGTATTAGCCTTCTAGAATCGGCCTCCGTGTTTCTAGAGCACACCCTCTCTGCTGCCTCTCCCACCCTCCCTTCCCTTCCCCTCCCCTCCCCTCCTCCCTTTCTTATGCAGGCCTTCTTGTCTCTTGGTCCCTGGGGCCAGTGATCCTCAAGATTTCTTCCTCAGTCCTCTACTCCTGCTACCCCTGTGCCTGGCAATGACACTCTTACCCTTTCTTCACCTGTCACCTGCAGACTAAAGGCTGCTGAGTCTGGGCGTGTACTGGGATCTCTCTCTGGGCCCCTGCCTGCAGAATATCTCTACTTGTATTTTCATTCCATAAACCAGGGGTTCTCAGTCTGCAGCGATGTCTCCCCACTGCCCCGTGTTGTCTGCAGATGTTTTTAGCTGTCACCACGTGGGGGAATGCTACTGGTATCTAGTGGGTACCGGCCAGGGACACCACTAAACATTCTATAGTACTTAAGACAGTGCCCTACAACAAAGAATTATCCAGCCCCAAATGCCAGTAGTAGAATGTCTAAGAAGCCCCACGATAGGCACTTCAGATGGACAGTGCCCCAAGCTGAACTTCCCCTTGAACATCTTCCATTATGAGTTGCCATTGCATCCTGTTTCCCTGTCTGCCTCTCCCACTGGGCTGGGAGCTCATGGATATGAACTGTGTTTTATTCATCTCCTCATCTCCAGTCCCTATAAGAGAATATGAATGGAATATTAGATACTCAGGCAGCAAGGTTGAATTAATGGAACATGTCATCACTGCCCTATGTCCCAGACAGTGCAAGGTCTCTGAAGGCAGGGGTCATGATAACCTACCACTGGGTGCTGAGGAAAGGTGGAAGCAGTGTGTGACATTTGAGATTTGGGGACGGGTGAGAAAAGTTGTAGAATGGAATTTCCATGGCTCTGCTGGGTGAGTGCTGGCCACAAAATGTATGCAAAGAAAAAAAAGCCTAAAAACAATTTAGACTCTATTACTGTTTTGAAAATTGTCAAGAGCTTGAATAACTAGGTAGAAAAGGCATGAACAAGGTCTATGTTAGTAAAATGAAATTTTAGAAAGTAAAGGCTAATATGAAAGGAAAGACGTGTTCAGATTATGTTTGGAATAGTAAATGTACTCTAAAGTCAAACCAAAAGGGAAGACTGCCAAGAAAATAAGTAGAAAACCTGGGAGGGGGAAAAAAAAAGGACAAATAAGACATTTTGGCAGTAGGTAAATTTTTGCTTCTCATTTTAGCATTCTATTATATTCTTGTTTGGGTAAGATATAATGTCTTTACATTCCCAAAATTACTTAAAGGAAATCTTTATGAAATAACAGATTGTAGCTCCACCTTTTTACCTCAAACTCTGCTTCCTTTGTATTTACTGTGCAAGAGGCATTTTTACAAACAAAGCTGTGAGCCCCATCCACCCCCAGCTCATGTGGATTGAAGGAGTGCACATCACCCACCTCGTTCCTGGGGGTGTCCCTTCCCTAAGTTTCCTTTCTCTTAGCCTCATTTCTCTCATTTCTTTTATTTTGATTTGGTACATGGCATGTCTCTTTGTGAGCTGACAGTTTATACCTGAGGCAGGGCATAAATTCATATTTTCCTTATTTTTTTCTGGATTCATTTGGATACCTTATATAAGGGATCTAGTTACAAAAGCAAAGCATCTTGGATTGGATGGGGGGAAATTCTCCCCGAGAATCAGGAAAGCATGAAGCATCCCTATGGCCAAAGAAACCCTGCTGGAGGACAGGGAACATACACCCCCCACAGGATATAAGGCCTGGGGAACACATGCTGTTGTACCTGTGTGTGTATACATGCATGTGTCCATCCTTGTAGCCTTGAGATACCCACAGCCAGGACTCCTGCCCTTCCCAGAAACAATTATCCTCAGCTGATGGCTCAAAAGACATGTACTACTACTTAGAAAGAGGAAGGGAAGGCTTTTGGAGTGGCTTACGGTAATCTGGAGAATAATATTGCACACTGACACAAGAAAAACATGGGAGACAATTTATTCTGGCTGAGGTCAGTTACTAAAAGCCACATAAAGTAGGCTTCTATCGTGTCAGATTTTCTGTTGACATGTGGTAGGGCATCTCTGAAATGAGAGGATAACATACAAAAGAGGGACAAATTAAGTTGTTAGACGTTAAACCCCATCACCATCCTTCCTCACTGAATTTAGAAAGCAATAATATAAAGAAACACAATAATTGTTGCAACTGGTGTGCCCCCCGGGTACACATCCTCAAAACACCATGAGCATGTATGTATTTGCATCTTATTCTCCAGTTTAGGGCTAAGGAATCTGGATCTCACAGCAAAAGTCCATTCATCTTCTACGTGAGGGGTCTGGATCCAGCTACAGGCTCTGGATGTTTTCAAAGAAAGCAATCTTTCCATTCAACTATGCATTTAATAAACAACCCAATAAAAATTTCCATACAAAGAATTTTTTATTGACATTGTAAGAAACATTTTTTTTTCTTTGTTACAAAAGGACTAAGTGGTTCTGAAAGCAAAGGTAGAGTTCATCTGTGGCTGGGCTGCAGCCCCTGGGCTTGAGGTGGGCGTGATCACGGGGAATGCAGGCTTGTCCGAGGAACGCCTGGGCCAGTCACATCTGAACGCTATGCCTACAATACTTAAATGTATTTACATGTGTTTCTTTTAAAAAAAGGATTACACATTTTATTTTTTAAAAAAATCTAAAAAAGGTGAAAAAAATGAACTTGTATTTTATTTTACATGTCTGCAGGATACACAAGGGTAACTTGTCAGAAGAGAACATCCTCCTATCAGTTCAAAACAACACATGAAACCAGGATACAAGACAGCCTCGACTCTGCTACCACCGTGCGCTCTCTGGCTGGTGCACACACAGCCTTGGAGTGCTGATTGGGCAACACCAACTGGTCCCTCTCATTGACAAGATTAACATAAAATAAGGCACATACATCGCAAGAATCAAAACTTTGTGGCTCAAGAGGAAGAGCCAATGTGTGAGGAGTTGGGAGGGGTTAACTTTTTCAGAAAAATAAAACAAAAATGGTTAGAAAACGTTTAACACAGACATTAAGCAGGAGTAGAATGTGTGAGCCTGCATGTTTTAGAAAAGGCAGGATGGTGACACTAGTGAGGCGGTCCTCTCGCTCTAAAATGCATAGGTTAGAGAAATGGAGAGAGGCTTGGAGGCTGGGGGTGAGTCTCAAGATATGAGATGCCTAGCCTACAGAGATCCCAAAAGGATGTCCCAAAAAGATGCTTCTAAGTGACCTCAAAAGACCTTCCTTCCACTGGACTGCCACAACAGATCACTGAAATTCTGGAGGAGTATACTTTCTTCTTCCTCCCTCCTCTCCTCTGTCCTTCTGAAATTTCCATATTGAGAGAAGCCAAACATTGAGCTGAAACTTGCATCTCCTGCAAATCTAAAAGCAGTAGAAAGGAAAGCAAATATAAAAAAAAAAAGAAATAAAAGAAGAATAGGGGAAACCCAGAAAATAACCTGAAACCATAGGAAAGAGCAGAAGCACAAGACAACAACAGTGGTGGGCCGGATCACTGTGCATCCCTCCAGGAAGGACAAAGCTGATACAGGAAATAATGGTAACTGAGAAATGGAGGTTGCATCCGAGAATACTACTGGAAGAGCCCTCTGATGGAGGAGGTCAGCATGGTCCCTTCCACCCAAGCTCCTTTCTTAGGAGGAGTGGAGAACACTCAGGCCCCATGCTTTGAAAACAAGAGTTGGAAAGGGATTGAACCAAACCATTAGAGCACACAAGATAAGACTGGAGATTTGGAGATTTGTGGAAAAGTGAGACTGGATCTCTGATTCTGTGACAACATTATGCCTTGTTTCAGAAACACAGAGAAAGTCTTGCTTTTTCAACTGAAAAGTGGTAGAGCCTCTACTTTCCTATGCTCAGATCAGTAGTTCTCTTTTGTTATGGGGCTGTTCCAAAGGAGACACATCCGTTAATTTCAAAGAAGACTTACATGGGGGAGAACAGCAGGCATGGAAGGGGAATTGCAGTGTCCCTCTGCTTGTCTCAGGAACATCTAGTTGAAAGCAAACCTAATAGTCTTAGCCAAAGTCCCCAGTGGCAAATCAACCTCCATGCGGAGATTCTTGGTCCAAATGAAAGAACATAAACATGAGAAAAGTGGGCTGGTCTTAACACTCTTTCTATTATCTAACACTTTATTTTACTTGATTTTGTCTTTCTACTGTAATTTAAATGGCAAGATTAAAGGGGAAAAGCCACATAATTGAATTATCAATCACTTGCAGTAAATCCAATTCCAGGGGTCAATGGGACAGAATACAGCAGGTAGCCTGAGGTGTTAATATTTTAACAGTTTATATAATTTTTTAAAGCAATATGCTGGAAAATCCATGTACTCTTTGTGCACACACAGTATGACTTTTATGTGTATCAAATGCACGTGGGGAGTAGCTGCACTTCAAAAATCTTTAAATGTTTTAATCCAAAACAAAAGTACAGATCCAGTCCACATTAAGGACTAACTGCATGTAACATTTAACTTCGTGAATGGATGCAGCATTCAATAGACAGGGTGTGAAAAAAGGCATCCACACAGCTACTAAACATCTTCCCTAGTGCTCTCAAATACTAAAAATGGCTGAAGCAATTTATTCCCACTATGTGGGCTTTCTCTTTTACAACTAAGTTTTATAAATCCCTCAAAATAAGGTATTTAGAATGGAAATCCTCCCTCACTATAGTGGAATTAATAAATGTTACTGATACAGCCGCTTGTGGGGTTGTTTAAATACCTATATACTTAGAGCTATATATAATCAATTCTCAGTTAAAATGGGAAAGAGATGGAACTAATCAACAAACACAGCAACTCATAAATATTCCCCCAACTAATTCTACCCAATTGCTTCAATCTACCATCTATCTAACTTCTTACCAGAACAGATAAAAGTAGCAATGTGGCTGAGTGTCACCAACTGTCCGTCCCTTCTCTCTAACTGCAGTGCGAAACAGCACTGAATGTTCATGAAGGTAGTGGGAGGAGAGGCAAATGTGATAACTGAGAATCGACCATACAGACATAGCCTCCCCCAAAGCACACTTACAGACATGAAGAGCTGAAAACCAAAACTGTGAGCGCCCATTTCATTTATAAGAGCCCCACGTTCCCATTTCTGTTTAACTGTGGAATGCCCTGAACTGAATTGGAGATGGGGGGAACATCAATATTCTGTCATCTATGCTACAGTGCACCCACAAAAGTTTCTTAAACTAGCTATCCATATTCTGATTCTTGTGCCCAATGTGGGAATTAAAATAAAAAACAGAAACCAAAACACAAAACAAAACACTGAGCACATGTAAAGGAGAATTTTAAAAGCTGGAAGTGTAACCCCTTGGTCACAAGCACACCAACTCCTATTTCCTTTGAGCAACAGCAAAACATGTCAAATCCTTTAATTTGACTGCTCTTCTAAAAGAAAGAAGAATATGCACATCACAAATTTACATCGGTTTACTAAAAAGGGGGCGGGGCTTACAGTTTTTTTTTTTTTTTTTAAAAAGAGGGTGGTTTGAGTGTAACAATACTGATTCAAAACTGAAATGGAAGACAGTTTCTCCCTAGAATACTTTAGGGTTTTTCAGAGTCCTTTTCCATAAAAGGAATATAATTGAAACACATCTCAGTTAGGTGAGATGAGATTGCTAAAATACATACAGAACTAAAAAAACAGCCAAAACAAAGTCAGTTTAATCTCTTCAACTCCTATTGATTTCCGTTGGTTGCAGTCTTTTTTTCCTAAAGCCTATTGCATAACTGCAAGGAATTTGCTTTCTTCCGCTAGGGAGGTCAGCAAAGAACTCATGTCCCCGATAGCCATGTTGGTGGTGCTCATGGACAGCGCTGGGAATGGGAGGGACGCCCGAGGCGTGGTGAGGCGGGAGGAGCTATGGGAAAGGTTCTGAATGATACTTGGGCTCAGGGCCCCCGACATCAGGCTGGAGTGGTCCCCATCGTCTATGATGGCATCGAAGTCAATCTGTACCCCTTCCAGGTCATGGCTGTCGAGGCTGTCCACTGTGCTTGTCACCTGATTAGCACCTGGGGAAAGTAACTCAGAGTTTTTGGCGCTGGTCCCCTGTAGCAGGCAGCTGGCGTCTGAAATAGAGAATGAACCAGCTTTCGTGTCTTGCTGACTGAAGCCCACGGTTTGGTCATAGAACTGACCAGAGTAATTCTGCAGATTAGAGCACAGCGGATGGGGCTGCCCTTTCATCTCCATCTTGATACCATTCACCCTGCAGGTCTGACTTGTGTCACTGAGCTGTCCTGACTGCAGAGCAAGGCTGTCCCTCGGCATAGCCTGGCGCCTGCTGCCCCCAAAGCTGGCACATGGCTGGTAGCCCCTGACAACTGCCAAGCTTGACGGCTGGCTGCCCATGCCGTGAGCCCCTGGCAGGCAGCTCTCTGGCCCTTGGTAGATGTTGATGTGTGAGGTAGCACTAATCTGCCCAAGCATCTGCTGACCGGGGCGGCCTGCCCCCGGGTGCTGCATGCTGTCGCCGAGGAGCTGGTGAGCCAGGTACCCCTGTCCCACTGGGTCCTGGTTCTGCATGCCATTCACCATGCTGCCAGCTGACTCATTTGGCGCTACCGGCAGGCCGAAATTCAGCTGGCCCCCGCTCCCTTGCATGGGGGTGCTCTTCAGCTTTGAGGCTTGAATCCCGGCACCACAGGCACCGTCGAGTGCACCAGGGGCCACTGGCTGCCTGTTGAGACAGTTCCCATACTGCGGGGCCTTACAGGGCTGTTCATGGAAGGCGTTTCCACTGGTGCCACTTCCGGGGCTGTTGTGGAGCATCAAGTGCTCTGGGCCACCGTAGGGGTTGCTGTTCTCCCCGAGGGTCTGATAGCCCCCAGCAGGCCCGCTCCTCAAGGGGTTCTGCGGGTGGACGACCATGCCGTTGCAGAACCCAAAGGCGCGAGTCTGCGGCACAGCGGGCCGCGGCCCACACTTGAGCTTGGAGGAGGACAGGTCGGCGCTTCCGGAGCTGACTTCGTTCCACTGAATGGGCAGGTCGGTTTTGCTGCCCTCGGGGCAGGGCTGCTCGAGGGCATGGAACTGCTGGCCAGCGTGGCTGTCTGGCAGCCCGGGCGCGTCAAAGTCACCGGGCCCGTGGGGCACTTTGCTGTCGTCCGGGAGGGCGCTGGGGAAGTGCTGCTCGTACCCTGCTTGGTTCTGGGAATTTAAATACTGCACCACGTCGTCCGGCAGGAAATCCTCATCGTTCAGGTTGGCATCAGCGTCCATGGTCAGGGACTCCAGGGTGACGTTCTCGGTGATGCTGGGAGGACAGGGGGACGAGTGGAAGTTTCGGGACTGGCCGCCCTCGGGCCGCGTGTAATTCTGAAGCACGAGACTGCGCTTCTCCGCGGACGTGGCCATCGCCGGGGGGTTGCAGCTGCTGAGGCTGCTGAAGCGCGGCACACGAGGCAGGGCCAGGCCCTCGGAGCCTGTCCGCACCGGGTCGCTGGCCCTCCTCACGCCGTGGCCCGGCGCATCGTGCGGCTGCAGGTGGCGCCGCCCGTAGCCGTGGGCTCCCCCGTCGCTGCACCTCCTCGGGGCATGAACTGGAGGCAGGGCCACGCCAGGCTCGAGGGCATCCCCGAGCAGCGCCAGGCGCGTCTTCAGGCTCATCCTCTCCATGTTGGGCAGGGGCGTCGGCGGCGGCCCTCCTGTGGCAGCCGCGTACTTGGCCTTGAGGCGGTACTGCTGGGCGGGCGTGAGGCTGAGCAGGCTGGGCAGGCCGTCGCTCTGGCTGGCTTCGCTGGAGCGGCGCGAGGCGTCGGTGGAGATGGGGTCGTAGGAGTCGGCCACGCTCACGTTCTGCGGCCGGCCCTCGGCCTGTGACGCCTCGCTGGAGCGGCGGCTGGAGAAGCAGGGCGAGATCCCTGAGGAGCGGCGGCTGCTCAGGTAGGCCGAGCTGATGGTGCTGGCGCTGCTGTCCCTTCTGTTGAGCATGTTCAGCATAGTGACGTCCACCCCAGAGAGGTCGCTTCTGCCCGGGAGAAGCGTCATGGGCCCACCCAAGCTGCAGGTGTTGTTGGACTGTGTGCCTGGAGACAGAGAAAGGGAGAGACCATGCGGAGATGAATTCCCTTCGAGCATGACTTACACCAGGCATGAGCAACCCTTTTCTGTAAAGGGCCAGCTAGGAACTATTTCTGGTGTCCCAGGCCACATTGCCTGCCTCACAACTACTCAGCTCTGCAGTGTAGCCCCAACACGGCCACAGAGAGCAGTGAGCAAGCAAGCGTGGCGGGGTGTCCATGAAGCTTCCTTTACAAAAACAGGGGCGGCTGGAGATGGCCGCAGGCTGTAGTTTGCTGATGCCTGGCTTAAACAAAACAATAACAACTCCCTCGATTCACTGAAGCCCCTCCCCAAGCGCTGTGCAAGGACAAAAAGAATCTTGTGATGGTACACAACGCTTGAGTTCCAGGCAAGTCCCCAGGCAAAGGTACTCCACGAGTTTCACATTCACGCTCAGGGCGTCCTGTTCATGCCACATCCTACCAACAGGTAACACCTGTGTTGGTGCAGGCAAGAGCTTCACCCCTTAGGTGCTCTCAGAAGTGTAATCTCAGAAGTGCAAACTGACCTGGGGACTGACAGTGGGGAGGGATTTCTGACTTTCCTTGAACTGGGTAAATATAAATAAAAGTGGCTGCTAACCTCGTGGTTTTAAATTTTGGAAACCAGAGACAGAGTTCCAACCACAGATGCCTCCACTGCTGGCATTCCCTTACCCTAATCTAACAGTTATGATTTCACCATCAGAATATGAGTCATGCACAGTCACATTTTTTTCTCAATATTATCCTGTTCCTAGCTGTTTTTAAAATATGGACAATCCCAAAAGGCAACTTGAATGGGCTAAACATTAACGGATGGTTACAGCGTCATTTTAGGACTGGTGGAGAAACTAGCAAACATAAAACTGAGGGCCTGCATTTAAAAGAACAGAAAAAAAAACCCTGAGCAGATGCATGGTCTGATGTAGAACTCACCATTTCCTATGAGAGGAGAGACCGCAGGGGCTTTAGGGGGTAGAATGGGGTTCAGTCGCGGAAACATTCCATTCACTTGTTTTAGCCTTTCTAGTTTTACGTGCTCCATCCATTTGGTCCCTGCCGGGTTTCTCCTGGCTTGCAAAGCAAGGGCTGTGGTTGCAGTGGAAATGGTTGAGTCCATGATTGGGGTTTCATCGATGGCACTGAGGTCTCCTATACTACCTCCATCGGTCAGAGGAAGCTCGAGCCCACTGTTGGAATAGTTGCTGATGGGGGACTGTTGGCTGCTGCATGAAGACTGACCACCAGGGCTTGGCTGAGATGTCTGTTGGGGTCAAGTGGAAAGGAAAGAAATGTCACCAGGGAGGGTCAAGGAAAGGGAGCCAATAATGAGAGCTCATGCATATCGAGATCTTCAAGATCATCAGTTGGTTGAATGAGAAGAAAAACTATGTTCTGGTGAATGGAGCTGGCCACTTTTGGCCAGAATGACGGATGGACCACCAGGCTGATGGGCAACAGGAGGCAATGGAAAGCAGAGAATGCTAGCTGCAGTGTGACTGGCATGGTATCAGCCATGGAATCCTGCCCCAATCGCCAACTCTGCAGACATACTTCCTCGGTTCCAATCCCATCTCCACCACTTTATTCTTTGGGCACATTACTTAGCCACTCTAAACCTCAGTTTCCTTATCTATAAAACAGGGACCATTTATTTCAGGGATTGTTGTGAGGAATTAAGTGTGAAGCCCAGAGAGCACACAAGTATAAAAAGACCTGGATAATAGCAATTGGTTCACAGGATGTTAGCAATTATTATGATCCCGGGTGGTTTTAGTCTTGAGGTTCATTTTGCTCAGCTGAAACATAAATGTAAGATATGCGCCATCAGCACACATTACCTCCTCCAACAAGAGCCCCTCTAGGCTGTTCAGGGCTGGTTAGCCAAGCTCTTTGTAACCTCTCCTCCCTCCTTCCACATTTTCTTGCTTTTGTAGAACCTCAACCAAGGTGTCAGTAAAAGCAGTTGAGAGAGGTAAAACTTCAATCACTTAGCTTGTGCTATACCAAGAAAGAAAGAAAGAAAGAAGAAAGAAAGAAAGAAAGAAAGAAAGAAGAAAGAAAGAAAGAAAGAAAGAAAGAAAGAAAGAAAGAAAGAAAGAAGGAAAGAAAGAAAGAAAGAAAGAAAGAAAGAAAGAAAGAAAGGCTGCAGATCACAGCCGTCATGAGTCTGTAGAATGATTTCACTGTTCTCCTTAGTGTACTCCCTAATAGTTCACTAGGAGGATTAGGAAATGATTCCCTAACCCCAACCGAGTAGACTCTATAAGACAATGCTGCAAACAATGGAATCTTAATCTAGTCCACCGTAGTCCTCAATCAGGGAAAGTACTGCCTCCTCTCGCTCCCAGGGCTCCTGGAAATTCAGGGTGCCCAATATCTGGGGATTACTATATAAAATGGCCTACAATGCACAGGACAGTCACACAGCACAGAATTGTTCCATCTCAAGTTCCAGCGGTGTCCTGGTTGATAAACAGTCGAATCCTTTTTGTACAGATAAGAAAAGTGATGTTCAGAGAAGTTTAGTGACTGCCCAAAGTCACAAAGTGAATGGTGCAACTAGCCTGGACTCCTAGGCCGGCTACTTCCATGCGTCTGCAGCGCCTTCACCAGTGTTACTATAAACACGGACAGCAGCCGAAAGGGAGAGTGCTTTAGGGAAAGATAACTACACTCACTCGGTTACAGAGTACTGTAGTCTCAGGTGGAATGCACAGTGCCACCAGGAAGGGCTCTTCGCAGTGGAACCCTTTCACTTCTTCTGCTATCATGGTACATACACCCAAGCAAATGAACACTTTCTAAGTGAGTGCTGCATGGTACACTAACTTTGTCCCGGGCAACCAAGCAGAGCCAAATAAGTTATACAAATTTGATCGTGAGTATGTGAAGCCTTGCTTAATTTTTGGCCTCAGCAGAGTGCTGGAGTGCCAGACCACCTGCTCCTTCCTGAGGTACTTGTTTCCAGAGTTTTGGATGTCTTTGACTCCTGGACTGTCAAATCAGAGTGTGTGCAGACATGAACTTGTGCATTTGTGCAAACACACAGGCAGACACACTTCATATAAGGCACAAATGCACTCACAATTAGGAAATTGCTTCAATGAGCGTCCACATTTAAATAGAGATTACATTGCTAACAACAAATAAAGCCAGATCTTCCTCAAAGAAGGTGGTGCACATCTGGTCTAAGGATGAATTTGCATTAGTCAGTACAATAATGAGTCTTTCAGAACATCTGCTTGGTAGGCCCCAGTGTGATTTGTTATGGAAACCTAGACAGATAGAACAATGAATTTCACCAACTAACTCCACATTTTTCACATGCTGAATGTTGAAAACACATTGCTTCTATATTTGAAACATATCTGAGTAATGTTCACTACCAAAAGTATCACAAAACCACAAAAACTAAAGAAAAATTAACAGAAAAAAGTAAATGTTAAAAAAATGAAAACAAAACAAAAAGGACAGAGAAGCCAAAATTCCCTCACCTTATTACCCACTGTCCTTAGGAAGTGAGAACAAGACATTTAGGAGCATTAGACAGAAGAGATGTTGCATTAATAAGAAAAAAGAAGAAAGAATTTAATTTATAGCATGATGATCAAATCAAAGACATGTTTTTTAAAGAAAACTAGAAATGTAAATTTCATGTTTATTAGTAAATGTCTGTGAAGATACCTACTTTTAAATGTGTGTGAGCATATACACACATAATATCTGCTGTGGAAATGTGATTAATTTATTAACCTCACTAAGCCTCAGCTTCCTCAAAATATGGGCATAGTCTTGATCTCCATGGTTTCTTTTAGTCCTATGGTTCTAGGTTGGTGCCAAAGTAACTGTGGGTTTTGCCATTAAAAGTAATGACAAGACCCACAATTACGTTGGCACCAACCTAATATGACTGAATTACTTTATGAAATATTTCACACATTGGGACATCTCAATGTTGCTGAGCCAAATCGCTGTAATTTTTATTTCTACCAATTTTCTTTTTAAACAATGGGTGTTTGAAGAGAAAATGACAATTTTCTTGAGCTAGGAATGTACACTAAAAGTAGAAGAGATTTTGGGTTCTTGGAATATCCCAAGAATATAAATCATCGGTTTCATGACATAATCTAAGACTGCAAATTAACTTTCTTTGTTTTGTTAAACACGTGAGGATAAACCGTTGAATGTTCTGTACAATTATTATACAGGTAGGCTTTATTTTAAGAATAGACATGTGCTCCCCTTCAAAAAAAGTATATAAAACACAGTTTATGAACTGATTAAAATACAGTGATCAACCATAATGTATAAACATCTTATTAAGATACTTTTTTAAAGCAAAGTACAGCTACCCACTGATAAATCATGATAAATCTGCATAGCTGATTTGTGTTATTTTTGGCTAGACTTAATGTCACTCTCTAAGACTCTTAAGAATTCAAAGACAAACTCAGTAAGTCATTAAAACATAGCTTCTCACCGTCTCAATGGTAAGATTGTGCATTATTTCCCACCCACACGTACTGTGACATCACTCATGAATTCATAGGCTCTCCATCCGATAGACTGCTCTAATTTTAAGAAAATGCTGGCTTTAAGTATAAATCTGTTTGCCTGATTGTTTCCGTGCATCCGGCAGTCTGAGCATGAAACTTCTCTCTGGTACACTTCCTTCACAGGTTAGAGAGTGACAGCCCAGAACCCAATATATTTGCACAATTAAATCCATTCTACGCATGGCCAGATGGGCTGAATCTCCTCTACTATACTATCTACTCTTAATTTTTCTTGTTGTCTTTGAAATTTTTAGGTGTTTTATAAAATCACATTCATGAAGCGAAGTCACGAACTGAGGTTTGAAAGAAGCTGAAAGAGTAGCAGAGCCCACATGTCCTATTAGTCTCCAAACACAAAGATTGCCTACTGAATCTTCCAGATCCCTCTCTCATGCTCTGCCTTACTGGTTCAGGCCCAACTGCAGAAGTGGTCTCCAGTTTACCCAGTTTCTAGACTGGTACTGGAGTGGTTTCCTCAAAAAACAAGAACAAAAAAACAAACAAAAAAACTCACCCCTGCTATGCTGTTCCCCTCCCACCCCTGTGCTCCTCTGCCTCCTCATCCTCCTCAGCTCTTCCCTCTGGAGCACTGAACTCCTGTCCCATGGCTTCCTCTGCCCCGACTGACCGGCAGTCCGTCCCTCTCCTGAATCCTCTTTACACAGACTTGTGTGTAAGCCTCCATCACACTGCACGGTATTTGTTTTTCAGTCTATCTATCCCACTGGACTGTAAACTCCTAAAGAATATGGGCCATGGCCTATTTACCTTGGGGTCACCAGGGCAAAGAAGACAGAAAGCATGTTTACAGGAAGAGTCAATGAATGATTTTCGACATTACAGACACGCTGGAGAGACAGACAGTCGTGTCTTTCTTCCTTCCATGGCACAGTGGTATGGTTCTGGGAGGGATTTTAAAAATCAGTTAGGAAACCTGGAAACTCTTTTTCTGAGCTGATCGACTTCACGTAAGCAATACGGGTCACTGCCCTCATCGCCTCCTCAGATCAGAGACAGCCTGACACAGTGAGGACCGGGAAGTCCTGTCCCTCTATGCACCCTACCTGGCTCTTTTAAATGGGCCTGCTGTGAAGTCAGAAGGAGAGTGAATGACATACCATTGGCTTCTCTGCCTTGACGGTTTTCACCTGGAGGCATTCTTCCCGCTTTGAGGTAGTGTTGCTGAGGTCCTGCTGCTCACCAAGGGCTCCCTGAGTCGGTCGGCCAGGCGACCTGGACTGTGAATGGCTGCCGGAATCTCTCGGGGGTGGCGGCCGAGGATGGATGTCCCCTCGCTGCTTCTTGGTGACATGAGCCTCTGGGCCATGCACTGTCTTCACATGTTTCCGGAGGGAGCTTGGGTCTGTGTAACGCTTAGTGCAGCCTGGGATTTTGCACACATATGGTTTCTGCCAAATCCCACAAGAACGAGGTAAGAGATTGTTATGAAAGAGACTATGCCCCAGCCCAAAAGTCCTTTATGGTTGCTCATTACATTTTTAATCCTTTCAAAACACTTTCACAAGGCTTTGAGGTGTTCAGATACCTCTAGGAACTAATAGTTTAATAAGGCCATTAGAACACTGTTCCGTGTCCATAGAATTTAGCTTTAATAGATTATGGCTTGAGAGAGAGGCTCAGGGAGAACTAAGAATGTGTAAATTGCCTTGATGTTCTTGGAAGCATTTACACTGTGAGTGAGAAGTATCACGGTGCCATAATAGGCACTCAATAGATATTTGATGATGATGATGATGATGATGACGATGACTATGAAGATGGCTTAAAAGACACCCATCATCTAATCAGGAGAAGACTGCACACCTTTCAGAAGAGATTGTGTGACAAAGTTTTTTATGGATGTCCTGGTTGTGAGATCTAATATCACTCTGATCCTTTTGAAAATGTGCTATTTATGCACAGGCATAATTTAAAAATTGCCGATGGCATCTCCCATGTTAGATGACACTAAAATGTGCTCCTTTGGGTAGCATTACAAGTGTGGGGATGTTCAGGGCTCAAAATAGCCAGAACCTTTCTGCTCTTTGAAGTTGGAAAGCCCTGTTACAGACTGTCCATGAATCCTCATCATAAACTGCAGAGGGCTGACGGATGTTCTGGGGACCAGGATTTCTGGTCTGTTTTCTTCTCCTCAGTGAATTTATAACTAAGGTCTATAAATTATTTCATGCTAATTTCATTTTCTATGTGGGTCAGTGATCAAGCCTAAGGATACAGTCATAAAAAATTATGCGGATGCTTATATAAGCGGATTATTTTCTGAAATCACAGAACTGCTGACCTTTGGCTCATGACCAACATCGGATTTGTGAGTTTGTTCACTTGGCTTAAAATATAATATACGCAAGAATGCTTTCATGAATATATATTTATATCTATGTATAGCAGAGGATGAGCTTTTACGTAAGCAAGCGTCATGAAAAGCAGGATTACTATAATGTACCTATTATATTTAAAAGGATGCCGTGTCTTGTAGAATGTATGTCTAAAAGATGCTTTTTCACTAAAAGCCCAAGAACAGACTGAGTGCTACCTAAAATGCTGAAATGTCCTAATGCAGTGAAGCAAAGATCCTGAAACTGAGAGGTTTCACCTCCAAACCTGAGACTCCTTTGGGCAGAATTGATTCCCATTAACTATGAATTACATCTATTCAGGAGCTTGTGTGATTTGCAGCATATATATATATAATAAGATGAGCACATCAAATTCTATGCATTAGGGACAAAAGACTGGCTCTGATAATTAGTGCCATTACCTTACAGTGTTCTGACACAGGCCCTATGCTTGCTCACAGCATTCCTGTGACAGGTTGTTCCATCAACAGGCAGACTGGGATATATGGGGCAGAGGTATGGAGACCAGAAGGAGAGAGGGAGCACAAAGCCTGCATGTTTGGAGAGCTACTCTTCCTGTAAATATATGGATGTACATTATGGGTTAGCTTAGAACCAAGGACGCAGCCAATATGTAATGAGATACAAATGTGTCGGCTCCTGCACTTCCAGAAACAACAGCCCATACAGGTGCACCTGTGCCCGTGTGCCCTTGTGTGTGAACATACACATTATCTACCCACAAAAATTCACAAATTCACAAGAATACAGGTTCAGGAAATGTATACCTCACAACAACATAACATAAACAAAATATATTAACCCTTCACACAACTTTTGCCCACAAATTTTGTTGTGATCAGTGACTGAAATAAAATATAATTAGAGACTAAGAAAAATGTTCTCAGACTTACTGAAGTGCAAGATTCTGCAAGCACAAAGTTGCATACAACAAAATTTAATCATAAGGAATACAAAATCTGATAGGAAAAATAAGAAGATGCAATGATCTGTAATATAAAGTGTGAAAGCTATGTAAGGATATAGACAGAGGAGGGATCATTTTTCAGCTAGGATAATCATGGGAGGCATCAGTTATTAAGATTCTATATCTGGGCTTAATGCCCAGCTCACGGGATTATCAGTAAGTGCTAAATTAGATCATGTACATGAAGTGCTTACCAGGATGCATGGAACATAGTAAGCACTCAATATACAGAGCTTTTATTAGGAGTCATTTTACTTGGGATGCCAAAAAGAAGTGTCCTCAGCAAAGGTCCAGTGGCAGAACCACTTCATGCACCTAAGCATGGCAGTGCACAGCACCAGCTTCTGGAAGGTTTCATTCATGGTCATGATAGTGAGAGGTCAGGACTAGAGGGATGAGCTTGGGCCCTGTGAGAACTGACACTTACACAACCTTAGGGAGTCTCAAGTCTCCCTATAGGAAAGAGGGAGCCATTGCAGCTTTCTAGAGAGGGAGGTTCAACCGAATCAGAGCTCAGGAAACTTGTTTAGCGGTATCTTTGGGGGAAAAATGAGCTGTCTGATCTGGAGTAAGAAGTCCTGTCAGAGCTACGGTCAGTCTAGCAGCCCTAAATGAGCAGGACAGCCAGAGGAACAGAGAAGTGCCAGCAATTACTCCCTTCCCATTACAGTCCATTATTTTCTTGGCCACACTTAGAACAGCAAAGGGCTTGGCACATAAATAGCTTTAAGTATTTGTTCAATGAATAAATGAAGTTGCAAATAAGAGAGGAAATAAATGAAGGCAAATCACTTGATTCATCTAGGATTGTGAAATTGCACAAATCTGGATTTCCTGGACAAACTTAGTTTTGATGCGTCTGAAAATGTCCATCAGTCACACACAGGGCCAAAGTCTTGCATATAGAAGAGAGAAGTATAATTTGTTTGTAAATATGTCTGTGGGTAGAATTTTAATTATGTATTTATGATAAAAGTTAGTAATTTAAGTAAATTGCTCAAGTGTGGTCAATGACATTACTACCCAAGATATCCTTATCTTTTAATCTTATAACAAACACTCAACTCTCACACAACATTGCACTTTTTACCTTGGAGAAGAACACAAGCTCAACTACACCACAATTAAAGCAAACAGACATGTACAAATATTTTAGGTCCATAAAAAGACAAAAAAGCTTGGTAATTGTCTTTATATGTGTGCATTCTGATCCTAACATACCCTCTGTCCAAACTTCTCCATGATAATAGGAGACAGCATTGGCCTAACATCTATAGGAATGAATGCCCCCTAAATTTCTAGTCAAAATTACACTTAAATCTATGAAATATATGAAATACATTCTGTTAAGTCAAAACCCCTTAAAATTTTAAATTGAAATATAATTCACATGCCATAAAAATAATCCCTTTAAATTGCACAATTCAGTGGCATTAGTACATTCTAGACATTGTGTAATCATCACCATTACCTAATTCCAGAATATCTTCACCACCCCAACAAAAAAACCTTGTATCCATTAGCAGTCATCACTATTCCCTCTCCCCTCTGCTTTTGGCAACCACTGATCTACTTTCTATCTCTATGTATCTATCTATTCTAGACTCCCTAAAATTTTGTACAAAACAAGTGTAATAGATTATATTCCAGCTACTGCATACTGTAAAAGCATTTTTACATTAAAAATGGAGATGTGGCATCTTTAAAATGTCTTCAAACAGTTAGAAAATGAGATTCCGAATAACTCCAGTTTCCATGACCTTTTCACACAGAAAGTTGGTATATATATGAACTTACATGTGTGAGTTTATGAGTGAGTGTGCTTTTTACAGAGTGCAGTTAATCCCTTTAGAGATGTTTTTGCTCTGTCAGTTTCAGCTGAAGAAAACATGGTGAGAACCATCTTTGCCACCTTAAAGCCAAAAGTCCACTGAGCAGAATGGCTCACTTTGTTTCTATCAAGATTCTCTCTGCCCAGCTCTCTGTCTGAAAGATCATGAATGTGTTTGACCTGCACTGGTGAGATGAAATGACAGCCACTCCAGGGTCTCATGTGTGCACGATGTTCCTTCTCTAACACATTTCAAGCAAACTGATGACACGCTGTGGTGCTGAACTATGTCTCATGTTAACAAATTCTGGTTAGCTATCCTATTTCCACTCAAAATGTGGGGAGTCCTTTTGTTAATCTCTCAATACATTCAAGAGAAGATTTCACAGACAAGCCAGAATTTGAGCTAGACCTCCAAGGCCAAATTGGAAGTCTGTAGGAAGATGTTCACTAAAATGTAAGCAATGAATTTGGAATAATTTTTATTCTTATGCCTCTCTACAATTTAGGGGGGATCGCTACCTAAAAATAACAGTAACACAACAGGAATCACCCTGAAGCTTTACTCAATATGTTTTCTTAAGTAACTGCCTAGAAAGTATTCTGGGTTTCTGAGACCATTTTCCAAGATCCTTTGGAATTTAGAATGTCTGAAAATTGCATTTAGCCAAGGCTGGTTGCTCTGTAAAAATCTTTTTTGATATAATACCATTTGAAGATACCACTTGGAGGAAGCAAATAAAAGTGGATGACTTAGCAGGAAGCTGTCAGCTGTCAACATGCTACTTCTTAATATATCCTTGGGGCTTATGGGGTCATCCTTTGCATGGATTCCTGCTATTTTGGGCAGCGTGACTGGCTCAGATTCCAAGTCAAATGCTCCCACTGTTTGACCAGTAGGTGGCAGTTCAAAACAACATGAAACTAGTAAGTTCGCAGGGGTTTTAAGAAGTTTCCTCCTCATCTCTTATTATTCTCCAAATAAGATCCAGTTTCCAGTCCCACCTAGGAAGCTCAAGCCTTCACCTGCAGGGGCAGAGCCCCTCATGCTGGGAATGGCCAAGGGGAAAACAAAACAGAACACACTGCGCCTTCCCATGTGCCTTCCCCGGGATAGTTCTTTGTTTCCTTATGCAAGCTCCATGCCCACTGAGGATGCTTACCTCATTGGAATGCGTTCTGTTTTGGTGTTTGGCGCGATCAGAGGCATTTGAGAAAGCCTTGTTGCAACCTTCGTGCTCACAGACGTATGGTTTCTCTCCAGTGTGAGATCTCAAGTGTGTTTTCAAGTTTTCTAGTCTCGAGTAGGCCTTTGTGCAACCTTCAAACTGAGGACAACAGGTAAATCTGGATTACTCTGCACAATGGCAACAGCAGCTTATGCCTAACACGCCCTCCAAGTTGATGAAAAACTGATGTTTCAAGGGTCAGCAGCTTTTCAAAACCCAGGAACAAAAAGTCCACTAAACTCTGCATTTATTGGGATTCAGATGTAGCTTGGTGTAGTTCCAGATAAAGAGTTTTCAGTGCCAGTAAAAGTCCTGAAGTTTTTTTTTTTAATAGACCGCTCAATGTGGACAATGGGTTTCATTATCTGCTCATTGATCTCCTCAAATTCCCACTGATTTCAGATTCAGCACAAAGTTCATTAATATAGCTTTGTGTCCATACAAAGACATGGAATTTGATCATGTTTGTAAAGGGCCTTTAAGATGTAAAGTACCAGGGCTCAGCGTGCCCAGTGCGCCTCGTGGGCACCTCAGTGAAGAATGCACAACCTTGCGGCACCCCCTTCCCATTCCATACGCCTATGCCTGAGGACTCACTAGGAAAGGAAGGGAAAACTTTAAAACCTCGTATAGGGATTAGCTGTTTTAAAAGTCAACTTCAACTCTGTAAGTTGGAAGCTGGCACTTCCCTTTGCCTTCCAAGCCCCGTGGTACCATAAGCTGTTGGGCTGCGGCCAGCAGGGTGGCCCGCTATTCATTCCCAGTGCCAGCCACCACTGCCCCCTTGCCACTGTGCAGAGCTGCGCTGTCCAACTCAGTCACTCAAACACCGAGGCATTTATCACCAGACAATACTCTAGTCCTCTTCTCTTGCCACCCAACCACGCTTCCCCTGAGCTGGTGTCATCAGTTTGCACAGCTCTTATGAGTATGGGGAAGGACCCAAGTGTGCCTGCCACCCACTTCTGTACTCACAGTGCATTTGTGAGGCTTCTCGCCCGTGTGTCTTCTCATATGCACTACCAACATATACTGGGCTTTGAAGGGTTTCTGCTCTCTTGAGCAGTCCAGCCACCTGCACACGAACTCCTTCTTCTCTCCATGAATATGGTCGTTATTTATATGCTGGGGTTTGGAAAAAGAGAGAGAAATCAAATGGAAACGTATTCATCATTTCTGAAGGCGACAGAAGAAAATGCAGAAAATACCCCAATCTTAAAAATTCTAAAGACCACAAGAATAACTTTACCATATTACAGATTATAAAAATTCCAGTTAGTACACTTCTCAAGTAAATTTGCTTTTGCTAACTGTGTATGCATGCTTCCTAACCAGTGGGAGTGGCAAGACCGGGATGGAGCCTGGCATTCCAGGAAATATACTACAGTACACTGGCCATCTGAAGAGCAGAGTTCAATTCCAGGTTTGGGACCAGCTAGTTATGAAATGAGGTGAGCCACTGTTGACCTTTCTGAATCTCTGTCATTTTTCCTTGCCAAGGCTGGCGATTGAGGCTAAACAACTGCAGAGATGTTCTCCAACTCTCACATGCTGGGCCATGGGTTAGCACCGCGGCTTAGGCTTCAAAAAGGGAAGGCACACACAGACATGCACAATTCCAGAACAAAAAAACCAAAAGCACTTGCAAATGAAACTTTAGCTCAGGGTTAATCAGACTGCTTCCTGAATAAGAATTGCAGAGAAAAGAATTATACTGAGGAAGAGGACTGTGTGGTCATCAACAAATAAGTTAGTCTTTCAGGGCCTTGGTTTTCTTCTTGTAGAAAATAAATGACTGGATTCACTAGTTGCTAAGGGACTTTCTAGCTCTAAAATTCTATTAATACAGTTTTTAACATAAAGATGAAGTTCTCTGAATTACTTACCAATTCATGGTTTTAGAATCATTTAATTTCTTGGATTAATACAATTAGGAATCATTAGAAACCTACTGCAGCATGAGAGGAAGAGAAGCTTCTTAATTTGAATCAAATTAAGGTCAATTTCAACAGGTTGAGCATACTATTTCAATGTCCAGCTATGGACTACTGAAGACATTTGCATCCTAGGTTGATGCTGTTGGTCTTTATTTTCTGGTGATTCTACATTTTATTTGCCTTAATTTAAGGCTTGTGGGAACACTTTCTGAAGTATACATAGAACTACATCACCAAAAAACTTCGTTCAATAAGAGAAAGCTCCCTTTGGCTCCATGCCTCGTGTGGTAGTGACACAACCTCTCATTACTTTCCTGCTGAGTCCAGGGCTCCTAAAGCGGTGGTCGCTGTGAGTCTGAAGGTGAAGTTCTGCCCTCAGAGTGTGCCTTTCCCAGTTACTCCACTAGATGGCCTTTCGCTTTAGGTAAAAAAAAGTTTTACAAAAGTAAAGTTTTCTATGCTGTTTCTGGAGTTTAAAACTGGGTGAGGACAGAGAAAAGAAATTGTTGTTCTCTATCTCCTCTCCTTGGAGCAGTTCCCAGAAAAATCTGATGAAGAGCAGAGAGAGAGTGGTACATTGCAGCACACAAGAAGAGAGCCAATGTCCCGTCAGTAGCTCCAAAAATGACACAGAAACTGCAGTGGTTGGGGAGCAACCCCACGGCAAACAGATGTGGGTTTCCTATGAAAAGCCAGCCATGCTCCATGTCAGTGTTTCTTTAAAGTTATGATGATGCACACAGGTATAGGAAGAGAACAGATGTTCTGGACAGGGGTCAACGTTCAATCCGCACGTCTGCTTCTAGTAAGTCTTTGTAGCCCATACACAAGACCAGGGCTTTCCCAAATGTGTGCTGAAGCCCAGCCTTGGAAACCAAGCTCACATCTTACAGAGGGGTTCTATGGATTCTCAAACGGGAGAAAAAGAAATGATCATACAAAAACACTCCCTAACAGTTGCTCTTGGTTCAGTTTTCCAAGTCATTGGAAATAAAGCTTGGATCCTTGGATTAATGCATATGAAAGGGAAAGAAAAAAGGAAGGAAGGGAGGGAGGAAGCAAGGAAGGCAAGCAGAGAGTGAGGGAGACAGAAGGAAAGGGAAGAATAAGGAAGGAACACAGGAGGGAGAAAGGAAAAGGTAAAATTGGGAAACTGAATTATAATTTGTGCTGAGCCAACTGCTTAAGGTTGGATCCATGTCTTATTAGTTCCCTGTTCTCTCTCATGCTTTTATGAGGATGTGCTGGGTGCCACTCACACCAGGCCCTGTGCTGGAGAACATGACAGACATGATTCTTGCCCCAAGGAATTAAGTCTACCAGAGGGAAACAGGTCATGGCTTAAATTACTATACAATTACAGTTGTGATAGGCATTATGAAGGGAGATAACAGGGTTTTATAAAAACATGTAATGGGATCATAAGTCAGTGTGCAGCATCAGGAATCAGGGTCCGCTTCTCCAATGAAGCAGCATTTAGAGCAGGACCTGAAGGATGAGTAGACACATCAGGTGTGCAGGGAAGGATGGGGTAGGAGAATGGGACACTACAGCGGACCGATGACACAGAAGTACCTGCAGAAGAACAGAGCCTGGTGCCTTTGAGGAACAGCGTGAGGGCCACGCATGGCAGGAGAGAACTGGCCAGGGAGAGACTGCCACCACTTGGCATGGCGAGAAGGCATGAGTTTTCTGTGGGTCAAGTGGACATCCATGACGTAGGTAAGCTTGGGTTAGCTTGCCAGGGCTCACCTAAAATGCTGTGTGCTCAGTCATGTCTCCAGCAGTGAGGATGTGGGAAATACCCCTGCATAAAACTCACATACACCCCAGGGGAAAGCCAGGCTTGCATGTCTGCCCCTGAAGAGGAGGGCATCAGGGAAACCTGGTGCTACTCAAGGGAGCAGGGGTGGCTAAGAAGGAGGTGCCAACAGTGGCCAGTAAAAAAAGGGACTCTCATATTTTCCTTTCCTGTCTCATCCAACACACTGGAGGAGCTGGACCCTAGAAAGAAAGGGAAGGCATCTCCTGGCAGCACTCCCAGGCCCCAGCTCCTTTAGGTGAGGTGGCAAAGGGAGGGCAAACAGCCTGCCAGTTCCCTTGAGGCCTGTGCCTCGCTGCTGACAGGGAAGGGAAGGCTCTGGATTGGACCTGAGATTGGACGTTTAAATTGGACACTTTAGTTATCCAAAGTGACGGGGAAGGTATAGAATCTGCCTACAATGGTGTTGAGGGATCCGGCACTGAGCAGAGAAGGGAGAACTGGCAACCAGCGGAGGAGGGCAGTGCCTGGAAAAATCCCAATCATTTCCTATTTATACCGCACCCAGCTTCTTCTACCTTTGCCACTGAGACAATGTGTGGAAATTTGAGTGGCAGGAAATCCCACACCAGTCAGCAAGCATGAACACCCTTGCTGTTGTCTCCATGTGGGGAGGGGTGGGGGAAACTTATGTTGGGCACTTAAAGCAACCTCATTTTCATAAGGTTAGCATCTTGGGAATGTTCCCTTTCCAATCCCTTAGACCCGAGTCCCAACTAATATATTTTTGCAATTTTCTGGAACTGCTCTTAAGTTCAAACTTGCATTGAGACCACAGTTATTTTTCTTTAAATGAAATTCTACACCTAGGAGGCTGGGGAACCAAGTCAATCTTCCTCTTCTTTACTGCTTAAATGCTGCACAGAGGATGTAATCAATTGCTATAAGGAAAAAGGGAGGCATCTCTCTGCCTGTTTAAGCAGTTCAAATGTATTTTAAGCTTAACATATTTCCTAGAACTAGATTTCAAGTGAAAATTAAAATTCTAAGAACTCACAGACTTAACATGTGCATGTGTTCTAAATATTTACTTTCCTTTAAAAAGCTGCATTGGGCCAGGCATGGTGGCTCACACCTGTAATCCCCATATTTTGGGAGGCTGAGTCAGGAGGATCACTTGAGCTCCAAGACCAGCCTGAGCAACACAGCGAGACCCCATGTCTAAAAAAAAAATCAGGGTGTGGTGGTATAGGCTTGTAGTCTCAGCCACTTGTGAGGCTGAGGCAGGAGGGTCACTTGAGCCCAGGAGGTCAAGGCAGTAGTGAGCCAGGTTTGCACTACTGCACTCCAGCCTGGGAGAGCAAGAACTTGTCTCAAAAAAAAAAAAAAAAAAGAAAATACATTGTACATTGCCCTCTGCAGTGAGTGTTCATCTGAGGGCCTATATCACAGTAGGCAGAGCACTGGAGGGCAATGGAGGAAGCATTCCAGACAATTTCTGATGAGTTGTGTACCTTTGGACAGACCAATTCACCTATTTGGCCCTTACTTTTCTCATCTGTAAAATTAGAGTAATGAATTAGATCAGGTGTTGGCAAACATTTTCTGTAAAAGCTAGATAGTAAATATTTTAGGCTTTACAGGGCTGTAAGCAGCCACAGACAACATTTAAATGAATGGGTTATCTGTTCATTTATGAATGTGGAAAACTTTCACGTGTCACAAAATATTCTTTGACTTTTTTTTCAACTTTTAAAAAGTCTAAAAACCATTCTTAGCTCATAGGCTGCACAGAAACAAGCAGCTGGATTTGGCCTATGGGCCATTGACTGCTAATCCCCAAAGTGGATGAGCTCTGTTTCCTTCTCGTACTAACATCTGACAGGTGAGCCCTCAAGCCTGAGAAAGCAAAATTAGAAGGAGGTACGTTCTAGTGCCAGAGAAAAGAAAAGGCAGTAGGAAGGACTGAAAATCAGGATCCTGCGCTATAAAAGGTACCCCAACGAAGGGAGGGCCATACATTAGGCCAAACTTCACTGTTTGTATCATATTCCTAGGACTAAGAAAAAAAAACACATTCTTTTTCTCACCAAAATCCAAGGTAGATAAGAAAAGTGATAGGCAATGAATTCTTAACATTCGATGGACGAATTGACCCCATATGAAGCTGGCCTGAAATTCAATGGGCACGAGTTTATTTGTGGTTTCATTGAAAATTTGACTTCCCAGCAGTGAAAACGTTAATCAAATATATAAATAATTTAATTGGAGGGAAAATAATGCATGATTAAATTCCAAACTAATCCAACACATAGACATGCAATTTGCCAGAGGCCCGAGAGTCAGAAAGAGATAGATGGTGTAAATTACAATGTGGCATGCCAACTCTCTCGGCGCAGCCACTCTGAACTCTCCCTGTCTGAATAAACAGGGCCAGGACATCAGGACCAGGAAATTTCCCCAGAAAAGCCAAGTCCCGACACTGAGCTTCCCGATGGGTCCATGTCTTCAGTTTTCCAATTGGGGCTCCAAGCATTAGCCTTAGGGAACTGGTGACTGAGGAAGTGAACACCTCATGAGCCCATAGCAAACCAATGAAATGATGTTTTTTTAACTGTCATCGAATGGGAGCAAAATGAGCCACGACTCAGTATTTCTTCCACTGTTTCTTCCACTCCTTTGGGGCTCCGGGAGCCCATAGAAAGGTGGGAGAAATCACAAGCTGGTTTAGCAATCAAGGAGGCAGAAGGTGCTTCTTTCTTTTAACGGAGTTTCTTTGGGAAGCCGAGCCCTGGATGTCCACCAAGGAGGCTTGGAGAGCTACAGGAAGAAATGGGAAAGTGAAGCTTTTCTTTCACTAGCAGCAAAATAGATGCCACAATGGACTTTACTGAGCTAATCAGGGTCCTTTCTTCTCACTTTGTTATTTCACTATTAGCTCAGAGCAGGCAGTTTTCCCTTGGTCTGTTCCTAACCCTCCAGATGAAAGGACACATGCAGTCCATGGCTCGCAGCTCTCCAAATAAAGCCGCCGTTCACGCAGCTCATGAGGCTGGGAAGTACACTTCTGCTTTCCTTCAGTCTCCTCTCCACCAATTCCCACTCAGAAACACAGTTCTCTGGATCGATAAGTGTCCTCCCTTCTAAGTGACTTCTTCAGAATGCTACCACAAGGCTCAAATGTGTGTGTGCAAGATCTGCACATCCCCATTCAAACCCTGCCCGAGGGAATCACTAATCCATAGATACACACCTGGCTGCCTCAAAAGTCTGTCCACTCTTTACATCAGCCAGTTTCTTAACATCAAGAAGGTGAATTCCACTGTTGTAATAAAAATATTACCTTTAAGCATTGCTAAAAACAGTGGAGGGGGGAAACGCGAAGCTTCAGGCTCAACCCTCACCAGTTTCCAGACAGCTCCCCTGCGCATGTACTTTTCACGCCAGTCTTTCTGTCAGTATCTAATGTTTCTCAAATCCCACAGAACTGCTTTATCAATTTAAAAGATTTCTACAAGGTACGACGCCAAGTTCATCACAACACAAGCTACATGTAAAAGCAAAATATATGTTCATAGTTTTCAAATACATATGATCTCTCTCACATACACACAAACACCCATGTGCACACACAGGTGGTGTTATGGCCTTCATAGAAAATAGAATAAGGGCTTAGAAAGCAGTGTGTTCCATATATAAACATCTAAGAAAATGGAACAGCCTTTCTGGCTGGTAGTTCACTGGGTTCACTGGTGAGTCACTGGTGGAAGGCTGAGCACACTTGCTCCACCCCCAGTTGTATTTCCAATTCATGCCTTTGCTACATTTCTCTCTCTTGAACCATTAAGATGCCACCATTTGTTGCGGTGATTATATTTTTAAAAGGCAGAAAATAAAACTGAAACATTCTCTTCTCAGAATGTCAAACTGGAAATGTTTGATAGTTTCAAAATCTTTTTATGTTAGTCTACCAGGTGAGCTCATAAATGCAGCTTGAGTTAATTAATACACTGAACAGGATTCGATAATTTGAAACTTCTGTGGGATTTGCTGGGGAAAGATATTAAGAAAGTCTTCTACTTTGACATAAGATGGGATATAAAGAAGTAAACTATTTCAAGTAAGCTCAATTTTCAGTGTTTCTTGACTTTATGTTATAAGCCTATTACTCTTTAGGTAGTATTACTCTTTAGGTAGTAGTCCAGAAATATTTCTGAAAAGAAAAAAATGGGAAAATAATTTAGAATCTATTAAAATTTAATTTATATTAAAACTGATTTGCAAGAAAGACTGAAATGTTTTGCCTAAAAAAACACTTTCCACAAGAATCCCTCAAAACTTCCTGCCTGAAATAAGGTCTATACCCTCCAGTTTTGTGTATTACTTGATAAATGCAACATTTTTGAAAGTTTTACAACTGTCATGATGTGGATTATATTGGGGATACCTTGTAATTGGATTCCTAAATGCTTCACTAGGCAGACATAGAAAAAAACATGAATCACAGACTATCAGGACTGAAATAGGCCTTATATATCAATGTGCACTTTAATTTTAGATAAATAAAATAATTTAAATTGTTTTGGTGGCACCCATCAATCTTCCTTCCTAACAGATTATTTAAAAACCTGAAACAGCCTCTGCTGTGGGAGGGATCTCCCTGAGACTTCACAAAATGCCTGTTTCAATTCAAACTGGTTAATATAAATATCAAGGCATCTTTCAGTTTCTGACATAACTATAAAATTATACCAGAAAATACCCAGAGGACTCAAGACTTTGGGTACAAACCAGCATTCTCTTTATAAAAATAAAGCAATTTCTTATTTCTGATTTGTGAATATTAAGAATTAGGACGAGATAAAAAAATACGCTTCTTGGTTAAAAATGAATAAATAAATGGACTTCTTCCTGGCTGTTATTTGAATCCTGCTTTTAGGTACAAATGTGTAACAAAATTATTTTTTCTTATGTGTAAGAAAGGCAAAGTTCTTTAACAAGGTAGATGTTTTATCTGAACAAAGGGCTTTATAATGTTGGATCTGAAGAAGAGAAATGAACTAACCTAAAATATGACCCCCACCCCACCCCACCCCATCACCTCCCCAGACCTCCCCAAGGAAAGCTGGACTATGCTTCACTGCAGCAGAACACTATCATTTCACATTTAAAAACAAAAGTCTATTAAAAGGAATGAAATACGCATACACATTACAACATGGTTGAACTTTGACAGCATGCTAAATGAAAGAAGCCAGTCCAAGAAAAGATAAATACTGCATGATTCCATTTATATGAGTATCCAGAATAGGTAAATCTATATATTAAAAAAGGTGGGTGAATAGAGAAATTGGGGATGACAGCAAAAGGGTATGGGGTTTCTTTGTAGGGTAAGGAAAATGTTCTAAAATTCATGTGGTATTGGTTGCACAGCTTTGAGAATATATCAAAACATACGAATTGCTGTATACTTTAAATGGATGAATTACATGGTAGATAAATTATATCTCAATAAAGATATTACCCCCCACCCCCACCCCACGCCTCCAAAGAAAAACTCACAAAAGTATACTTGGTGATGAAGTCTGGTACCAGGAAATTGTGGGAGAATAGGAAGAAGGTTGAAGGAACAGCCAGGTAGAATGGAATCTGACTTCCCCAGAGCTACACCTCTCCTTCAGACTGACTGGGGTAGGGCCCGACAAGTGTTTTTCCATGGAAGCACAAGACTGCATCTTAATCACAACTTCTGCTACAACATACACAGACACAGACACAGACACACACACACACACACACACACACACACACACACAGATGGGTTGAGTCAAAGTGGAACCTATTTTATTTTTTTGAGACAGAGTGAGACAGAGTCTTGCTCTGTTGCCCAGGCTGGAGTGCAGTGGTATGATCTCAGCTCACTACAACCTCCACCTCCCGAGTTCAAGTGATTCTTCTGCCTCAGCCTCCTGAGCAACTGGGACTACAGGCATGCGCCACCACTCCCAGCTAATTTTTGTATTTTTAGTAGAGACGGGGTTTCACTGTATTGGCCAGGCTGGTCTTGAGCTCCTGACCTCATGATCCACCTGCCTCGGCCTCCCAAAGTACTGGGATTACAGGCGTGAGCCACTGCGCCCGGCTGTGGAACATATTTTTATGATACAGTATTTTCCAGTGGGTTTCTTACTGGCCTCAGTTAATAACCTGGGAACCTCACATAAATGACGACTTCTCTGTATTCCTCTGTCCTCATCGTCCAAGTTGTAGAGATGAGTGGAAAGATGGAGAAACCTGAACTTTGTGCAGAGTTGTTAACAGAACAAAGCCAAAAAACATCATACGCTAACATCAGTTCAAGTATGCAAAATAGTGCATGATTTGAAAAAGCAGATAGTTTCTAATCCATGATATATTCTAAAATTTACTAAAGATGCTTGAAAAATTGACGCACTGTTAATTCAGAATCTCTATCTTTTCAGTTTTGCTGTTACCTTGGATTATATAATAACTAGGTATAAATGTAAAATTTGTGACATAATTTATCTAGCTGACCCTCCACCCTACCCTAAGGAATGCACATGTCGCAGGCTCAAACTCATATAAATAGAATCACAGTAGTGACTTAATATTAACGTGACCTAAAAACTGAAGGAAATGTGAGTTTTTGAGAAGAGTTTCTAAGAAGTAAATATTCATAATATTGGTTGATGTTATTTATATTATTTAGGTCAAAAGGAAACATCCTCATTCTTCAAAGTGCCTTAAGGGCCCTGCTATGGTCTGAATGTGTCACCCCTGAAATCCATATGTTGAAACTTAATCACCAGTGTGGGTGTATTAAGAGATGGGGCCTTGGCCAGGCACGGTGGCTCACGCCTGTAATCCTAGCACTTTAGGAGGCCAAGGCGGGTGGATCACCTGAGGTCAGGAGTTTGAGACCAGCCTGGCCAACGTGGTGAAACCCTGTCTCTACTAAAAATGCAAAAAATTAGCTGGACATTGTAGCAGGTGCCTGTAATCCCAGCTACTCGGGAGGCTGAGGCAGGAGAATCACTTGAACCCAGGAGGAGGAGGTTGCAGTGAGCCAAGATCACTCCATTGCACTCCAGCCTGGGCAATAAGAATGAAACTCCATCTCAAAAAAAAAAAGGGGGGGGGGGTGGGGCCTTAAGGAGGTGATTAAGAGGGCAGAGCCCTCATGAAAGGGATTAGTGACCTTATAAAGGGACTGGAGGGAGCCCTCTCCCTTTCTGTGTGAGGACACAGCCAGAGGCTCCAGCTATAAGGCATAGAATGAGCCCTCACCAGACACTGAATCTTCTGACGTCTTGACCTTAGACTTCCCAGCTTCCAGAACAGTGAGAAATCAACTTCTCTTATTTATAAATTACCCAGTGTTAAGATATTTTGTTATCGCAACAGAAACAGGCTAAGACAGGCCCCTAATTCCTTCTAGAAACTATAAAAGTGCTCCTTCTCTTAAAATTTTGTTTTCTGAGTTCTAAGTTATTTTACTAAAACGAAAATGTAACTGTTGTCTCTTAAGAGGCTTCTCTTACCATCCAGTAAGTTGCCTTTTGTTAAAGAGCTTCTCAGAGTTTCTTTCCTGGAGTGGCCTGTATTTAAGTCCTATTGTGATTTTACATGGAGAAGTAAAGTGACGTGTGTAAACTATTCTAAGACTCTGTGCACATCGTTTCTACAAGTTACTGAGCAGATTTAATTTTATACCATATCCTTTTAAATATCGACTTTGTTTCAGCCAAATGACAACAAAACCAGTAAACTCTTCTTAAGCAAATTGATTAGGGGCTTAATTACCAAAAAGAAAGATATAGAGTTAAGCAAGTAAGGATTCAGTAGTATCTATTCTAGAGATACTTTTAAAAAAGACTATTAAACACAGATAGGCAAAATTATTTTAACTGTGTAGTCATGGAACGAAATTATTTGGAAAACCATTCTCCAAAGAGGCACCTTCTATTTCATCTCTGTAATGAACAAATCCAGCAAACATGGTAAGAGCCAAGGTTTCTGATTTGAGCTCTAGCCCCAAAGGAGGTGCAGTTAAATCCCAATTTCCTGTTCCACAACTGGCTCCTAGATGAGGAAAATAGAAAGGCCAGAGGAGCTAAGAAAGTGGCTATAAATGCAACCTCTCCGAAGGATCAAATGAATTTGTCACTCTTATGCACGATCATTCCTACAAGTCCAGCATACGGAGAAAGCATTACCATCCATTGCAATTGCATTTATATCCAAGTTAAGGATTTCAGAAGCCAGATTGTATCCCAGAACATTAAAATTCCCTCACCTATGGGCTTGGTTTTCTGCCAGATTCAGAAAAGAGAGTTAATGGATAGTTTCTCTCTACACTAATAGCAATTTTACTATTCAACCTGTTGTCAAAATAATGCTTATTTTGGGCTGGGTGCAGTGGCTCACACCTGTAATCCCAATACTTTAGGAGGCTGAGGCGGGAGGATTGCTTGAGCCCAGGCGTTCAACACCAGCCTGGGCAACATAGTAAGACCTCATTTCTAACAAAAAATAAAAATAAAAATTAGCACACGCCTGTAGTCCCAGCTACCTGAGAGGCTGTAGTGAGCTGAGATTGCACCACTGCACGCCAGCCTGGGTGACAGAGCAAGACTCTGTCTCCAAAAAAAAAAAAAAAAAAAAAGGAAACATAATGCTTATTTTCCTATTAAAACTTTGAAAGGTAGGACGAATAGGTATAATAATATTTATAATAGTACATTTGCACTTTTAACTGTAGGGTGATTAATGCTTGCTTACACACACACACACACACACACACACACAATGACTATCCCTAAGAAGAACAGAGAAGATTTAATTTTTAGTCTCCTTGATTACAAAGGTAGGCACAAAGTTTTCCTGTTGGAAAATCAAGCTACTAGGAGCACCAGTATCTAGAAGTACACAGAACATTAGCCTTTATTTCCTAATTTTTATGATTTCAGCAATCCACATGAAGCCTAAGCATATAGGTATTACTAGTAAAGGATCTGAACATGCAGTGTGATTCCAAGAAAATTCAAAAGTTAAGAATAAAATAAAAAACGTAAATGAAAAACGAGATCCAATTTGAATGGGTGGTCTCTGTCTTCAATGCCCTACGAAAGCAACCATACTCCCTCCACATCACTGAAGTCTGATTCTGAACATTAGAACAATCAGCTCTTGAACTGGCCTTCAAGTTTAGAAATTCTGATATAATTTTGATCACTAAAATATAGGTTAAAATAATCATAGTTACAATAAAATGTATTTGAATTTCAAGTAGATTTGGAGAGAGTATTTTTAATATTGGGAGAAAAGTTGACAATTCGTTTTAATGAAATCTTTTGAAGATGGGAGGTAGAGAAGTGTTTTTGGTACCAGCCACAGTCCAAACTACATCCACGGTCATGGCTCTCCCTGAAGGCCTACTGCTCGTCACATTGCTAAGGGAGGGTCTTACACGGTAAGTGCTGGGAGAACTTTCCATTGGCAATTAAAAATAGATTAAGGCAAGTGTGTGTGTGTGTGTGTGTGTGTGTGTGTGTGTGTAGAGATGGATGGTGATTGCTGATCACAGAAGCACAGGCACGTCTCAAGAACTACTGGAAGAAAGGAAGGAGGCAGGCAAGTAGGCAAAATTATCCCTTTGGAAATCTGCCCACAGTCCCTGCTGAGCTGACGCATTCATTCACTATTCACTCAAAGCTTATTTATGATATGACAGTTACTGTGCTCAACACTGAAAAGGCAAGACAGAATAAGACATGTCCATTGGATCTTATCCAAGGTTGGCTGCGGGAATGCAGAAACGAATACTGTCTAAAAATTAGCCTTCAATGCACGGACACATTTGCTTGGCAATTAAAAGTAAGCTACTCAGAAGAATGCATGATTCTTTTGCTTCACTCATGCTCCCCACATCATAGAAAACTAGCAGGCCCATTGCCCAGGGCTTTTCCAGGTTTGTCCTACCAAACCAAGGTGGAAAGCAAGCCCCTCCGCTTCGGCATGCTTTTCAACCTGTAGAAGTATCAACTCTATCATTTTTCAATCAACTTTTATTCACAAGCCACCCTGGTGTGCAGTACCCTCCTAAACATCTTGACCCCCTATTAACAGTACATCTAAGTATATAAAAGCAAAATCTCCATACACGCAATATGAGTATCCACTACATGTTCTATACCTAGATTGTAATTTTCTTTAGCTTATTAGTAGAAGGCATAGAGTTTAGAGAAAGAGCATAAGCCCAGACAGTAGGCTATAGGGATTCATTCATTTGTGTGCCATGGGCAAAACATATATGAGACATAGGCATTGTGCCTGAGTCTAAATAAGGTGAATGGGAAACAATGGGATAGGCACTAATAAAATAGTGAAGAAGGGAAGGTTTCATAAACAGGGTAACTGAGCTGAATTCAGAAGGAAGAAAGGGAGGCTGACACAGGAAAAAGTGAATTGAGGAAGAAGGGAAGAGAGATACAGAGGCCCAGTGTTAAGAAAAACACAATGTGTTGGAAAATGGTGCCAAGTATAGGATTGGGGAATGTGTGTGCGTGTCTGTGCATATGTGTGTGTATGCATGTGTATGTGTGCACATGCTGGTGAGTGGCTGTAGGATGAGTGCTGCAGAGGCAGCCTGGGGAAAAATTATAAGGGGAGTTGAGTGCCCTAAGGCAACCAGATCCCAGGCAACCAAGAGCAGGTTTTAAGCAGGGCAATGATCAGATTTGTTCTTATAAAAGGTAACTCTGGCAGCATCATAGAGGCACTAAGCAAAGACTGGGCAATGAATCCATCTAGGAGTTGCTATAATCATCCAAGAAAGCTGTGACCTTGAACTACAGCAGTAGCCAGGAGGATGAATAGTAAGGGGCTAGATGTGAAAGACATTATGGAATAATTTGTGGGTGATGAATTAGAGAGAGGAGTAACAGGTGATACCGAAGTCTCCAGCTTGAAAGATCTGAGACAATAACAGTATTGGAGGGCCAGGAGATTTGGTGACGATTACCCTTCTGTGTGGAACATATCATAGTGGAGATGCCTCCAGGACATCTCTGGTAGAGAGATCCCACAGAGAAGACAATCCTGGACATAAAGATTTGAGAATCTAAGAAAGACTGCAGCTGATGCAGGAATGTGGGCCCCTTCCCTACCCCATGTTATCTTTGGTAAACTAAAAAACACCTACACAGTATTTTAAAGATTTCACAAAGCCCAATTTGAAAACCCCTGACCAATGGAGACTGTACAGAGGATGAAAAAGGAAGAAATTGAAAACAATGACGAGACCGGTATTTTAAGAGATAGGGAAACAAAAAAAGAAAGTAAAGGAGAGAACAAAGGACACAGTAAATGGCAGGGGACAGAGCATGTCATCATGTGGGGTGTCTTTGGAGGACCCCAAAAGAAGCGATTAAGGCAAGGAAGTATTAAGTTCTTTGCCAGTGGTAGCTTGCCAGCCCCAGTAAGTTTGGGGGGATCAGACAGGAAAGACAGAAAATGTCTAGCAATATGTTGGAGTGTGGGCTTAAGCAGGAAAACTGGTTCATTTGAAATTACTGTGCTGGAAGGGGCTAAGGAGTTGCAAATAGAAATCAATATAGCACTCGAGTTTTAAGCAGTTTGTTGTTTTGAACCTTTTGTTTCTCCCATGCTGCCTGCAAAATTCAGTTCTGTGCAACAGCCTTTTATCAAGGAGGCCTGCTGGAAAAGTGAGACTGTGACCTCATCCCAGAATACAGATGAGTGGTCACCAGAAGTCAGCTGGATGTGTGACAAAGTGTCCGGCAAGAAAAAAGGTGGAGTGAGAGGAAACCCGAGGACCACACTGACCTGGAGGCACACCTGACCACCCCTGAAACAAGGGAGACAGAGCAGAGCCAGGGTTTTAGAGGAAAATGCCCTCCAGAGGCTGGCAACATAGAGATCCACAGCTGGAGACGTGTGGTCACGTCTAGGATGGGGTCACTGAGCGAGGATAACTTGACCTCTGGCAGTCCTTCTTCAAATGCCACCTCCTTACAGAGACTCATCGCCCCGCTCGATCCTGGTCCTGATGACCCCACTTACTGTCCAACCTCCCCATCCTTGAACTCTCCAAGCCCTACCCTGCTGCTCTCCCTTTTTTCCCGTGGCCCTTATCACTTCCAACACACTATAATTTACTGACTGACATTGTTTAATATTTATTGTCTGCTCCGCCCACCAGAATGTGAATTCCACACAGCCAGGGATTTTTATCAGTTTTGTTCAATGATATGTTCCAAGTGCCTGGAACAATGCCCAGCCTATAGTAGGAACTCAGTAAATACTTGCTGGAGGAATGTGTTATTAGAAATGTGTTATTGAAAACAACAAGCTTTGGAGCCAATGTGGTCCCAGGCCTCAATATACTCCCAACCGGCTGCCTGCCTTAGATTTGTGCTTTGAGAATCAGAAGCCACAGGAAACGGAAGCAATTTCCTGTGATTGCTCTATTCCCCACAATCTGATAAACCTCAGCATCACAGATGCCTGTAGGGTCCACCAAGGAGGGCCTCCTTTCAGACTATAATTTTAGACTGGGGTTCTGAGTTAGTCATGACATAATTCAGAGTTATCTTAGTTGGCTCCTATTTGTTATAAATGAAAAGAATTTTAAAATTTATTTTTGCCCACCATGACAATGTTGACATAACTGTGGGGTAAGGGTTCTGGCATTTAAATGGTAACCCTAACTTTCAATGTTATGTCCCACTGGCTGTAGAAAAAAATAATCTGATGCTTTATCGTAGGTTTCTCTTGAAATAATTCATTAAAGCATCAGATGAAGGAGGAAAAACAAAGACCAAGTTATCCTTGACAAGATTAAGCTGCACTCTATCTCACTGGAATTTGGGCCCCTAGCTATTGTTCTTGTGGACAGTTTGCACAGAGATTTCTTCCCAATGCAATGCTGTCAACGAATAGAAAACTAAAGGGCATATTTCCTCCTTAATCTGCTTGTGGAAATCTCATTCACGGAATAGAAATCTTGCCCCCTATCATGACTAACATGTTTGAAGAGTCAAAAAAGGGAAGTAAGGTTGGTCCTACAGAATTTTCATTGGAGCAATAAAGAAGGCACTTTACCTAGAAACACAGGTTTAAACTTGGCAATTTAAAATAAATAAATAAGGGTGTGTGTGTGTGCAAAATTCTGTGGTCCTTCCAAAGGGGAACTGGGAAGAAAGCCTGCCTTGTGCTAAGCACCATTCTTCACATGGTGAAATCACTCCTGGGGGAGGGTGACTTTTCTTGAATTTGAGCCATTTCTGCAATTTTGTTTTCTTGCTTTGTCTTTTACCTCCCCACCAAAGTAAGAATTTCATTCCTCAAGAAGTGCTAATTTATTCCTCAAAATATGTTTTTAATTTGGTACTTTTATTCCATAAAACTTATTTTTATAAGCAGATTTTCTTGGGAGTATTTGGCCGGTGTATATTGCATAATCATTCAAGTCTTTAAAATCTTTCATTTGACACTTCAGGCACATGCCTGTGACATATACGTGGCTTTCATAATGATCTCCACATTGCATGTGAACAGAATATTAATTTAGTGTGGTTATACCAGAGCAACTGGTTAAAAGTTTATGAATTTCAGCACTCTCTGGGGAATAAATAATGAATGCGCTTGCAAAATAAACCAGACTGAAACTAACTGAAACTCAATGTTCGGCCAAATTTTGCCACCTGGATTTTTAAAGTAAAAGTGTCCTGTTAGTTATTTTATCTAAAGTACATGCAAAATGATGTCTGTATATTTCATTTGTCAGGTAACACAACTGCAGTACAAGTATCAGGAGCATAGTTTGTTTAGCAAAAAGTCAAGATGTGTCCCCTGGTCCCAGGCTATAGGTATTAAGGTCCTTGCCACCCATGATGGATGTGAATCCATCCGTCATAGATGTGGGAACATGGCTGCTTGCGTTATGCTCCTTCCTGGTTTATCTTCTCTCATCTGTTTGCAGGAACCTGGTGTGTAGGCTGCACACACTGGGCTTTGGCTCATGCCAACTCTTCTGCCTGGCCTGCTTGTCCGATGTCTTTCTACTTGGCTGCCTCCTCCTCACACCTCATCTCCCACAGGAGGGTTTTCCTGATGTTCAGAGGGGTTCAGAAGCTTACCTAATAGTGCACCATGAGTTTGTGGCATAGATAAGAACAAAATTCAGGGCTAAACTTTCTACCCACTATGTAGATGTAGCTGAGGAAAAAAGTGGCAATTTCAAGGTCTAAAAGTTTGCTCATTTGTGAGAGAGTCAAAGGCCTCGACAGAAGAGAACATTTCCCAAATGCCTTTTAATTAAATGCTACAGAAAATGCACAGAAGAGAAGGGGTGCTGTGTACCCATTAAAATAAATGAGATGAAGAAAAGAAAGAAGAAAGGCAAGAAGGGAGGGAGGGAGAAAACCGAAAGCATCCATGCAGACATGCAGACACAAACACACACAGTGTACTCCTGATACTCTGACTATACTTGATACATATTCCAAGATCCTAGACTCTGGGGCACTGTCAAAACCAGTAACCAACATTACAAGGGTTAAATTAGTTATCCTTGGTTGGCAATGGGTCTGACCTCTGCTAACTGGTGGTCTGGAAGGAGATACCAAATCTAAGTGAAAGTCCCCTTCAGTGTAAATGGTAAATTTGCTCTGTTTTGATCCCAGGGCCTGTGGTTCAACTCTCAGGAGGGATGTGTTAACACTTCATACAGTGGATGGAGAGAAAACTGCTGTTTTTAGAAAATTTATTTTTGGTGGCTAAATGCCTTTAAACTGTATGTTCATACATTTGTATAAACTATAATTCCCTCTTTATTTTGGTCTTGATCCATTCTTATTAAAATGAACTGGCTAATTTTCCTAAATTATTGTACCATTAAAAATTATTTGTTGGAACAATTATTTTTTTTTTCCTCGAGTCCACATTAGAGAAAAGGCCTCTCTCAGAGCCACGGCCAATCCACTTTCCCAGTGGTCTTCACTGAGCATCAGCAGTTCAAACATACCCAACCTGTACCTTTCAAATGCTCAACACAGAGAATTCCCCAAGGGTTAGTCAACCGCTGGCTCATATACAAAGAAAATACTGTATTTTGCTCTGAAGAGCTTTCTGAATCAATTTAAACACAGTGAGACAGACACAATATCCCAGAGAGAGGAAAACCTACCTTATTACATTCCTGACCCAAGAGAAAGGATTTGCCCTTAGGACATAAAAGGAATCTGAGGGGGTATGGGGAAAGAATTATCTAATCCTAAACGTAAAAACAGTTCATAATGCAGCATGACAATGCTTTTAATCGCTGACATAATTGTAATATGTATATATAATATGATACAAGGAAGGTAAATGCAGCTTGCTTTTCAGCCTTAAAGGCTCTCTTCAATATTCTACTTAAGGTCTTCTGGATTTTATGCATGCTTGGGGGAATTTTCAGGGGGAGGTAACGTGATATTATAAGGATTCTTTCTCAGTAAGATCACATCTTGTTCTGATTTGATTTGATGCATCTGTATGTGGCAAGTGTGGTAAAGTGAAACTAAGCTCTGTGAATGCAGTGTTTTACAATTCCTCCTTGATTTCCTGTGCAAGCCCATGTGGCCATAAAACAATGGGCAGAAGAATTGGGATTTTTATTTCTTCATATGGGAAAGCTGCTGGGAGAGACACTCCCGTAATCTCAGCTGTGAGTGGTGTGGGCGTTCACTGTTTTCCTTTCAGGGCTATATAAAATATATTTTTTAATGGGAGTTGAGTTTTTCCCCCAGATGTTTCCATACATGATATAATGTAAGCCTATGGTACCATCTCCCAGGAAGGAAAGGCATCCCTGAGTGATTGGTTGGAAGGCTGATAAAGAAACCTGACATTTTGAGAAGTCCAGCTTTTTTTTTTCTTCTTTAACATTATTTATGGAAAGAATTTTACAACACCCTTAAAAGTCACTATGTGGTGGCTGGACTTTACCAACTTTGCAGGCTGACATTTTTACACTAGGCATGGCTGGGACCTAGGAGTTTTGCAGTGTTCACATTTTACTAAAGTGAACGCTACTGACAATTCTGGCAGATGCCAATGATCATTCCAGAATACTGAGTATCAGATCCACTATTGCTCTTTGCGGTCATATGATTAGATGAGCAAAAGAAAAAAGTGTCCAAGTAATAGAAATTTAAAAATAAAGAGAGAAAGAGCTGGTGTTCTGGCTGGACGTTGTGTGTGTCCTAATTCTCCTGAACATCAAAATCCCTCAAATGATACCTTCTGCTTTGCTTTCTAGCTGGGTTTATTTTGCGTGAGCATGGCTTTGACCCCTTCTGGACTGCTTCCTGAGTAGAGGAACTGTATCACATTCATCCTGGTACCCCACAGGCCTTCACCCTGACTTCCACACGCAGGTGCTCAGGAACTGGTGCTTGGTGCAACATAAATATATAACTTGAACCAATAATCTGTTTCCTCATATTTCATTGTAGCTGCAGTTAAGCCGTTCACCAATCCAGATGCACTGAAAAGATTTTCTCAATTTAGCTCTAATATTGATGTTTTCTTGCTCTACGTCAGAGGAGGGAAGCTTCTGCTCTAGGGCAGAAGACATCTCCTATATGCCGGCTGCACACTTAAAATTTTTTAATTTAAATTTTAATTTATTTTTTGCAAAGGGCAAGAATTAGGAATTCTTTTTGGTTCACATGTTGTCATTAAGCTGGCTCCACCAGGTCATTCTAAGGTAATGCTTGGAAAGAGGCGGTAAAGGATGGAAATGGTCACTAGGGACTTAGAGGAGCCAGGGGCTGACTTCATTTATTTTACAAGTAAACTGAGATGGCTGAAGTAATCAATATATGGCACCTCTTCTAAGGTATTCACACCACAGGCTCAAATTCCAAGCATGTGACAGAGAACACTGTATTTTCTTTATACATATTAAAAAAATAGCTCTTTTACTGCTTCTTATCTGAAGTGTCCAGAAAGCCTGTAAAAACCATTCAAAAGAAGCCCAAAATATGCTGCAAACAGCTGCTTCCCACCATGGCAGGACACGGGATATGTCAAACAAATTGCTAATTATGCATTCATTAATGGGACCTATTCCATGGCCCTCACTTATATAATTTTTCCCTTCTTAAATGCCTCAAAAATAAATTTCACCTCTAACTTTTAACACCTCTCATCAGACTATGAAGTACAAAATCCATTACTCCTAGTAAGAAAGTAAAATAATAAATTAGAACATTTCAATAGAGTGCTTGATTTTATTGGCAGAGACTCTGAATGGTGTTAACATTGGCTCAGTACAAATTACACTCCACAGCCAACTTAATGCACAAGCTATGGATATTTTCACCTCTACATTACTCACCAAATTATTCGTCAACTTTGGACATCAACAATCAAAGCACTTTTTTGTGTTATGCAAATCTATGATGTAAATATAAACTAACACCTGCAATTATTTTGCATCTTTCTCTTCTGCTAAAAATATTAGTTTTCACCCCAACCTACTTCAATGTCCTATTTAATCTTCTGTGTTTTCCCCCACACAGCCTTTCACCCTCTATGGAGTGTGATGGGCACGTGCACTGAGATTTTGTTCAAATGTGTCCAGGGTTTTCCACATTTGGTATCAAGTGACTTGAGAAGTTGGAAGTTTGCTTAGTATGAAAAATGGATTATTCAGATGAATGGAGTTTCCTGTTGAAGAGAGGGTAGCATATCATTTTCCACAGGACATTACGCCATGATAGGAAGTTATCATCAATAAATGCTGGACCTTAGATGGCAAAAACTACTAAGAAAAAAAATGAGACCATCTGGATTAACATGGGGGAAAAATGAAAGTGACCTAGGACACCTGCCTTCATCACTGTATGCACAACAGCAGCACTGAAAACTCACCCCACAGACTGCTGCACCCTCACAGAGCAGCGTAGTCTTGACTTATGCAATGTGGCCTTTGGACACATCTTCTGAATCAGAACTCAATACTGTCCACAAAGACAGAAAAAGGTTCTGATTGATACTATTGCTTTTCATTGGCTCTGGGCTACTGGGGCTTCACTGGCCACAAAATTAGGCAAACATCTTCCCATAAACCACAAGTACGTCAAAGTCATCCAGGGTGGTTATTCTTGCCCTCATCCACTCCTCTTTTACACCTTTCAGACACCACATCTCCAACGCCCTGCATCAGGGGCCCTGAAGCTCTCTGTGGTGAAGGACCATTCTGGCCTCTCTCATCTGTCGCCGATGGATATGTGGTCCTGCTACACATGACTAGAACAAGTGGGGGCCACTCCTTGGCGACCTTGAATTTGATAACATCCAAATGAGTCTATCCTCTGTTTGGTGAAAAGAACCTTTAAATCCCACACTTTTTGGCAATGTCAAAATGCCATCAAAGTTTCTAAATGCATACTATCCATTCTCTGCCCATGAAGCACATTTTGAGCCCCAAGGCTCTACAGAATCAGAAAAAAAGAGAGCACCTGCAGCAGCCTCATGGATAGGGCCTCAGACCAGCAGGGGAACTGAAAGCCACACATCCAGAGACCCACACTATGACATGCTGTACTAACTAGAGAAGAACCAGTGGCAATGTCTTACCCAGACAGGGAGAGGGAACATCCCACCTTCGTCCTGCAGGGCTGAATGCCCGTCAATCACAGAACTGGTTCAGGCTGAGCCAAGCACGCTCATCTGTTGACCGTATTACACACAGGAAGCACGGCGGGAACTTTCTATCTTAGAAGGGGATGGAGAAAGAAAATGTATACTGTGTTTGCTTATGTATCTACAAAGGAATTCCAGAAATATGCAGAAATTAAGGGTAGTTGATTTGTAGAGTAGAGTGAGAATTAGGCAGATCCAGGACAAAAGAAAGAGGAAGATTTTTCAATATAAACTTTACGACTTGCTGGTTTTTTAAGTACATGAATGCATTCTAATTCAAAGCTCTAGAAACAATGTAAAATAAATCAGAAAAAGCAAACAAATTTTTAACAACCTAAAAATGTTTGCGAGTTGAGATAGGAAATGTTCCAATATGGAATGGGATTATTTTTGTACACCTTGCACACAGGCCAAAAGCCCCCACAGTCATAGGAGGTCCACGAACATTCTTTTCTTGCTGAGGACAAGGGGGAGGACCACTAAAGACTCGGTAAAAGCAAGCTTGTAAACAAAGAATTGAAAAACAATCAGAAAAAAATTAGAAATGTCTGCTTTCTGTCCCCAAATAAAAAAAGCAATGATGCCTATAAAAAAAGAAAGCATTCAAGTGGAGAAGCATGTGGCTAGAAGGCTGAGGGGGATAGGAAGCAGTCTAAACATACAACAGCAGGACAAAACCCACAGTGGAGGCAGCAAGGAGCTGATTGAAGACCAAGGAAACCAAATCAGATCAACTCATGGACCCACACATGTCCTGAGAGAAGAAAGTGGAATAAAGGAAACTGAGATAAATTAAGTCACAACAGAATTAAACATTCTTGGAATAAACCAGACCTGAACTTCACGTATAAGACCTAGGTATATTTGGCACCATTAAAACATTTTAAGAAAAAAAAAGGAGGAGGGCCGGGAGCGGTGGCTCATGCCTGTAATCCCAGCACTTTGGGAGGCCAAGGTGGGTGAATCATGAGGTCAGGAGTTTGAGACCAGCCTGGCTAACATGGTGAAACCCTGTCTCTACTAAAAATACAAAAATTAGCTGGGCGTGGTGGTGAGCGTCTGTAATCCCAGCTACGCAGGAGGCTGAGGCAGGAGAATCATTTGACTGTGGGAGGTGAAGGTTGCAGTGAGCCGAGATCACACTCCAGCCTGGGCGACAGTGTGAGACTATGTCTCAAAAAAAAAAAAAAAAAAGTTAAAAAAAAAAAGGGGAAACAAACACAGAAGTATCCTCCCAAAGAGGAAAGCACAAGTTAACATAATTTTGCCATATACTAATCAGGAATAGGATTCTATGATCAATGGTGTTAGGAGGCCAACCTGACCATATTCTCCTCTTGAAGAGCTGCAAGACATAGTGGCATAAGAAAGGCTTGGATAAGTCTCACAGCCAGGTATGGTTAACTCTATTTATCCTAGCTTTCATTTTCACCTGATACTTGTCGACATCCTGCAGAACTAGTGTGCTGCAATCCATTTTAGAAAATATTATTAATAAATGCATATAAGAGAAAATAAAATTTTCTCTGCCAAATTCTTGAATTGTTACTAAGGAACAAAGGGATGGCAACAAAAATATTTCAGGAAAGAAGAAGCCATTGCATGAGGGAACCCAGCGTTGAAGTCAACTAACACACAGGGCAAAATATGAAACAAAGTTGAAGACTGTTATAAAAATAAACATATAAAATAATAAGCAAGGGGGACAATAATGGAATAATTAATCATTTTACAATAATAACTGAGTCTACTGCATTAATTGATAAAAGCAGAAAGAAAAGAAAAGACAGAAGGTAAAAAAATTTTTAAATTATAAATTGTCTTGCAAAATCATGTATGTGTGTTTGGGGGGCAAGGAGTGATATTTATTTTTCCACAATTAGAAATCATGCATTTAATTATGTGTTCATTAAATGTATAAGCAAAAACACTATTTTTAAAACACTGTGTTTACTTCCAAATTGACCATGGTAAAAATAAGGAAAACATGGCAAGACACACACACACACACACACACGCACACACACACACGTGTGCAAATAAAGGGAAGAATTGAGAGGGCACACAAAAATTCACATTCAAAATAAATGACTCATTGCCACCCACTTTAAGGCAAAGTTTCTCAGAGGGTGATGAACGCAGCTATAATGCTCATAAGAAAGTCACTAAAAATTATAGAGAATTGTTAAAAAATAAACAGATGAATATATTAGTGATAATAATCTTGATATTAAACAAATTAGACTTATGACAAAAAGTTTAAATAGCGACAACAGCTGTAGTTGTTCTCTAACATAATCATTAAAGAAAAGCAACACTTTTCTCCACCAAATAACAGAGCATCAAAACATAAAGTAAAACCTGTTAAAATAGGAGGAATATGGCTAGAACCATAATCACCTGAGATTTAATATACCAGTACCAATTTATAATAAAATACGTAGACAAAGAAACAAGTAGAGACAAAATGAATTTGAACATCATTAGGAATCCTGAAAGAACAGACACATAACAATCAGTATTGCCTGAGAATCTATTTTCACTTGACCACAGAATATCATATATATCACATCATGAAAATAACCTCAATAAAATATTTAAATCTCTATCGTCAAGATAAAATTATAAAATTGTACCACAAGCTGAAACACTAATAAGCAAAATCTCATGTCCAGGGGCTATAAGAAATCATAGCATACTTATTGGCACAGTTTGTAAGAAGCCAACTTGGCTCTCCCACTTACTGGCAATGTGACAAGAGACAAGCTGCTCAGACTCACAGTGACTTGTTTCCATCATCTGGAAAATGAGGCTAATGATAATATCCACCTCATTAGGTTACTGAGTGGATTAAGTTAGTGCATGCTCTTAGAATAGTGCCTGGCATGTAACACGTGGTGACAAACCAAGCACTAGTTGCCTAATATTAGTTTCAGAGCCTGTATTGTTACAGGAATGCAAGCACCATGAGGACAGGCATCTTTGACTGTTTCATTCACTGATGTATCTCCAGAATCCAGAACAGTGTCTGACTGATAGCAGTAGATCCAAAAACATTTGTTGAGCAATAAGGAATTAATGACTGAATAAATCACACAAATATAATTACAGACTATTTTGAAATATCAAAAGAAAGAAGACAGTCAAAATTCATGGAAGTCAAAGGTAAATTAAAGTGAATGTTATAATCTCGAAGTGCATGTATTATTTAAAAAGAAAGAAAGAAATGAAAGCAGCATTTCACACTAGAAATTATGGAGGGAAAAGCAAAACTCAGCCCAAGAAAATGATGCTAGAGAAAAATATTTCCTAAAAGACACAATTAAAATTTAACATAGCAGCATAAATAACTAATTTCAGAAACTCATTCCTGGAAAAAAAATGAAACAAATAAAAAAGAAACCACTGATAATAACTAAACAAATGAGTGAAAGTACAAATGACAGAGAAATAAAATAATGAAGGTGATTTAATAAAGTGTACAGCAGGCATTTAGTTTAAATAACCACAGTTTGATAATATTAAAGTTGAAAATCTCATCAAAACCCGAGATTCTTCTGGAGAAAATAGAAATAACTCATTCATTCAAATATGACCCAAGTCATAAAAAGAAATTTTAAAAATCATTATTAAAGGATTTTATTCTCAAAAGGCTGTAGATCCAAACAGCTTTACCAGAATGTTATTTCAGAAATTCCAGGAGCAAATTATTATGCTACGTAAGGCACTCAAGAGACGGAAATGATAGATATGACGTAGAATATATATTTTTGTACATCTAGCCATGTCTCTGGTATCAAAGCAGCACAAAAAATGAAACAAAGATATAAATCTCAGTCATAACAATGTGAAACTTATAAATAAACAGGAAACCTGTATCTAGCAACATATCAAAAGAGTAACTCACCTGGCACACTCAAGGGATGCAAAGATGATTTAAGACATAGAAATATATCATACCACACAGTAATCTCTATGTGGCAAACAGTCAGTAAAGTAACTACAATCACTTGAGATAAAAGTCTTAGAAAATTTAGGAGGAGAAAGAAGGGCACTTCATTCACATGCCCAAACATTATCTATGTTAACTGAACAGTAAAGAGAATAATAAAGGTTGAACCCCAAAGGCATTATTCCCTTTAATACCAGATACAAAACTGGTGTTATACAACCAACACAATTATCTAACACAATGCCAAGAAATCTATCCAATGCAATGAGACATAAATGAAATATGTATCTGATATTTTAGATAAATATGTATCTGATATTTAACAAGATAAAATTATTCTTACTTACAGATCACAGGAGTGTATTATTAGAAAACCCAAGACATAAAATACAGAGGCATGAGGAAATATCAAGAGTATTCAATAAGTTGATTGCACATAAAATAAAAAGAAACAAAAACCCAGTATACCTTTGCTATTAAAAGCAATGACCAGGAAAGGAAAAATGCATACAGAAAAAAACTTCCTACCTAGGAATAGGCCAGAAATGAAATATGAGGTAAATCAAGGTAGAAAGCTCAGAAAATGAAAAAAATATATACTCCATTATTATCTGGGGAAACTGAATTTAAAGGAAAATTATTTAAAATAGAGACAGGGTCTCACTATGTTGCCAGGCTGGTCTTGAAGTCCTGGGCTCAAGCGATGCACCCACCTGGGTCTCCCAAAGTGTTGGGATTCCAGGCATAAACCACCGTGCTGGGCCAGGAAACTGGATTTTAGAGAATGATATTCTTTTCAATTCAAGGCTTTAGTAACATTCCAGGCAAAATCCGAATGGTATATTCTTTTAAATTTAGTTCAAATCATTCTAAAATTCATCTGTTTAACTCAGTTATTTGGTTTTAAAAATTATATCTGAAAGGAACAATCCAAATTAGGAACAAAGAATTTTACACAAAGAGGTTTATTATTTCTGATGGCAAAAAGAGTGGTGAGAAAAACCGTAAATTACACACAACGATTCAGTGATGATGGCACATACATATGATGAAAGCAAGACACAAAATAGAAACTCACAGAACCAACACATGAAGTACAGACTCAATTTTTAGAAATACATGAAGACAAAAATATTTTAAAATATTAATATTTTAATAAAAGTTGCCTCTGGTTTTAACTGCTTTTGAAGGAATTATGGATTTGGGCTTTAAAAAAATAGTTATCTGAACCTTACCGTTTCCCTGTTGCTTTAGTAAGCCTCATTATGTTCCCCTTATTGAATGCTTTGGTGAGCGTGGTCTCTTTAAGGGCTCTCTACCGTATGTGACTATAATGTTTGCCATATTTTAGAACGTCAAAATTTAAGAACGGATGGATGGATAGATGGATGGATGTGGTGCAAAGTGCTTAACTGCTAAAAAACATTTTTTATCCTGAATTCACATACACACACACACACACACACACACACACACACACACACAGATTCAGAGTCATGTCTGGATGGACCTCCTCTAAATTTTGGGGTCCATTGAGTGAACACGGTGCTGCCTTTTGTACCCTTGGCAGGGAGCAGCTGATACCTGCCTCCCTAGAATACAGCCCAGGTGCTCGCCTCCCCAGGTCTCCTGTCCACTGTTCAGACACCGACCCATTGGGCTCTGCTGCAGCATTAACCACTGCCCGACGTGGGAAGGGAGGGAAGCGTATGAAGACAAAGGATATTATTTTACTATCTCTCTAACTTCCTGTTCAATTTCTCTTTCCTTGTTTTGTTCCTCTCGAGTTCTAAAGACCAAAGACAGGGTTCCCCTTGGAGTCCTCTGGAGGACACTAGTTAGTGAGAGGAGTTGAGGAAGGGGAGAGGGATGAGGCTGTTTTCAGGGCGTGAGGGATGGGTATCTCACATTATTCTCTAGAAATAGTCCCAAGTTCAGCATGGTCTCCATAAGCGAAATGATGTTACAACTCTTAGAACCAACCAAATGCATGTTTCTACCATAAAGGATCTTGTTGCTTTGCCACTTATCCCTAATTTGAATATATCATCCCTCAAAAGATAAAATAAGTTTAGCAAATGACACAGAGAACAAATTCTAAACTAGAATATGGATCCCCCTGTACTTAAAAAAGTATAAGGGATACCCGAGCTCGAAGGGCAACATTGCCCAGAACAAGGCTGTCTGTTGTCTGCCAGACTTCAGGCTCCAATGGGGCACAGGCTGCCTGGTGCTTCCCTCAATGCAGAGTTAGTGGGGGCAGTGGTTCTCAGATCTCTGTATGCACAGGAATTATTCCTCAGCTCTGGAGTGAGGCTCAGGAACAGACATCTCCAAGAGTGGGAGGAGAAGAGGGTGGGCTGGGAGACAACTGTCCCTGGGCCACCACGTGCTGGCAGAGAACTCTGAGGAGTCCAAGAATTCTCTATGAAACCTGCCCTCCCTAGTCACAATGCAGGTGTATTAGACAAAGTATGAAACATTTCATTCATTTATCAGCTTGTGAGCTTGGCTTACAGCTTCTAAATATTGAGATATACAGTGTGTGAACCTGCATGTGTATGAGGCTACAGATATCCTATCAGGGGACAGGCCCAAAAGGCTCTGACAAGGACTACAACTCCTAATTTTGGGGGCTAGGGACAGTAAGGTTTATTCCCAAGTCAGGAATGTGCTATTCCAGGGAAACATGGATAACTTCAAGTGACCCAGCCAGGTAGAGCCCAAGTTTCTCAGGGGGAGACATTTCTGACACTTACAGGATCCCTAACAGGAATTGCCAGGGAGGCCCTGGTAAGTGCATTTCACAGAGCACTTTCTTAGGACTTAAAGACCAGTTCATTTCTATTTGGTTCTTTTTATTCATTTCTTAGTTTCTAAATTTCTTAATACATTTCAGGAGTTCCTGACAATAAAAGCATTAGGAAGTGGAAGTGATAACAGGGTTGGGTCATTTCTCAGGCAACAGAAATGTGGCTGGGTTCCACAGGCAGCAGGTGAGGCTCTCCCAGGTGTTTTTAGCTCAGCCTCAGCTTAGAGCCAACAATCTCTCAAAAGGAAACGTTCATTCTTAACTCGAAATTCTTGAAGGAGAGAAGGAAAATGAAGGGCCAGTTGACCAACACCACCAAAGATATCTTAGCTCCACCCAGAACACAGGGGAATAGAGTGAAGTGAATTACCAAGATAATGATGCTAAGGAGGAAATTTAAAAAAAAAAAAAAAAAAAGGAAGGAAGAAAAAAGAACCCAACAGCAAGATATTGCTACGCAACAGACAGAATGAGAAAGAGCTCAGCCAAGTTAAAAGTTCTTATGTCATCTCTTATGTGCTTGAAATAAAAACAAGATTGAGATGCACTCTGCTAAGGACTGCAGTTTAAAAAAAGTGATTTTAAAAACTCAATGATCACACCAAGTTTTATATCCTTCAGGTTAAGAGTTAGGGCACACATTTCCACAGTGCAAACCCAAGAGAAAAAGAAGTACTTATTGAGGAAAAAAACGCCTTTCCTGGTATTCTCAAAGTACTTGATTATTTACCTCTCAATAAGCTCGGCACTAATGTTTTTATCTCAAAGGATCTCAGAATAAAATGTATGTGATACAAAAGCACTCACAGCACAAGACTAATTTCTAAAGAAAATTATATGGGAATTTTCATATGTAATACCCATAGCAGGAATGGTTACATCAAAATGAAGTGAGAAAAACTAAAAAAATCTAAGAAGTTTTTACAATAGAGGTGGCTCTGGTATACAAGGAAAAACTGAGGCCTCACAGTACCCACATTCTTACCCCATGTCAGTTACCTGAGGAACTCAGAGGTTCACCCTTTCAAACAGTATGTCGGCCTAGTTTGTTTTACTAAGTAGTAATATGTTTTATAATAAAAAAATTAAAATAAAGAAGGAAAAGTCTTGACCTAGATGGAGAGGAAAAACTGCTGGAGTGTTATAAAACTGAGATGATATTGTTCTTTGTTGAGAACAAATGAAAATGAGTCCCTACTTTAAACATAGGCATGTAACTGGCTTGCAAGAAACTTCTGCGGTATAAAGAATTTCACTCAGGTTCGAGTGGGACTAAGTAAATCTAGTCCAGCAACCCACTGGATGCTCTGTATTACCTCTATAATACCCCACACCCATGGTGTACAATTTAAACAACCTCACATTGCAGTACAGGAGCTCCCTTTCCCCTGGGTAAACATTTTGGACGGGTCTCAGAGGACAATTCGGTTTTCCTTATACCAAGCCTAAATCTGTCTCCCTATGGTTTCCATGCATTGGACCTTTGATCCATACATTGAGGACAAGCTGGATGCAGCTCCCACAGGACAGCCAACCACCAACAAATATTTGAAAGCAGTTATCATGTCCCTTGGCACTTTCTGCCCACCTTCAACTTGCAAAACTTCTCTTCCTTGGTTCTTCTTTATTTTTTCAGAGATGGGGTCTCCCTATGTTGCACAGGTTGGAGCATAGTGGCTATTCACAAGTGCTCACTGCAGCCTTGAACTCCTAGGCTCAGGTAATCCTCCAGCCTCAGCCTCCCAAGTAGCTGGGACTATAGGCGCAAACCACACCTTCTTATCTGGTTCTGTCAACCACTCTACACGAGGCAAGTCTGGTTCTTTCTCTACCTGATCCAATGCCTATACATCAGTGTATCTTTAGAAAGTGGAGTGCCAGACTAAGGTGCTCTTTTCCAGAGATACTTTGAGTGTAATTCTAATAACATACTTCTATTTCTATAGTTGAGAATCACATTAGCTAGGCTTGGTGGAAACTATCTTTGTCTTGTAATAGTGAACTTATAGTTGATTAAAGGTCCTATGTTGTTATCATAATTTTTAATCTCCTTAGAGCTATTTCATGTTTTTTATTTTTCAAGATCTCTGAGGATCCTGATTCAGTCACTAACTGGATATAAATATTCCTCACAAACAACTCTGATGATAATTGCACTCCACAACTTCATCCTGGAAACAGGTACACCAAATTGTTATGCAGACCAGGGCTGGGAGCCCAGCCCAGCAGCACGATTCTAGAAACAGCTCCCTTGACTGATGCCAAGCCATGCCCTTATCATCCACCCAACAACTACATCTCCTAACTGCTGTTTAACACAACCATCTTCCTCTGCCTTGGCCGTAGTTTCTTATTAAAGGTTTTGCTGAAGTCCCGTCAATCATATTTACTGTATTTTCCTGAACAACCAGTCTAATGATATTGTGAAAGAAAATATCAGCCCGGTCTAGTGTGACAGTTTTCTTAGTGAACCCAGAGGGTATCAATGATCACCATTTTATCTTATAACAGGACAACACGTTTATGATAATAAAAATAGAGTTTTCTCTAGAATTGACTTGACCCTACCCTTGGAACTTTCTGAATTCATTTTCTTGTCCCCTTTGAAAGTACAGAACGATAGTCACCACTTTCTATCTCCCCCAGCAAATTGTTCTTTTTTTTTTTTTTTTTTTTGTAATTGATCAAAAATTTCTGATATTGGTTCATCGTGCCATTTGTAAGGAATTGCAGTCCTGACGTTGCCACTCAACTGGCCTCTGACTCCCTTACCAATCAACGATCTTACTCTTGTGTCAGCTGGGCACGCATGCTTCCTTTTCCTGCTGTCTCTGTTCCCAATGGGAAGCCCCAGGAGAACGGGTCTCATCGGCGTCATCACTGTCCTCTCAGTTCTCGTTCCAAACAAATAACAAAATGAACAAATGAACATTCACTTGGACCAACACAGAAGATGAGCAAACGAGGAAGTGAGCTGCTTGCTTTCACTGCCATTCGTTGATTGTAAACCATTCATTCCAAGGGATGTGCCTCCCCGTTCCTGGATCCCACAGCATCCTCTCTGTGGCCATCAGGACCCACAGTAGCCCCAGTGGACTGGATATGTTCAGGTAAGTCTATGTCACTAGTTCTTTCTTATTTCCACATATTTACTTTCTTTCAATCTTTTGTATGTATCTAACTTTATCAAAGAATTCCATTGAGATCTATATTCTTCAAACTTGGTCTTTTCTTTCTTAGATAATCCATGAATGCTTACAGTGGCTTTCTGGAATGATCCTCAACTGACTTGCAGCACTTTCTCCAAAGTCTCTTGCTATTCAACAAGGCCCCCAGGGAAGCCAGGATTGACACTCGGAGCTGCTCCTGGGCACCTGCTCCTGTGCCTGCACGAGGCTCCAGAGGCTGCCCTGAGAGCTGTTTCCCTCTGGAGAAGCCTCATCTCTGCCTCTCTCCATGTGAGGCTGCGGCTTAAAGTGGGACGGTAAATAACACAGGGCTGGGTAGGGGAGTGCACTGGGAGCTTGGAGGTTCAAGTTAAGAAGTTATGCTTCTTCTAAGTGTTGCTTCCAGCTTTAAGTTTAGGATAATCGATAGCACACCTGACCACATCAATAGACAGATGCCTCTTCTGGATGAGTTCATGGGTTTCAGCCTGAGTGGAAATATTCAGTTATAGATGAGCATGTGATTTTCACCTGTGTTTTGATCAAAGAGTCTGAAGTTTCTGATGAAGTGTTATATTCGCTTTCAATGGTATCTAACTGGCCATAAACATGTGGGAAAATATCAAACTTGAGGCAACTTGACTGAAGTGGACAGGGGAAGGGGACTGTCTTTGTTGGGGTGAAGTGTGAGATAATAAAATGCATACATTTAATAGTTAAGAACATCTAAAGGCCAAACCTTCCTTATATGCACCAAGCAGCCATTAAAACAATATGATTTGTGTATGAGGAAACTGATTAATCAGTAGCAAACCACTCACTAATGAGTTTAGTGGCCTTCAATATGTTTTTTAGCCTTGCTAGACCTCCTTGTAGTTGGTTAGGTCATTTTTAAGATTCCACAACTAGGAGGGACCACAGCAATAATGTCCAGGAAGGAGGACACAAACCAGCTACTAAAAGAGGATTATGTTCATTCCTACAGAACAGAACAGAACCTACACCCCATTCCTCTGAATCACCATTTAGAAATAAAATGTGGTCAATCTACCAGTCTATTTTATTTGTCTGAGTCCACCTAGCCTAATGCTTTGACTATTCAGTCCCACTTTGTTTAGGGGAAATGTGGCCACTGTAGATGTGGCCACTGTAGATGTATGGAGTTATTTGCTGGGTAATGCCTGTGTACCCACAGATAGCAGTGTCATAGAGCACTCCACAGCCAGACTGAGTCCCCAGCCCAGGGGAGCTTAGGCAGCACTCAGGCAAGAAGGGGTGGTACTGAGGGAAGCAGAATGAAGTTAAAGGTGAGACCACCTGAAAAAGGCAGAGCCTACAGCTTAAACCCTGCCATAGCTTTAGCAGTTTCTGAAATAAAGCAAAGAGAATCACCATATGGCCCAGCAATCCCACTTCTAGGGATATACCCAAAAGAACTGAAAACAGGTGTTCAAGCATGAACTTGTAAATGAATGTTCATAGTAACACAATAGCCAGAAAGTAGAAACTCAAATATCCATCAACGGATGCACGGATAAACAAAGTGTGGTATAGCCAGCCATCCAAGAGAATATTATTCAGCCATAAAAAAGAACAAAGCACTGATACCTGCCACAGCATCAATGAACTTTGAAAACATGGTAAGTGCAAAAAAGGCAGACATCGTACAAAAGGTCACATTTTGTATGATTTCATTTATAAGAAATATCCAGAATAAACAAATCCATAGAGACAGAAGGCAGGTTGGTGGTTTTCAGGGGCTGGCGGGGAGGGGGAATGGGAGGTAACCGCTTCATGCATACAGAGCTGCCTTGTGGGGTGATCAAAATGTCCTGGAAGTGGACAGTGTTGGCGGTTACACAACACTGTGACTGCGCTCAATGCCACACAGAACTGCAAACTTCAAAATGGACAAAATGGTAACTGCTATGTGATATGTATTTTACTGCAACATGTTTATGCTAGCCCAGTGAGTACACTGGCCAGATCCCTGGCCGGGGCCATCATCTCTCCTCTCTTCCTCCCCGACTTCCTGCTGGTCCTCACCGCTCGTGCCTCTGAGCAGAAAGGATAAACCTAATGAGCCCAAGTGTCAGCGCAATATAAATTACGGCCAGGGGAAAAAAGAAACGACTTGATGCATGGCCGAGGATCTAAGAGAGGAATGTCCACCATTGTTTGTGATTATGGATCACGTCACAATCTAATAGCCATTTTTATTTAATCAATAATTTCCATGCTGAACAGACAGCCCTGTTACAGAGAATCGACAAGCAGGTACTGATAGCGACAAGCCTCGTTATTAATCTTTCCTCTGCCGGCTTATCAGCCAAACTACTGTAAAAGGCACCACCAAGATGGATTTTAGAATCCACCTTGCTCCTCTCCCCCCTCCCTTTTCTTCTTCTCTCTCCTGTAACATTTCATGTAATGCAGACACTACATTTACTTGAGTAACCTGGGGCTTGTGTAGCATAAAAAGGCAGTTCACGTTAAGCAATTTCACAAATCAGTAGGACCTAGACCATTGCTCAGGGTTAGCCATTATAGGCTAATAAATCATACTTTCTCTTTGAGTTGTCAATCGCCAAAAAGCTTTGTACAAGTGCTGGCATCTGTAATTCCGTAAAGGCTTTTCATCTTAAAATAAGATGCTCTGGACTGATAACAAGAATAATCCCCTCTTGATCAAGAAAAAAAAAATCTGCATTATATCAATTAAAGCTACAGCCAGAAGCCAAATGGCTCAGTACTGAGATTCCAGTGAAGTTTATCTCTGCTAAACACGAGGAGGAATACAGTGAGGGCTGTGTTTCACTTGCAGCTTGACTGCTTTATCTTGTGGTAGAAACTGCACCAGAGGAACCTGTGCAAACTCTCCCTGCCCCCAGGAAAGGCCACCAGGAAGACCTCCTCTTCACAAACTGGGCTCTCCCGCATGTCCTAGAGAGCTCCTTGGGACAGGTCACATGTGCTGAAGCACAAGGGAGAGCCTAAAGAAACACCATGTCCCTTTAGGCAGGTAGAGCAGCCGAGATAAGATTGGGCCGGTTATGTTAGAGACATGGTTGACCGGAGAGAGTCCTGTGAATCTAACAGAAGACAGCTGGTGCAGTTTTGTTTTCCTGATTAGAAAGACATTTTCATTCCTGCCAAACAGATCAGGAACTACATCCCATTCATCTGAATCACCACTTAGAAATAAAATGTGGTTGACCTACCTGTCTATTTTATTTGTCTAAGCCCACCAGACCTAATGCTTTGAATATTCATTCTCTGTATTCGTCCAAAACAATCCTGCCCTGATTGGAAGAAAAGTGGCCACTGTAGATGTATGGAACTATTTGCCAGGTGATGCCTGTGTGCCACAGGATTATATATTCATAACTAGAAAATAAGACACACCTTATTTTTTTTTTTTGAGACAGTCTCACTCTGTTGCCCAGGCTGGAGTACAGTGGTGCAATCATAGCTCATTGCAGCCACCTCAGCCTCTCAAGTAGCTGGGACTACAGGTGTGCCTCACCATGTTCGGCTAAATTAGTATTATTATTGTTATTTTGTAGAGATAGGGTCTTGCTATGTTGCCCAGGATGGTCTTGAACTCCTAAGTTCAAGTGATTCTCCCACCACGGCCTCCCAAAGTGCTGGGATTATAGGCATGTGCCACTCGCTTGGCCTGGCACATCTTATTTTGCACAAAGCAAAATAATGACAAAGGAAAAATGATAACAATCACAATAAAAGCTAACTGGCTCTAAAAACTTGACTAGCACTGTAGTAGGTATCTCCCATAAACTATCAGAGATAATTATCCCAACGACCCTGATAATCCTGTTTTAAAGAAAGATAGCAGAATCTTAGTACCCTTTGGTAAAGAGCCTGATGCCACACAGGCAAGACACAGAGGTTCCATGGGTAACGTCTCCTCCCAGCACTCAGCCAGCAGCCCTGAAGCTTCTGACTTCTCTCTGGATATCATGCAGAACATCCACATCAGCTGCTCAAACTGTACTCGTAAAACATCTCCAAACTATCCTCCCAAATTTTAAAAAATAATTTCAAATAACTTCCACTGCAGAGTCTCACTTCTGGCCCTACCCCAGTCTAACCTTGCCCTCTTTAATACACTGTACTTGCAACTTGCCAGGTTTTGCAAGGCTCAGCCCCATCTTTCTAAAGCTGATGCTGGCTCAAGCCATTCCTCTCATCAAAAGCATTTAATTATCCTTACTCCACCTGGAATAAAAGTCAGACTCCTAGTCTAGCAATCACATCTCCCATGACATGGTGCTACTCGGCTCTTTAATCTTACTACCCACTACCCTTCTGCCTTCCGGACATACTTTGGTTCTGCTCTAACTGCATTACTTATCATACCACTCTTCAACCAAAAAGCATAAAACAAATCATTTGTAATTATATTTCTAATTCAAAGAGATGCCAAAAACCTCAGTCTTTTATTATATTAGCTATAATCATAGATAAAATTTTCCCATACTTTCTGTACCCTTTAACTTCTTCCTGCTGTCTTCTCCACATAGAATCCCCAATGCCTTTCTGCAATGGTCTTTCTGTGTTTACATCCACCAGTTTATTCCATACCATGCTCATATCCAATCTCCATGAGATGTATCTTTCATTCCTTCTTCTGTGCCTTCACCTTACTCATTTTCCCACTGTCCTGCTTGTACATCGATAGTACTCATAACAGCCTGCCCTGTATGCTCCCCTTACTCAAAGGGATAGCCCCCAACCCCAGCACCCTAGATCGGACATGCATGAAGCGTTTTCTTCTAGCTGCTATGCCTGCAATTTCTGTAGTGGCCACCAGGTGGTGACGATGGATCAACAGCAGATGAGTAAACAGGTAAGATGAACAGCAGCCTGCATAGGCGAGCCTGTGCAACTGAAATCAATGGTATACTTATGACTATTTTTAAATGTTCATAAAAGTGCACTTAATCTCTCCATTCTTCAGTTGAGTGAGTTTATTAGTACTACTTGCTATGGATTTTTCCTTATGTTTGAATAAAGCTTTTGAGTTTACAAAGTACTTCCATTATAGGATCTCATTCTATCCTCATAAACAAAAAACAAATTAAAAAACCCAGTGAAGAACCTAGAATGGATATTATTATCTCCACTTTACAGATGAGACACGGAGGATTTACTGCAGGGTGACTTACTTAAATTCAGAAACAGTTTCTGGCAGATGTAGGAATGAAAGACAGATCTCCAACACATTATCTGGTGTTCTTCCCATCCCCCACTCACTGATTAATGCTGGTTTTACTGGTAACTGGGTGGGGTCGGGTGGAGTTGGTTTAAGTTTAAGGCCTTGGCTTACACATTGTCTCCTGAGGATATCCCATTTACAGTTCTCTTCTCTTGCAACATTAATTGTTCTAGAAAAAATAAAAATGCCTCCATGGTAGTATTTGGCTAATCCCAGAGAAGCCTAAATATCCCCAAATCTTAAAAAAAAAGTCCTCGCATTAGAAAACTGCTTTCTGTTCCCGGAGCTCTGTTTTATGTCAAAGCAGGAGCCTGATCTCCAACTCTGCTTGCTATGATCTCAGAAGTTGGAGTCTGTGTGACTTCCCTAGGCCTGAAAAAAAAAATAGTGATGGAGTTTCTCCACCAAGAAAACGGGCTTGGCTGGTTATGGGCCTTACTGAGAACTACTGTGTGCCTAACCTTAGCAAATGTGGTTTTTAAATTAAGCTCTGCCAGTTTACACACGCACACACACACACCCACCCCCCCACACATAGGTATATTTAAGTAGCTTCTTACTAGAGACATTTTAATGAGATCATCTCTTATTTCTAATCTGAACATTCTAAAGAACATTTAAACAGGAGAAACTTTTTCTTTAATCACAATTTTTTTTTGTTTTTCTTACGTGTGTTTTTCTTTCTCCACACTACGCGACAAGAGGAAATATTTAGGGCAGAACTGGGGGCAATACTGTCTCCCAGGGACATCTGACAATGTCTGGAAACAGTTTTGGTTGTCATGACGAGGGAGGGAATGCGCAGGACAGCCTCCCACTATAAAGAACTGGCATCTCATGGGGAGAGGCCTGGGATGCTGCTTAACACCCTACAATGCCCAGGACAACCCCCAACGCCAGAGAATGATCTGCCCTTATGTGCTACAGTGGAGAAACCTTGGTTTGGTGTAACCACCGAAGAAAATTTCCAGAAGGATGTCAGGACACATGAACAGGAGAGATGGAATCTCCGCACTGCAGAAAAGCACAAGGAAGAACCTGCAATGGAAGAAATGAACCCAGAGCGCCGCTCCAGTTCTTCTCTTGCAGTGTTTCATGAACTGGGGGCCTATCGACATCTTTCTGCAATTACTAATTTCATGCTGACATACCAACCCCAACACTGCCTGAATATTAACCTAACCCCTGCTTTTATACGTGACATGCATGGACACAGCAGCCTCTAAATATCTTGACATTTTTCTCTCGTAAGCAGAATCACTAACATTTTATTGAGTATAACTTTTTTAGCTAATTCCCTCACCGTTTTATGTGGTAAAAGTCACTATTTTCCTTGGGAGCAGAGCAGGCCGTGAACCCAGGTCTGTCTGCTTTGAAACACATTCACACTGTACTGCCACTGGGTAATGATGGGAAACAAAATTATTCCTTCAAATCAGGTGCTAATTCTTCTCAAATCATCATCATCACCACCATCATCATCATCATCATCATCACCACCATCATCATTTCATCAGGCCTCAAAAGTTTACCTGCATGATTTACTTTGACCCTAACCATATTTTCCACCTGTTTCCTAGGAGTCTTTTCCAGTATTCCTCTGTACTCCTCCCTCTCTCAGCCCATAGAGTCGCAATACACAATTATGGCTTCTTTATGTTTCACCTCTTGTTGTTCACTATGCTTTTATGTTTCCTTATCTCCTCCTCCCAGTCAGACTGTCCAGTCTTTGAGGGTGTAAATCATGTGTCCACCACAAAGCTGGGGCTGTGGGTACCACATGGGCTGTCCCCAGCCCATGTAGCACCTGCCAGGGCTCTGCACATCTCATCAAGAGCTGTTGAGCAAATGGCTGATCCACTAATGTTGGCTTGTACTTTTCCTAATAAACAGGAGAATACATTATGCCAGCAACATCTGCTATAGGCAAGCATATTCAAATGAGGTATGCAGCCCAGCCCAAAGTGACCACCATTCCCACTTGTCTGGAGTGGATCCATACAGAATATTCCAGGGCACTAACTATTGGCAGAATCTAGAATCTCACCTAAAGTATCATTGAGAACCAGCTAAAAAGCTTTCAATAGGAAAATGTTCCCCAGATGTCAGAAACAGTTACTCGGAGGAAGATTTTGATGAAATATTTCAGGGAGTATACAACGGATGAATGAATTAAGAAAGTAACTAATACATGGCCGCCTCTTAAACTCCACCTGGGGGCAGTCACCCATAACTGTTCACAGCCCCCCGCCACTCCCAGCCCACCCCAAACTCCCTCCCAGGCTGAAAGGGGAGGGGGACTCTGCACAGTACTCCTGGTGGCTGCCAGCCAGCTAGCTCGCACTTGAGGGAGAATCTGTTTACCATCCCTGTCCTAAGGACTATCCAATTCAAACTTTTTGCTTTCTTTGACTGAAACCAAGGTTGAACGAGGCAAGGCCAGGTCTTATTCAGCAGACACACAATGCGGAAGAAAAAGGAAGTCTCTTGGCTTCAGTCTAGCGTACATCCCAGTTTAGCAACAATTAATATAAAATAAGCCACAGAAACCGACAGTGCCACCGCATTCTCCTCCCCCACTCAACCCAGCGAAACACACACATAAAACAATGAGAGACTGAGTGACCTCTTCGAGACCCTCTGTCTGTTTCTCATTAGACCTACTGCATGTGATCTGTGCTTGGCCTTGGACGTTGGGGACAGCGTTTATTTTCATGGCTGTTTCACAGTATGATAAGTGAGAAAATAACGTTCTAAGGGGTCAAATGGTTCTAAGGAGGTCATCCCAAGAGTCAGGGCAGAGATGGGGCTGCCACTCAGAATCCTAGCTGGGCCTGGGGGGCTCTGGCCGGTGGACCACACAGCCCTCACACACCCTCGCAATCAATCTGATCTCCTGAGTGTCTCTTTATGGGAACAATTTCTGCAGGTGCAATTTAGTCAGCAACTTTAAAGAGAACGTGACCCTTAAGGCAAAATTGTCAAAAGATGGCTTTGAAGTTTGTAGTTCTTAGTCTATATTTTATATGCCGTGTTTCCAAATAATTAGAGTAACCGAATTAACTAGCAACTCCATGTAGGGAAAATAAGATCAAAATCTCCACTCATTTGTTTTATGTTTTATGTGCACACAAAACTAATTTCTGCCTCATATCTGAGACCCCTATCGCATCTTAAACTCAATTTTCTCTTAGGTAAGGATAGACAATGCAACTTTAGCAAAGGGATCGAAATTATATGGGAAACATTTAAAATGCAAATTTAGGATCACGGTATTAATGTGAAAAGAATGTCTTCACATCCTAACTCTTCCTTGCGTTTCTACAGACACATCAATTCTTCACAAATTAGATGTGTTTTCTTTATATCTAAATCTCTATATTAAAAAGAAAGCCCCTCATTTTCATGCTGCTGATGTATAGAATTTGTTTCCAAATGGCAGCAAAGGTGATTATGACTGTGTTCTTCTGATAAAGGAAACTTCAGCATGCTTTTAGAGATCAAAATTCGCAGCATATGAAAGCATTTTAAAATCCAAGTAGGTGGTTAATCACTCTACAAAAAGATGAATTTTTGACACAATGCTTCACGGAGACAAATGGAGGATTACAGAGACTTGAACGCCACCCAGTTGAAGCTGGGTGCTAACAGAAATACATCTCACTTTCTCTGCGGTTCTGCCCCACAGGTAGAAGACAACATCCCCCAGTGCGATTGCCAAGGGCCCTGCAGGGTTATGCTGCTGGGGATTGGGCTGGGGAATAAAACTTTTAAAATCATTTGACTTTTTAAAGACCCTTGGGGATAATATTACATGTGTTATTTCTTACACAGAAATACGGGGTTGGATTGTTGAAATTGAGGGTGAAGAGTTGCAGAGTTACAGCAAACAGGTGGACATGAAGTATGGTGATGATACTATTATTCTTTCGATCTCAGCACTGATGTTTTCAAGCATAACCAGCCACTCAGCAGTAATGACTCCACACTGAGATGGAAGTTCTTTATGTTTATTCCTATTCCTCCTCTTAGAAAGCCTCTCAAAACATAGTTGGTATATACAATGTCATGCACAACCAAAGTGTGCAGGTTTCAGAGAACCTGAGACTAACGTGTGCTGCAGGCTGTGCATATTTCAGACACCTCAAACATCAAAGACCCAAAGATGGAACTTACTTCTCGGACAAAATTAAAACATGAGGGAAATGGATCTCCGTGTAGACAGAAAGCATCCTTCCTCCTTGGAAGAAGTTGGGCTGAGCTGTTTTACATAATAAACATAAGCTAAACCAAATAACATCAGCACAAACCAAATAGCATAAACAGAAAGCAAAACCAAACGACACTTTGAGAGTGGATACACTACAACTCTCAGAAACACATTTGAAGTTATGATTCACGTCTTTTATAATATAATGCTCAACAAAAAAAAAGGTCTGGTTAATTTAAAATTGAAGAAAAATATGGACTTTCAACTCATTTTGAGATGTTAGAATGTGTGCCTTTCAAATGGCAAGAGAAAATACTTGCATCTTGGCAAATCAATAATAAATTCAGTCTTCAATGTACTTGGAATTAATTTTCTTTCTATATACTCCTCTTGCTTTTTTGTTTCCTTCAGTTTTAACCGACACCAAGAAAGGGATGAAGTACAAGAACAAAGCTAACAAAAATACACACCTATCTTCTTAGCTTCTGGTCACAGAAGTAAATTTATGACAAATTTAATACTAGCTTGAGAGTAACTAAGCCCAGTTGTAATTATACTGCTGGAAAGAGAAATTAATTAAACATCCCTGTGATAAAGACCCAGCAGCAAACCTAGAATAAACACATAATTGGTGAAGAAGAGGGGCTTGAAATAAAGGAGAAGAGAAAGGAAAGGCGAATGTTTAGCCCATCTGTTCAGATAGTAATGAACGAGGTAATCTTTTCAAGAGTACATGGAGTGCATTACAGTGGAAATCAGACTACCTGGCGGGCAAAGTCAGCCAAGTTTCTAATTCTCTTCTTCAAATCAAATTGTGATTTGCTAATGTGAAACACATGTCTCAAGTTCAAATAACTCTGGAATTCCAACCGTGCAGCTCAACGACTGAACCAGAACAAGGGGAGAACTTGTCAGGATTTAAGAGCTTTCAGCAAAGCCCTTCAATTGCAGCCAGCACCCTATTCCCCGGAAGGATATCAATTATAGATAGTGACTTGCTTTAGCAGGCAGTCGGGACTGTCAGACACTAGATAGACAACCATGAAGAATCATGAATCTTTCTATTAACTGTAAGAGGGGGAAAAAGAATGGGTCACGGCTATAAATAAGGCAGAGCATCAGAATGGTTTAACACCTTGCCTCTTGGTTGTATGTGGCATGAAAATTCAACTAATTCACAAAATGTCCTCTCTCCAAGGAAAGTCACAGGAATGGAAACTGTTAATGCTTCCCTCTGTAAAAAAGTAGTTTTTTCCTGGCTAACACGGTGAAACCCCGTCTCTACTAAAAATACAAAAAATTAGCCGGGCGTGGTAGCGGGCGCCTGTAGTCCCAGCTACTCGGGAGGCTGAGGCAGGAGAATGGCGTGAACCTGGGAGGCGGAGCTTGCAGTGAGCCGAGATCGCGCCACTGCACTCCAGCCTGGGCGACAGAGCGAGACTCCGTCTCAAAAAAAAAAAAAAAAAAAAAAAAAAAAAAAGTAGTTTTTGCAACTGGTATTTATTCTACCACCAAAGTAATTAGGTGGACTTGAAGTAGCTATTCCTTCAATCAACATAATACAAAGCACCTACCTATTCTATAACAGGCCACCATTACTGCTGCCAGATATACTCATGGGTAAGAAAGTACACGCATGTCATGCAATGTAGAATCAATTTAAACATGCAAACTTGGGGTTCCTGCACCTCAGACAGTAAGTAAAAAGGTGGAAAATAAGTGACATAAACTAGTATTCTTATTTATGTTGTTGTAAATTATAATTCTTAATTCATTTAATTAAGTTTATTTACTCATATAATTTATCTCAGACTAAAATTAATATCATAAAGGTAAGATATTAGATTTTCTTCTAATCCTGACATGAATTTCTTCTGGTTAATCTGAAATTAAAATAGTCCACTGTATATGTGCGCATTCATATTTTTTAAAGACCATTTCGATAAAACAGACAATATGGTGGTCATTTAGTTGGTAGTTTTAAGCAGCCTTCCTTTAAAACTACTCAGATCTCTCTATTAAAACATCGAGACCATCGGCCACTGAAATTAAATTCAAATACCTGCAATTTCACCATCTTTTAAAAGCTTTCACATTACTGTATTTAGGTTGTGAAAGGGTTAAGCTACTACCGCACTCCAAAAAATATTACTTCAAACCCTGCCTCTTATGAGGAGCACAATTCATTTTAAATGTAGACTTAGAATAAGCTCTTATTTCATTCCTGATTTGGTAATGACTGAACCAGTATCCAACATTCCTTGCAAACTACAATGACTTATCCTCCAAAACGGCACCATGAGACTGTCACCTTCAGGATATTTTAAAAACCAAGACACCCTGCCAACATCTGTTCTATAATGGCAGCTTTTACACAAACAATTCTCTTCATGTTTGTTGGTCATTCGTTATATCACTAAGGATACACATAGCATATGCTACTCTTTGGGAGTATTTCCCCATAATAAAACAAAAATTCCAAACTTTTCCCCTTTGATATTCCAATGTTTTTGTGATTTCCATTAAAACAGTCAGCAAGAATAAACGGCCATTAAGTCAGGCTTGGCTTCAAAATAACACTTGCATTAAATTAAAGAGAAAGAATCGAATTAAGTTCATGGAAAAATTCTGGAAATATACCTTAATTAAAAACATTTGACTTTTTTTTTCTGTGCTCAGAAATCTATAATTCTTCCCATACAATTACCAGGAGACATGATTTAAAAAGAAATGGAGGGGAGGGACCCTGGCGATGTCATGTAAAATCCTCAAAACATTCTGTATAGAACAGAGCTCAAAATCTGGCAACCTGCGTGCTTAACACTATAATGTAACTGCAATGCGTGGAATACATTACATGGGATGCGCCGAGTTGCAAGAGACACACATTAAAAGTTCACACTGCCTATGAAACGTGTGGGATGTAAGAGGGACTTCATAATTTTAGTGTTTAATCTAAATGGAGGAGGGTTATCAAGAAACATGAATTGCCTAAAAATACAGTTACTGTAAAAAAAAGAATGTACCACGAAAGAGAAAGTGGAGAGAGAAAGAGAAAAAGAGAGAGAGCAGGAGGAGGGGAATCGCAACAAATGCTACTTTGTCCAATTTTTCATATTAAAAGTTTAAAAAACTGCCACACTTAATGCCTCAACAAGACCCTGTGCTTCTGCCAGGAGTTGTAGCACCTGCATCTTTTTATTCTCGATCATCTAAATGCCCTCCACGTCAGCCAATCCTGGTCCCATTTTCCAGGGAAAACTCCACTGGCCTTCAAGAAAGTGCCAAGAACAGTGAAGCACTGGGAAGGGGGTATCACAAATCAGGCATGGGGTGGGGAGAAGGCTTTGTGCACACTGCATTTTTTGAAATGATATGCAGGAGAGTGTGTAAAAATTTCTGAACCTGGTTTGGGAGAGGAGGTGTGGTTCTCAATCTGACCATGCTGCAGTTTCCAAAACATCCATCACTAAATACATTTAAAAACACTTACAACTTTTTCCATGAAACTACTAACCCCACAAGGGCTGGCCTCAAACCAAGAAATTATGCTACCTAGCTCATATAGAGTACTAACTGCAGCTTAAAAGAACGGGAGCTTCCTTAGGCTTTGAGAGTTTGGGAGAGGAAAAAAGAAATCCCTCATCTCCACATTTTTTCCATTGTTACCGGGTCTTGGAAGGGGAATCAAACTTGTTTAAAAGGTTAATCATAATTCATGTCCAGCTTACTATTACTCAATAACCATCAAAGTCGCTAACTCAAAATAGTGTTTTCTGGCTTACAGGATCAGAGTCATTACACTCTCTATTGAAGACTTTATTGAATTTTACACTCAGCTTTAGCTGACTGAACAGGTCAAGCACCGTGGCTCCGAGTTTTCTTTATTCTCAGAAAGTCATAAAGCCCTCTCCAGTTCGCAATGCGGCTCCTAAGAAACTTGACTCAGCTCAGGGTCAGAGAGGCTGACCTCCCTGGAAAGTGTCACAGAGCTGTAAAGCTCGGTTCCTGAATACCATCCACTTACGTGCACAAGCTGCTCTTGGGTGTCGAACTCCCTCGCGCAGCCTTCCCAGTGGCAGTTTGTCTCATAGATGACTTCAGGCTCCTGTTTGCTTTCATCTTTGTCCCCTTCCTCCTTGACAAGGGTTGTTCCTTCGGGCTGTTCCTGAAAGAAGAGGGTGGGGGGCAGGGAACAGAGAAGGGGGAAGAATCAGACACAACAGGAGGGAAGACAAGAAGAGAAAGTAAAAACCCAATTTAGATTTGGGTCTAGGGTTTTGTGAAGTGAAGAAGTCAAACAATAAAATCATATCTGTGCATATTTTCAGATTTACCAAATACACTCTGAGAGTTTTAAACGTCTGATTCAAGGCAACAGCCTGTCAAAATTATGAATTAAAAGTTGAGGTCAAACTTTGCTGCCCTGATTACAAAGCTGAAAATAAACCCAAATGTCATCTAAAAAAAAACCCAAAACAAAACGTAAAACAAACAAACAAAAAACAAAACAAAGCTCATAAGAGAATAAATCAAATCAGGTCTTTACCCAAAAGATTGGTACTTCTATTTTGTTTAGTTGTTTTAATTATTTTTGGTCTGTTACTTTGTTTATTCTTATATTTTGTAATCCAGGGAAATGGTTTACTAGTACTTCTAATGCTGTTTTCGCTGCTGTTGGAGACTGTGTGAGACACTTTTGTAGACTTTATAGGGATAATGCCCTCTCGATTCAACCTCTGATCTCTAAGGATATGCTCACTACCCAGGGCCCAGGGGCCACAGCATCAAAGCTCAGGGGCACAGTCCTTCCTAAACCCCTGTGGCAGCTTCACAGCAATGCCAATACAAGTCATTTTGAGAATTCATCTTGTGTAGATTCAGGTCCCAATCCAGGGCTAGATGATAAAAGCCATATGCAGGCATTGAAGTGTAACCAGCAAGGTTGTTGCTGTCTGGCGATATGCAAGAGGAAAGATCCATTTCAGAGCCCGTGACACAATTTACTCCAGCCTCCACGTTCTTGCTGAAAAGGAAATTTGGGCAAGCAGTCTGAGGTTTGGGCTGAAGCAGCCTGATGACAGCAAGGTCCAGATTCTGTGGACATCTGGACTCTTGTCCAATCTCTATGGTGGGGAATTAGCATTCATAGAGCTCCTTCCTGCATCAGGCTGAGAGCCCTATGAGATGATATTATGGGTATAACCTACACATCCTTAAACTGAGGCCCAGAGAATTTAAGTGACTAGAGGCGGAGTCCGGATTGAAATCCTACACTCTTCCTTTCAGAATTTTAGGCTGAGTGCCAGAATCCAACTAGCCTTAGGTTAGTTATGTTTTCATCCCTTCTGGTTCGCCAGGCTCTCCTAGAAAGTGGGAAGTAGCAAAATAAGAAAAAATGATATAGGAGCCATCAGTAGATCCGCCACAGCTCAGGCTTGGGTCCAGGAGCTCAATAATTCAGGCCCAAAATCACAGATGAGGACTGAGGCCTGGTCGCACCTGTGGCCAGCAACAAATTAATGCAACCATTTCCTCTACGAACTACAGTTGCCAATACTCCCAAGCTGCCTAAACTATCAAGAAGGTATGTCCCGCATGGCTTCCTGCACTGCCTGTGTTTGCTTCTGAGCTAGAAAAATGATTTAGTCACTCCATATCTAGCCTTTTGTACAACATGTAGAGTACGGCCAAGGTCAACAATGCAGTGGACAAGGAACTGCCGTGAAAAAGACACCAGGTCTGGGGAGGAAGCGGGAGCTGACCCAAAGACACCAGTCTTGGGAGGAGTGGGCGCTGGCCTGTGCGGCCTCGGTGTCCTACCTGCTGCCCCCGAGCCCCTGGGCTGGGGAGGTCTTCATCGGGTTTGATCTTGGACCTCTTGTTGTGCATCGGGTCACCAGTGCTGCTCACTGCAGACTCACTCGTGGGCTTGTTCTGCTGGTCACATTTGCAGAGCCAGAGACAAAAAGATTTTCATCAACAAGGAGCAGTACCATAATTAAAACCTTGCCAACTCGGGACAAGCGGTCTTATTTGGCTATAAAGCAATGACTCTGATAATTCTCCAATCCCAGTGTAAGCAGAGTTCAGATAGTATGTTCAAAGCTAGAAAATACGTTCATGCGGCAGCTCTTCATTTTTAACTCGTGAGTATAAACTCCCTATGGCTTTTAAAAGCTAGAAGAATGGAGCTGAGGCCCTAGGCTTTAACAAGCTCCAACAGGGTATTTCAAAAGAACAAAGTTGTGAGGAGGGTAGAAGACCAACACGTTCCATTTGTGAAGTTCTTTAATTAGAGCAACCAGATTCTTCTCCAAACAATATCAAAGTGGCAACAGTTAACGCAGGGCAAAGCACAGTTTTAGTCTTACTCTAAAGTACCACCTGGTGGTAAGTCGCAACTGTGGTTCTAGCGGAGGGAGTGAACAGTGACCAAATGAGAGCAATGCATCCACATGCTGCACTGACATGGGATGCAGGTTACAGATGGCACCAGGTCACAGTGAAGCCTTATCAAGCAGCCTGCTGCTATGCCCATGGGAAAATGACCCTGGGGGAAAAAACTGTTTGATGAGAAGCATTTACACAACACGTCCACCAAAACTGAAGACTAGACCTCAGCATTAAGAAGACAGGATGCTAGTACAGAGGCTGTGAGAACACAGAGGTGCCGTGTTGATTAACAGCTGACGTGGTGGCCTGCCCCCACCCTCGGCTGACCAGCACGGCCGGGTGCATCGACCTGTCCCTCTCACCTGTGAGGACTCAGAAGGGCCGGAGCTGACCTGGACGGGGTTCAGAACCGTAGGGATCCCTGGAATAGGCCTCTGTGTTGGAAAAGTTGGGGCAGGGTGGATGAGTGGAGGGCTGTGTCCAAAGGCTGAACCTAAGCTCTGTTGTCGGCTTAGGATCTGCTGATGCATGTGGAGAGAGACGGGCGCGGAAGAGTAGGTGAAGCTCAAGGCAGGGCTGCACGGGGGAGATAAAAAAAGACGATCATCACTTAAACGCTGAGCTCAGACAAGTACACAAGATCTGCAGCTTTCTATCTATAATTTTACCATCCCAAATCAAATTTGTTTAAATGAGAAGGTAGGATTATTGCCAAGCATCTTGAAAACTTCTAAGAGAAAGATGAACACTGAGATGAGACACACATGTGTGTGCACACATACACGCAGACCTAAAACAAGATTCTGCAAAAACGGAAATAAAAGGCATCAGTTCAATAATAACTATTTATTGCAATAACAAACTTTATATAAAAAGAGAATGGGTGACTACATGCTTTATAGGACTTTTATTGGCTCTTAGTTCCGTATGTTCCTGTGCATGGAGCAATTCCTTTAATCTTAGCTCACACTGCACGCTTTCATATGTCTCCAGATCTTATTACAAGAGGAAAGAAAATCAATTGGTTAAATGTGTTTTGAACACCATGCTTGTCATATCACTCATTTGTTTGTAAAGATGGAAAGCTTGGTTCATCCAGAATGCCACCTAAAGAATTTCCATCAGTGCCGTCTGGTTACAGAAGCTGATGGATTAACCTCTCCCCGCTGAAATCAGTGATCAATGGGCTTCGATGGAGGAATATTCCAGTGGGAGAGCACTGCTCCCTCTTCTAGCTAAACAGCATTTAATGTCTATTAAAGCCCATTATGCATGCTAATGACTGTCACCACTTTATTATGCCACACTATTTCCCAGGCTACAGTAAGTCCTGAGGAAGCAGTGATAATACCTAAAGATTTCTCGACTAGCAGGCAATGCCAAATCATTCTTTGTGCCAGTGTGGTTCTGGAATCAAATCCTCTTAAAAGAATGGAGTGTTCTTAAGGAATTTGCCAATGGCTTAAAAATGCATGAAAAACTAATAATTGCATTCATGGAAATTTCTTTTTAAAAAAATAATCAGTGAAAAAAATATTTATATATATATATGTATGTATTTCTCCCTGTCCTGCTGTGTAATACCCAGAAAGAATCAGGGTTTCTTGTAATGTCAAAGTTAGAACTCATGCAAATTTCCAATCTGGTGGGTTAATTACTATGGCTATTAAGCGCATTAAAGGAGAATAAAATAATTACAATAGCAAAATTCAAACCATTTCAACAACTTTAAGTAATAATTCCAAAGATATACTCTGTTCATTAATGTGACTCTACATTTTGCCTATTTGACTACAATCCATAACAGGCAGCTTCAATGGGATTACATTACTATCATTCCTGCAGAGAACCTTACATTACAATAGCTTGCCCATTTAAGACTGAATATCATTAAGAATACCCTAGGAGAATTTCACCAGGCTTTGAGAAACTCTCCTTTCATTCTACATTGTATTTCCTTAATAAAGGAAAGCAGAAACGTGGTGAAAACAGTCATTGTTCACAGTAAGTTAGGGAGAAATCAGTAATAATATTCCGTTTCTGCAGCGTTATAGTTACTGCCAGTGTTTCCAAAAGCAAGCATGAATGATTATGGCAAGACTTAGCTAAGGTAGCTGTGTGGATGATTGATAGGGCATTAATCAAAAGATGCATATCTGCCTCAGAATTTGTTCACAAGCTTTCTTCTAATAGCTGATTTCATGTTCACTGAGCTCTATGCCAGTTTGTCCAATTTATTTTTCAGTGTACAAGCCATTCATCAAAAAACACAATGATTTAACAGCCCCCCTTCCTTTGGGTGAATGAGTATTACTAAGTGTAACTACGTTATTCTATTCATTAAATAAACAAAAACCAAAATAACCCACTTCACATATAATTACCATGGCACACCGACTTTGCATGTATCTCCAAACACCTTTCCAGGGTTCTAGGAGCCTAGACTATCTGGCAGAGTTGAAAGAGGGTCCCTGAAGGTCATTTATACTTCTAATTCTGGGAGACACGACATTTGGGGGCTTAAAAAATCAGTACTTAATTAAAAATAGAGACCATTCAGAAAACATGCCCTTGATTTTATACAAAAGCAACTCAAAAGCATTCACAGACGGATAAGGGAAGTGCATTTTAAAAAAGATGTAGGAGGCCGGGCGCGGTGGCTCACGCCTGTAATCCCAGCACTTTGGGAGGTTGAGGCGGGTGGGTCACCTGAGGTCAGGAGTTCGAGACAAGCCTGACCAACATGGCGAAACCTCGTTTCTACTAAAAATACAAAAATTAGCCAGGCGTGATGGCATGCACCTGTAATCCCAGCTGCTCGAGAGTCTGAGGCAGGAGAATCACTTGAACTGGAGAGGCGGAGGTTGCGGTGAGCCAAGATCGCGCCACTGCACTCCAGCCTGGGTGACAGAGCAAGACTCCGTCTCAAAAATAAATAATAATAATAATAATAATAATAATAAATAAAAATAAAGAAATAAAAAGATGTAGGAGATATCCTTACAAAAGATAAGACTCAGCATTCCCACCGCAGTTTCCTAGGTCTACGATCCTCCTTGTCCTCGGGGAGCAGGGGTAGGGGTTCTGAAAGCTCTTCACATACTTTGGCCATATCCCCATTCAGGGCCTCCACCTTTTTGCTGGTAAAACCAGGTGACGGGAATAAATGTTCTCTAAAATCCACATCAACAATTAGACTGCAAGGGCTATGAGGGAACACACAGTGGACGGTGATCCTGAGCCTTCAGTGCTTATTCATAAGAAGCCAGCAACAGAAACATTCTCCTCCTCCTCGTGCACAGACCTGGGCCAGGGCAGGGTATGGGACAGCTTGTCTGGACCCAGAAGGGCTGGCCCTCGACCTTCTGCTGCTGCTCCTGCCAGGGACTGTGCGCAGGAAGGCTGCTCCACTCCAGATGACAAAGCCAATTTAGAATTTGATGACAAAAGTAGAAAGTTCTCAGCTCTGACACAGTATCACTTAACAGATTTGGGAGTCAAGGCTCCTCTGCTCTCAGAACACTGCCATCAGAGTGCTGGGGCAGAGGACGGGCGATGACTGGGCACAGCAAACGGATGTCAAGAGTCGCAGACAAAATGCCCATGAGAAAGGATGCCTCCCACGCATACCCTCAACTCTCTTGGGCAAGATCAAGGTATGAAAAGATTCTCCTGAGGTTTTCCCACTAGGGGGATAAGAAAACCTGAGCCACCACAGCCTCCTCCTTTAAATCAAGGTGGGGAGGGCCGTGGAGGAGGGGAGTCCTGCATCCTTTTGCCTCCTGTCACAGCATGAGTCCCTCTGCATCTTCAGCACTCACAGTGTCCCCTGCCTGGAACCCTTGGCTTCCAGAGCTCACAATGGCCACTTCCTTTTTTACATTCACGTTCCAGCTTAAATGTCACCTCCTCAGAGGGGCCTTCTTAGACTCATGCCCCATCAAAACGAGGCCCCTCTGCACCTCCTTGCCCCATCGTTTTCTACTGCGTGACAATTCTATTCTCATGGCAGCACGCAGTACTCTCTAAAACTCTTTCTGTCTCTCTGTCTAGGAGGCAAGGTCCAGCTGGGCCGGGCAGTGTGCCTGGCAGAGCAGACACGCAGTACTGAGTCAATGAGTGACTGAATCCATTCTTCAGTGTCTATTAGTTCCCTGTTGCTGCTGCAACAAACAGCCCAAACTGAGTGGCTTAAAAAAACAGACACTGTTTATTACCTTACAGTTCTGGAAGTCAGAAGTCTGCAATAGGCCGGCGGGGCTGCATTATTCCAGACGGTCTAGGCTCCCTGCCTGTTCCATTACCTGGAGGCTGCCCACATTCCTTGGCTCAGGGGTCCACATCACTCAGGCCTCCTCCTCCTCCTCCTCTGACCCTAACTTGCCTCTCCTGCTTCCCTCTCACAGGGGACCCTGTGATTACATCACTGCCACCCGGATAATCGAGGATCATCTTCTCATCTCAAGATCCTTAGCTTAATCACACCTGCAAAAGTCGTTCTGGCATGGAAGGTAACCTATTCACAGGTCCTGGGGATTAGGATGTGGACATCTTTGGGGCCGTTATCCTGCCTACCACACTCAAAAGAGTCACCTCAAAGAAAACTATGTTTTCCTCTGAAAACTACAATTTGACAACATGTCTGTAAAGCAGTATTACACAAACGAAGCTAGTGTCTACATCCATTTCTTTCTGCAGCACTTCAATGGCACAGGACAGACTTTGCTGATTAAAGATATCAGAATTAAAAACAGAAGGTAAATTCTATTTTTAGGGGCCCTGAATAAGAACCTTCCTAAATAGTTCATGTATTCATTCCACAATTTCCTACAAATAGAAATTATTACTATTGTTGATTTGTTTTTTTTTTTTTTGTTTTTTTGTTTCTTGTTTTTTTTTTGAGATGGAGACTCGTTCTGTCTCCCAGGCTGGAGTGCAGTGGCACGATCTCAGCTCACTGAAACCTCCGCCTCCCAGGTTCAAGCGATTCTCCTGCCTCAGCCTCCCGAGCAGCTGGGATTACAGGCATGCACCACCATGCCCAGCTAATTTTTGTATTTTTAGTAGAGATGGGGTTTCACCATGTTGGCCAGGCTAGTCTTGAACTCCTGACCTCAAGTGATCCGGCCGCCTCGGCCTCCCAAGGTGCTGGGATTACAGGCATGAGCCACCACACCCAGGCATAGTTGAAATTGTTAATAATCTCTTATACCTTCTCTAGAGCAGGACATAATCTACAGTCTAAACCTTGGTACCTGTGCTTCCCATCCTCATAGCCTCCATGTTTCTGTTCACCCCACTCTTTCCAATGAGTCACCAGAAATTAATTTTACATTCTGATTCTGAATTCTCTGCATTCAACAATTAATCTGTTATTATTTCTAAAATTACTTTTATAGCTTTTGTTTCTAAATAACTATATGAAAGATGGGGTAATTTAAGACAATAACAACAAACATTTATAAAAATGTGACCTGTAACTGTTAATCTATATTTAGTCAATAAGATCAGTAGAAAGAAAGTGTTAGATGGCCCAGATCTTCCCAAGCAACGTGCTAACACAGTCAGAGGCCTCCTGAGGTGAGTAAGTGTAATGGAGAGAAAGAGAAAGAAGTACCAAGGTCATCAAACTCTTAGGAATACAGCCCAGGCCTGTTTCTCTGTGCATTCCTAATGTCCACCCCAGATACAGGTGGCAGCAGGATGTGGAGGAGCTTCCAGAGACCAGTGTTCCTCACAATACACTTTGAGAAACATTCTTCTAGGGCAACAATTATAAAGCCAGAATAAATTAATTTAAAAGTTAATTTGCCCTTTATTTTACTGAAGAGCAGACAAGGAGAAAAATGTGGTTGTTAGATAGCTTACTAACCAGAGCAGGTGTATGGTCACTGGATTGTTAGTTTGAAAGGGCATTCCACTGGATGCAGGGTCTAAATAAGGATAATTTCTCAGTCAGTTTCATCTCCATATTCAGCTCTGAGCTCAGTTAAAAGTGATTAACAAACCGTTGTCTGACTGGGAACCATTTTTTCTATTTTACGAAGACTTCAAAATAAAATTATCAAAGTCTGAATCTTTAAGAAAGTTCTGATGTAGATATACATCAGAAATCAGACATATAAAGTTTTGTCAATACTCTTAAAAAGTGTGATCAAAGTTTGCAAACTGGTTCTTGTTTCTTAGCATTACAGTAAACAGCACAGTAACACCTCACTTACATGGAAGTCTCCCTTCTGGGAATCTCAAAAACTATACCCAATAGGGCTAAACAGAGTACAGGTAAAAGGAAAACTGCTAAGCAACCAAAATAAATGTCCTAAAGTCTACACACTGCATCTCATTCATTAATTCAGCAAGTTTTAACTGAGTACTTTATACAAATCCCATTTATATTGCCAAAGAAAAAAAAAATTATTTGTAACCAGAAAGTTACATATAATTTATAATTAATACATTAAACCTGGAAATACATAATCATGTTTGGCTTTCACAATAAATATTTATTTTTTTCACACCAAGGAAGTGATGTAAGTCAACATTTGTACAGAAACCCTTGTGATCCATTCTGCTAATACAATTTATATTTATTCCCAAAATAATATATAAAATGGAAACACAGAGTTCATATTGTAGAAAATCAATCATTAAACATTTATTTACCCTACTATACATATAGGCACTTCAAAGTCATTAATATTCAAATCAAATGGATAAAACCCAATTAAAACAGTATATGAGAAAAGCCTATGTTTTTTAAATGCTTCAGGAATTCTATATAAGGCAGGAGGGTCAGAGCGCTGGGGATATACTGGATTCCTTAACAATGGTACTATAAATAAAGCAGCATAATATGGCTTGCTGTAGCCCTTTAAATTGGAATGGTAAGTAAGAGCTGATTACAATATTCAAGAAATTTGTTTTTATATAAAAATAAAGAAAACAATAGAGGAAAGTACGAAAAATGTCAAGAGGCCGTATCATCCAGCCACCACACACTTAAAGGTAAAAGCTACTATTTTATTGTTTGATGATTTCAATCCACAGGACATTCTTAACCCTTCCCTAACATAACAGCTTTTCCTAGAGTTGCCATGGAATATCTCACTCCCATGTAATCACAGTGCCAGGGTTTCTGCACCAGCACACGATATATGTGGGGAAAGGGCACAGGAGGATGTAGGAAGCTGAGCAGAAAGGAAGGCTCTTCAGTTTCCAGGTTCATCTCTGAAATCTCTCAATGACCCAGCGCGGTGTGCACAGAGCTGGGCAGGTAGGTGATGCATTAGAGAACTAAGCCACAGGCAAGCCCTGGCGTGAGTGGTAATCACACTCCATCACAAAGGCGCCAGCTCTCAGTCCAATGTGAAGAGTAATGAATATGTGGCACTTCTGGATTCTTGGGAAATGTCTTGTAAATGTAAAATCAACTCTGTCTACCCGCCACCTATAAAACACTTCTTCCAATTGCTTTGGTTGTTAAATTTCATTCAGGTTTGAATTTTTTCAACATCCTTAAAAGAAACTCATGTGATAGTATCAGGATGTATTCCTTTAGGTCAGGGCACTGGAATTAAGAAACTTCATGCTACAACAAACCTAGTTTACTACAGGCCGAAGAAGAATCCAATGAGTATCCCACCTCTCCTAATTCTTTTGCTCATGAAATCAAGATTGGAAGTAAAGTCAGGCAACAGGAACCACTGAGATGACATGGTACCAGAATGTGAGAAACTGACTTCAAGAAAAGAGAGGGGAGAGAGACACATTCAAAGCCAAGCCAAACTTCCTGGCTACTTTGTGACTGTTGCACTAAGAGGTCATCCTCACTCTGGTTACAGCTGTGGAATTCACTGCACAACAGCTGCCATCCAAAGAACCATTTTTTTTTTCCAGTTTTGCAGAGAATGGGCCAACAGCTATCATTACTTGTATATGTGTAGGGACACACATGCACACATGTGCTTCTATTTGAGAGGGAAAAAAATAAAGCTTCCACTTCCATCTATAAAAGTTTCCAGGGCAAGTTTATTGGAAACCCAGCCCAGCCTCAGAAGTAGAGTACACAAAGACCCACATGCTCTTAAGTATCTCAACATTTACATTTAGGCATATGCTCTCTGAATAATGCTTTGGAGAAAAATACATTAGGTTTTACATTATGAAACTGATCTAAAAAGCTAAAAAGCTACTTGCCATTAAGCAGCCAAATAGATATGACCTCAATGAACGTGAATGGCAATAACACACTCTTACATGAGATCTGGCTCATCAGGTATGTTAGATGTGGTTAGAAAAATCATGTTAATATATGCATAATCCGTTTCTTCAAAATATCATCAGGTATTATTATTTCTATTATAAATAGCATTTCCCGCCAATGCTTTTCACCATGCCTCTCATTTGAGGATTTCTAAGAGAGAAAGAAGTGTGTCTGGTGAACACTCAGAGTTCGACCCACCAGGTTGAATTTGTGGTTCTGCCATGTGAGTAACTGAGTGCCTTTGATTCAGTCTGCTAACCTCTCTTAACATCAGTTTCCTTATCTGTAAAATTAAACAGCCTTGTGGGGGGCCTCCAGGGAAGGCCCTTAGATTTCTGCTCTTCCAGATCTAAGGCCCCAGATCTTAGGCCCTTCCTATTGTCCTTAGATATGTGGTCCAAGATGCTGTGGTATAACTTGGACCCTGCCTGTGTCGCCAACCTTGTGCTTTGGCTAACCTGCCCCGTGTTTAACTGTCATCTGCTGACAGTTCCCCCAATGCCTTACTCCTCCCACCTCAGGGCCTTCACCTGCTTGGCCTCCTTCTTAGAAACTTGTAGAAAGCTTTCCAGGGTATCTTGTCATCATCCTATAAGTCAATGGCCAATCCGCTGAATTAGGCCCGTGGTGCTATTCTTTCTTAACATCTGGGTCATTTCCTTTACAGCACTGACCAGAACCCTTACCAGCTCCTTTGCTCCTTTGTTCATTCATTTGTTCCCTCACTAGCTCTTTTGCTCATTCATTCGTTTATTAATATGCTTAGAGGCTTTTCCCTTCTGTAAGTTCCATGAAGGTGGGGGTCGTGTCTCTCTCAGGCATTTGTGTAGCCCCCATTCCCCCAGTACAGCGACTAGCACAGAGTTAAGCTCAGCTAAATATTTGGGGAATTAATAACTGATTAAATGAAATACTATATAAAACTAACTACCACTTCAGGTAATATTAATTACTTTTAAGGAAGTAAATGAGAGCTATCTTTTTAAGGTAGTATTAACTACTTTACTGAAAATCGGGGAAGGGAATGTCATCTCCAAATTTTTAGAAGACAGAATGAGAATTTTAAAGACGTCGGTAATTTGGCACTGTATTTATCTGTTTGTCAGTATGTTTCTCAATTCATTTGTGTGTTATTTCTCTGACATAAGCAAGGTGTTTACTAAGCACAGAGCCAAGGAGCTATGGAGGCCGAGCTGACTTCCACCCTGCCTCAGGCAGCATCAGTGGACCTGCCAGATGCACCCTTACTCCAGGGTCCTAGTGTCAGACAGGGCTGATGATCCACGAAACAGAAAGCACAACTTGCCCTCTCATCATCAGGCTGAGCTCATCAGTGTTGGCAACAGAAAAACATTGCACTGTTTTGTGACGCTGGAGATCTTGGCACTCAGAGGGGTGATGTGCAAAATGGGAATGTCATTTTCACTGAGATCTCTTTCCTGGTCACACCAGAATTAAAACCACTAAGAATATAAAACCACTTTCATTGTAGCCATTAAATAGAAAGTGAGAAAGTGATACCCAGTGGGTTAGAAATGCGTAGAGTACTCATTTCTTCATCCCATTTACATTTGCCGGAAGACTACAGAAGAAGGGGGTCATTTTAAACACCTTCTCTTCCAGTGGTGGCCCAATTTCCTAGAGAGAAGGGTTTTAGCAAAGGTACACTATTTTAACCTACTGTGATTCACTGGCTATTTACAACGTTAGCCTTAACTATGTAGAGTGGGGGTTACTGGCTGTATTTGATAAATATAAATTATCTAGTCTTAGATGGGGAGTCTTCCAGGTGATGGAGAAGCCACAACTTCTTGAAACATGCAATATTTTATAACATACTTTCCAATGTGCATGGAGTTATTTTTGAAAGCTATTTAATTATGAGATTTTAAAAGACTTGTCAGGTACGTCTAGACAATGCATTTTAAAAAATCTGACATAATCAAGTACTGTTATAATATGTCAATGGGCTTTTGTGAATAAATATTAGTTTTATATGGTATTTTTATAGTAGTCTGGATTATTAAGTAAATATATAAACAAAAGAACCACACACAAACTTAAAATAGACATTTGCTTTTTTAATCCTTTATTTTCTATTCACCCCTCTGGCTCTGTATCTATCAATCTCTGGCCATGTAATAATATAACACTCATACAGATTGCAACTTTCAGAAAGCCAGAATTATTCATCCACCATGTAGAAACTTACTTTAATAAGGGGATGATGAGAATTCTAATTACTCATGAGAGAGCTCCTTAATTTATTTACTCAAGAAATATTTACTGAATGGCATCAATATGAGAGAATGCAGGTGTCACAGGGGTTGAAACAAGAGGTACACAGTGATTGGCTTTTTGGTGCTTGTGTTCTATTGGAGAGAAATGGATAGCAGACTACTAAAGGAGAAAGAAAATATGGAAACGTCAAATAGTGGTAAATGCTATTACAGGCGTCTTTAACCACATTTGCACTAGGGCATAGATGTGAAGGAGACAGCTATGGCATTTCTTAGAAACTGAATGAGTATCTTTAAACATTTAATGACATGTTTAGAAATGTAAACATCATTACTGATGCACTGCCAATACCAACAGCAAATTAGGTATTAGAAAACATGTAAGTGTGAAAGTCAAGTGTGTTTAGAGTAAATTAACAAGCAGGAAACTGGAGTGCTAGTGCTGATGCCCACCAGGCACGGAACTTTGCTAACTTCATCTTGCAAAGACCCACTGGGCTTATGTGTAAAACAAGAATAAGGCCAGGTGTGGTGGCTCACACCTGTAATCTTAACACTTTGGGATGCCAAGGCGGGTGGGTTGCCTGAGTTCAGGAGTTCGAGACCAGGCTGGCCAACATGGTGAAACCCAGTCTCTACTAAAAATACAAAAATTAGCTGGGCACAGTGGTGGGCCACTATAATCCCAGCTATCGGGAGGCTGAGGCAGAAGAATCGCTTGAACCTGGCAGGCAGAGGTTACAGTGAGCCGAGATCGTGCCACTTCACTCCAGCCTGGGCAAAAGAGTGAAACTCTGTCTCAAAAAAAAATAATAATAATAATAACACCACTTGCTTTGCCAAATAGCTGTGACGTGAGAACGGTGAGTGAGCATGAGCCGTGCACCTGCCCTGTTAGTCAGCATGTCGCAGAGGCTAAACGCACCTGAAGTCGACTTTCTCTCCTGTACCTTTCGCTGTTGAGAAAGTTAGTTACCTTTTCTAGATGTCTCCTTGCTTCTTTCCTTTCCCAGATCCTCTGGTGCTACCACTAACTGATTATTCCTGAAGTCAGTTTTTAGATCTCAGAAAATGAAACTTACAGCAGGAGTAAGCAAGGCACTAGCACTCCTCCAGCTAAAGAACTGGCAAGTGGTGCCAATGATAACAATTATTATCATCATTATATGGGAAGCTGATCTCATCTTGGGTTATCTGCATTACCTGCTCTGTGTAAGAATAGACATATAGTCCTAAAATACAGCAAATGTGTACTAAAGAAGGAGAGATTGCACTGAGAGAGAAAAGATGCAATCGAAAGTCTCAAAGGCAAGAAAGAAAATGAGGACACAATGGGCCCAGGCACCCAACTGTCACAGCCTCCAAGGACCTGACTGGTCTTTAAGTGAATCTCTTCTTCCATCTCTAATGATATAAAGAGTTGTGGTATAGCTCCTTGGAGACGAAATGGGCAATGATGATTTCAAGTCAGCAGATTGACAGTCTGTTAAGTACTGTCACTAGCTTACCTGGGTGAAGATGAGGAGACCAGGAGACCGTAAGGACTAAGGAGGCTGGGGTAGGAATAAATAAAGATAGCATCATGACCATTTCTATACCATATTCTAATCTATGTCCTTTAGATGCTGTAAAAAGTCAAGAGACCTGGGCAGAGAGCAAGAGGAAAGAAAAAGTAAAGAGAAACAAGAGAAGTGAATGTTCATGAAGTGATTTTGTGTGTTATCTTTCTGACTATCACTGTGTGCCACATTTCTGCTACTTGGATGCTATGACTTTAGTCATGCCATGTAATAATTGCACAATTGCAGTAAAGTCGCCTCCAGTCCATGTCAGTCTATGACCCAGGAATATTCGCCAGGAGTGCAGGAGCAGCCAGGCCAGGGTTCTGAGACTGGCATGCTTCCTCGGGGCCAGACTGGGATGGAGAGCAGTGTAGCATAGACAGCCATCACAGGATGGCTCCTCTCCTGGATGAACCATCCCAGCTCAGCTCCCCCTGAAACTTCACCCCAGGTAGGAATCTCATCCTGCCATTGCAGATCCACACCAGCTTTAGTAAAATGTGCATTCTTCCTGTATAGAGGGTGTCTTATCTGTAGTTTACAGATGTGAAGACTAAACTTCAAAGAGCTGAGAGGTAAGTTAGGTTTGTATAGCTGGTTGGTGGCAAAGCTGGAATCTGACCATAGACATATCCAACTCTAAAGCCTATATTTGTAACTACAGTGGTTAATCTGGAAAGTGCCCCAGGACCCCTCCCTGTGCACTGACTGCTATCACAGTTGCTTGCAGCTATCCACGTTTCCACACTTCAGTGACCATATGAAAAGAACAAAGAAAAGCAGCGGAAAATGACATCATATTAAAATTAGGATTTACCACATTTAAATATTAACTTGCCTACTGAAGAACATTGCTGATAATTGAACAAGAATTAAAACTGTAATGGAGAACATTAGGGAAAGACAACAGTATTCATTATTTTTACTAAATGTGGGTATCTTGCTACTGCAAACACTTTTTTTTCTGAACTGATGAAGTTTCCCTAATTGTAATCTACCATGGAAGACCTATCAATGAACAACTAACGCTACCGCTCATTCATAGAAACAAACAAAACCTCACTTATTAAAACAAAGGCTAGTGAAAACATCCGTTAGTATGTACTTTTCAAGCAAGGAATTATTCACAATTAACAAAACTACAATTCAAAAAGATTGCTAGTAACTGAATTCTTAAATTATTGGCAAAAAATTTAGGGGAAATGAGAGTTTAAAGTTTATAACCAGGATTGCTAAATTAATTAATTAGAGTACTATCTAATTCTATGTCTCAACCATTTGTGAGCTGGCTTAGTTCAAACAATAAATGATCAGGTAATTCACCTAAAATTCATATGTTGGCTTACTTTTATTCCCTACTTACTGACATCAGTCCAAGTTGATCATTAGCAGTAAGAAATATTTTATGTTAATCATGTTTACAAAAGTCTGTGCTTGTACCTTCACATGCAAAAACAGACATGAGGTGCTTCATGGAAGGAAGTGTCAAAACACTTTCTGTCAAGCAAGGAACTATCCACGGTTAACAAAGGTGTATGGTCAAAATAGGGATCTTTCAGATTAAGCTAAAAATACTTAATGGAAAAACAAAGAAATATTCTTTTGCCAGATTTCCTCTGATATCTATGCTTTCCAATGTCATCTGCACTTATTTTCCATCAGACGAAAAGTCCTGCTGTTTCTCTCTCCCTCCCATGGACTCCTTTCTCTTCAGAGTTGTAGGACAAGACTTCTGCCATGACTGGTCTTTTTATTTTTGTTCATGTTCTGTACATGTGTCATACAACCAGGTATGAAGTCAGTTTTCCTCTAGAGAACATTATTACAAGGAAAAGGCTGGATAAAAAGATTTGCCCTACTTACTGTCTCTACGAAGTGGATTTCATCATAACTCAATAACTGCTATTTCTATATAGGGGCTATTGACTAATGTCTGCAAACACAAAATAATCTGGGGCCCAATAACTGGTTTTGCAATTCATTGTGATATTTGACCTGCCTCTTGGTATAGGCACAGCATCATGCACTTTTATTCTTCCTCATAGGCAGTTGGTACTGAAAATGCATCACTACAGGTGCAAACAAGTGCTGACATTACATTTAAAAAACACATAATGGATTCAGGAAAATACATACCTGATTGCACTTGCAGATAAGTGACCATAGGAGCCACTTGCTGAAGAGCTGCTACGGGAATTATTGAGAATCGTGACCAAGGAGTTGGGAGACGTCCTTATCATGGTCTGAAGGTCAAAGCTATGATCGGAGAGTGGTGATATGGACAGTGTACGTTTTCGGCTCGGCCTGGCTGACAGCCTGGGGCTGGAGAATCTGGTGCCTGTTATATAAACAAAAAAGAACCTAATTACCTGCAGTTGGACTCTATACCAGCTATTTATTGCTACTTGCCTACGTGGAAGAAGTGAAGGATAAGAAGCTGGCAACTTGCGGTGACAAGCACCTCTCCTCCCCCATGTGATCTACTAGCTACAGTTGAGGAAACTAGGGAGAAATATTTGTCTTCCAGGGGCTTACCTCGGGGGAGCTCTGTTTATTAATGTGCAGGGAAAATGATAAATTGCTAAACAAAAGGGAGAGATTTTTATGTGTTATCCCTTTCATTTCTGGTGATTTATGAATCTGACGGCTGCTTAGATATTCCCATCATTAATTCACCACAAGCGACAAAGACAGTGGTTCCCACAATGGCAACATACCACCCTCCCCACCCCAACACACACCATTTTAAGTCATGAGCCAAAGGAAGGAAATGAATTAAAGTATCCTAAGATTAAAAATTCAGCTCAGTTATGCCCTCAGTGCCCAGTGATTTCTAGAGTTACCTGCTCTATGGTATACTTAAAGCATTACTAAAACAACTTCTACATAATTACCCTGAATCAGTGCTTCTCAACTGAGAGCAATTTTGCCCCCCAAGGGACACCTGACAACATCTGAAGACATTCTGGTTTTCGGGACTCAGCAGATGCTACTGGAATCTAGAGGGTAGAGTCTAAGAATGCTGCAGAACACCCTATAATGTTCAGGGTCACCCTCCCCACAATAAAGAATTATCTGGCCCAAATGTCACCGAGGTTGAGGACCTCTGCCTTACATTCCCCATATAAGAGGATAAATCCCAAGAAACATTTAAAAGGTGGGGATGTTGCTTGTTTACAGATTTTCCAAGGCAGAGGAGAAACCCTTACGAGCATGATAACGAGGTACAATGAACCTATAGGGCATTTTAGCTCTTCTCTGGACCTTGTTTCTCTAGTCAGACCCAATAAGGGGTAATAAATTTATTAGAATTTTTAACCTTCAAGAAGATTCCACTGATGGAGTCTTAACCTGGAGTCCAAATCCGGAGGTGAGTAACTCAAACTTAAATGCATGCCAACTTAATACAATGGTTTCTTCCTGAAGAGTTCAAAATTAAATGCCAATTTGCATTCAAATTTGGTAGATATTAGAGATGTGAGCTTCAAGACACAGAGATGAATGTGGCCCACAGGTCCATTCTGCCTTTTTGAAGGTCATATTTACATTACAGAGTCATCAAACTAAAGTTTAATGAACGAATGAGAACATAATCTCACCACGTAGGAGGCAAACAAAACATGATTAGTTTTAAGTAAAATGAAGAGTTTCTAACACCTCATAGAATGAGTATACCAGTTTATAGGAAAATGGCAATTTTGCGGTACCCAGAACAACTGAAGTAGCAGGTAATCTTTCTTTATTTAAAAAAAAATGTCCAGGCTCTTGGTCTCCAGAAAATTCTTTGGGAATATTTTATTCAATAAAGATGGTTCTTGATACAAGATAACAATCCAACATGCTTAGAGATCATTTAATTAAATGGGATAGATAAATATGAATGACTTCATTGTCAATACTATAGAAATAATGAAAAAAAATCCACAAACTGAAATTTACTAAGTTAGTGCCATCCACGTATAAAACTTAAAAACCAACTTGAATGATAAATGTGGTACCTACTCAAATTTTTCTTTCAGGCACAACTAAAACGAGTTCCTTCATTTAGAATAGTTTCATTACCAGCCTGATTTAGAGCATGTTAGCACAAAATAGCAATCCCAACGATTTCCTTTTTTTTTTTTTTTTTTTGAGATGTGGTCTTGCTCTGTTGCCAGGCTGGAGTGCAGTGGCACGATCTCGGCTCACTGCAACTCTGTCTCCCGAGTTCAAGCGATTCTTCTGCCTTAGCCTCCCGAGTAGCTGGGACTACAGACACACACCACCACGCCCGGATAATTTTTTTTTATTTTTAGCAGAGACGGGGGTTTCACTGTGTTGGCCAGGATGGTCTCGATCTCTTGACCTTGTGATCCGCCAGTCTCGGCCTCCCAAAGTGCTGGGATTACAGGGGTGAGCCACTGCGCCCACCTGTGCATATTTTTAAGGCATTTAAATCAGCATCTTACTTTTATAATGGCATCTGCCTTATTAAACACAACTCCTTCACATTTACTCACCATGAGAGGCTAATTTCATCATGGAAGTTTTTCAATGAGGAAATACATGTCACTTCCAAGTGACAAACCAGATTTGTTATCAACTTCCATATAATCCTGGACAATAATTGCCCTTCTCAATGGTACTCAGTGATCACTGGCAAAGTTAGAAGTGACAGCACATGCTAGACAGGACGTGGATATATCCCTAGAAAATCTCTAATGTTTTAGATCACTAATTGTGATGCAAAAGGAAGAAGCCCATTTGATGCTCTCAAACCCTAGGAGCCTTAGATCACTCTCACATCCTCCAAAGAGGGTGAGGGGCCTCTCAAGACCTTTTCACCCTTTCCATGAAACCCTTTGGCTTGCTCATAGCCTGGCTGGAACCTTTCCTCTCTGTGTTTTTCCCTCCAAGACTGGCTCTTATTTAAGTCTATTTCCACCAATATAAATAGTGGTCTTCAGGGGCCCTCATCTCTAGAATGTTCCTTATAGGGAGTATTTGTTCTCATCTTTTAAGGTCACTCCAACACTGAGAGGTAGAATTGGGACCATAAACAGACTAGTTTATCCTAACAAGCTACATATAAACACTCTGTCCTACATCTTGCTGAAACCTAGACGTGCCCACTATTTAAAAGTCAGGTGCTTACCTGAACCCAGTTTATTGAGGGTTGTGTTAATTAAGAAGTCCTAAATATCTGTAACAAGGGATGAAGAGTGACCAGATAGATCCCAGGTTTCGATCTACCACTGCAGATGGACAACCACTATAAAAATTTAGGATTAATGTTTCGCTTCTTTGTTGGAAAAAATCTCCTATGGTGGAAATTTCTGGGCAATCTTCTTATATTCTAACTAAATAACTATTAATAAATGCTACTTCAATTACTTTAGAGGAAAAGAATATAGTGCCTTAAGAACTTTCCAGCCCTTTAATATGTTCTTCCCAACTCCTTAATAAACAAGCAAAAGAAGAGAAAGTCAGCATTTGGGGACAGTGATTTGGGATACTCTGTTGAAGGGAGCTGCTAAAATACAAGGTAAGCATTTTCAGAACAGCCAAAAGAGAAGTAGCCCAGTTCTTCACTGATCATACCACTTCCTTCTTAAATATAAGCCAGAGAATTCTTATTGTTCTAACACAGATATCTCCGATCTGGCTTTCTGTTAATTATTTTGTTTCCCTATTCTAATAAGAAATTCTGACAAAGAAAAAAGAGGTTTATTTTTATGTGATGAATGATAGGACATCTAAATTCCTACTTAATGACAATCAATTTACCATATACTCAGGCAAATTAAAATTCCTTTAATTAGTTTTTACAAAGTAAAAGGGTAGCTTCATCCTTTATTTAGATAAAAACCGCCACTGCCTGACTAAACACATTCTCATCAAATAGGGAAAGTAATGCGGGCTGACCTTCCAAGGATTCTCTCTTATTTTAATTCTTTATTTGCAGATTTTAAATAACTGATTTGCATAATAACACAACTTTTTTTTCAACAATCGCTAATTGAAATGTGGTTATGATGAATCTGAAATGTAAGCTCTCTATGCTAAAAAGCCAAACAACAGAACGCCTGAAGAAGACGTAACACATTTCTTTTACTTTCCATGTAGTAATGAGCTTCCCAGTGGAAACCAACAGAATCTTGTGTTCCAATGAAACACACAAAGGTAGCTCTTGATGGTAAGCAGACTAAGGCTGTAGAGTTTTTACCCCTGTATGAAATAATCACCTTCTTTCTAGTCCGAGACTCAGGACTAAATAACTAGAGGACATATGCTCGCCCTCTGTCACAGAAGAATCCAAATAGATTGTAAATGGAAAAGTGTAAGTTAATTGCTGCTACTAGGAAAAACAAACAAAACGCTAAGCAAAGGCCCTACTCAAAGTCATACTGTTGTCCTATTCAAAGGTAGTGGCTTTTGCTGATGTATGACTTGGATGATGCTTTAGGATCACTTCAGAGCGCCTTGCAAACGGATGTGTCCTTAAAGGATCTGAAGAGATGAGCGCTCTGGAATGCTCTGATGAGAGGTAATTATAGGCTTACTTGTCTATGCGTCTACATAAGTGACCCACAAAAATCATTACACACCTAAGGGACCCCAAAATAAGTGATACAACATGCATCAAGTAATCTCACCTTATTCCACTGCTAGGTACTAAAAGTAGTCCCTTCTGATTTGGAAAAAGTTTTTATTTTTTCCAAATAAGCTATTTGGCAACTATTGATAACTTGATAACTATTCTGATCCTTTCATATATTCAGCAGCTACAAACTGTCTTAGTGGAATACAATTTTTTTAATGTAAAGAAAACATATGGGGCAAACAATCATTTAAGGCAAAAATGTAAAACCTGTTAAAACAGGTATTTTTTAAAATTAATTTTTAAAGCATAAAATCCATGAAACCAAGGAGTGGGGAGGCAAAGTCCATCCATATATCAAATCCATTCCCCCTTATTTTGTTATCAAGACAATCACGACAGGAAAAAATTTTTTTGGTTTGGGGAGACAGGGTCTCACTCTGTCACCCAGGCTGGAGTGCAGTGGCGTGACCAAGACTCACTGCAACACCGACCTCCTGGGCTCAAGTGATCCTTCAGCCTCAGCCTCCTGAGTAGCAGGGACTACAGGTACATGCCACTACACCCAGCTAATTTTTAATTTTTTGTAGAGATAGATCTCGCTATGTCACCTGGGCTGGGATTTTTTTTAACCAGCTAATATTTATATATCGCTGTCAATTACAATTGCCTGCATCTGTCAGTTCACTGGTATCCTTGAGCTAAACAGGGGGTCTCAGGATGTCCAAATCTGTGGAAGCTTCTAGAAAACGAAGGGAACCAGAGCACCAGATAGTGGTGGTTCCACTTTCTCCTCCAGATCAAAAAGTTACACAATCACCTAATCTTTGTATCTTCTTCTCTGTTTCATAAAGTTGCCTTTGCCATTTCCCAAGACTCTAGAAACCAGCCCCGTCACTTACTATCCATAGCATGAAGATATTCCATGTGGATGGCCCCCGTGCCGGCGGTGGCAGCTGAGGGAATAATGTCTGCATAGGGGCTGCGCTGGCCAGTTAGCAGGGCCATCTGATGATAGTATTCTGCTGGGCTGACTCCTGCATGGGGCGCTAGGAGGAGACAAGAGATGTATGGTTACTAGCGAAAGAAGGTCAACTAGAAGTTTCTCTTGAGGCATCTCAGAGTCCATTACACAACCCACATCAGCAATTCCTTTTATGGCTTATTAGAGTAAAGCTCCTTTAACTCAAATTGTGCTCTTACTTCCATGAAACATCTTTTATTTGAAAATAAAACTGAAGGAAAGGAATAGAAAAAAGTGAAATGCATTACTAAGTTTTTGTTGTTGGTCTAAGAAATTATCAACAAATCAGAATGATTAAAATGTATATATGTACATAACCACATTTGCCCCCCAAATAAAATCATTTTTATATCAAATCACTGTATGTTTGCATTTCTTACAATAGTAGACAACTTAGAAGACTATGATATCTTTCCAGACATACTTAAAATACTTTTCTAAGCTTTCTGACAAGAGTGTCTGAGTTAACTCTCACTCACATGAAAAGTCAGGGTTTACCAGTATGAAAAAAGGCAGCACAGCTTTAATAACACAACTGAATGATAAGCTACAATTTTACATTCCATAATTTAAAAGCTCTCTTTTCCTTTTCTTCATTACAAAATCAAAAAGAAAATATACCTATCAATCTGGAGCAATTTACTGCCAAGACTCAGCTTTCTAACAGGATAATAGTCGGTTTCCACCTGCCAATTTTCGTGCAAAAGCAGCAAGACATTGTAGCAGTTCTGAGGGTGGCCTCCAGACTCATAGAGATCTGGATTTAAACTGGCTCCATGAGGTCGTCAGGAGCAAAAATTAAATTATGTATGTAGCACACTTAGCACATAGCATTCAATCAATAAAAGTTTTACGATTATTATCTAGAAATACCAGCACTCTAGTGATAGGTTTGTGGGTATTTTATATTTGTTTCATATACTTTTTATCCATGATACATGGTAAAGATAGAGATTTAAGGAAAAAAACTTTAGGCCACAAGGGAAATATTTATCATGTTACTTTATTTGATTATATTAACTGGATTCTTGAGAGGCAAGAAAAGGAAGGCAAATGAACCAGTCAAAGAATGTGATATATATACTCGTCATCAAATGCTACACAAAGCAGATGATAAGAGTGCTTTCAGTAGTTTAACTCGTGGTATGACTTTCCACTAGCCCGAATAAATTTCTGCAGGCCAGGCATAATTCCAAGTCCATTGTCAGCTAGCCTCCCTCTCTCCCTCAGTCTATTCTCCTTGTTAGTCATTTCCACCAACTCCCAAGGACTTGAAGGAGATGATTCTCCAGTTCTTCAAGTGCAAAATAAAATCTGAAGCAGAAAATCTAATTCATATTTGATTTTTATTTTTAAAATGTGAATCTTGGCCAGGCACAGTGGCTCATGCCTGTAATCCCAGCACTTTGGGAGGTAGAGGTGGGTAGATCGCTTGAGCTCAGGAGTTTGAGACCAGCATGGGCAACATGGCGAAACGCTGTCTCTACAAAAAATATAAAAATTAGCTAGGCGTGGTGGTGCACACCAGTGGTCCCAGCTACTTAGGGGGCTGAGACAGGAAGATGACTTGAACCCAGCAGGTCTGGGGTACAGTGAGCTGAGATTGCACCAAGGCACTCCAGCCTGGGGAACAAAGTGAGACCCTTTCTCAAAATAAAATAAAATGTTAATCCTGCCCAAAGGGCAAAACTTATTCTTTAGCTACCTGTATTACTATTATTAACCAGTAAATTCAATGCACTGAATCAAAAAAGAAAAAAGTGGCTGTTACTGAAGGAAAGCTATTTCTGAAAACCCAAGTGAGTGGATGTTTCCTGAGACACTTCATGCAGCTTCTCACCATGCACACCCAGCCTCAGGAAGGCGTCTACCTAGAGAATGTGGATAGGGCATGGAAGTCGCATCAAGCACTGCTCAGTGAAATGAAATGCCTGGTGTTTCTCTGATGTGGAACAGGCAGTGGTGATTTGCGATCTCTTGCAAAGAATTCAGAGCCTGCTACCTGTAATTAATAGGTGATGCAATTCTGGACCTTGATTCAGATTCCAGTGATTATTGGGCAAGTGAATTCCTATGTGTGCGTGATATGGAAAATACTTTTCCTGAATCAAAGGACCAGTTTATAAGTTGACACCAGGAGAATACACAGCTCCAATTAAGAAGAGTCATGTGGAAAGTAATGGGGGGACTAACAGAACCAACAGGAATTCGATCCTTAAGAGCCTAAAATGAGCAACAAGTATAAGAAAGTCTAAGCTCATTTCCTTTCCCAGTACATACTTCTTCGGATTTTCATGTGGCATGGTCAAGAATAGAAAGCACAGGCAACAGCCCTGGACCATGATGTTTTCTAAGACCTTGCCACTCAGAGTGTGGTCCAGGCACCAACAGCACTGACATCATCGGCTTTTGAGGAGCACAGAATCTCAGGCCCCACCTGATCCCACCTGATGCAGAATCACGTTTTATCAGGCTCCCCAGGTGATTCATAGACACACTAGAGTTTGGGAAGCCCTCCTCTAACAGACGCATCTGTATAAATGTGCTCAGACACACAGAACAGAAAAGTGTTCATCAGAAGGTGAGTAAAACACTCATGTTACACATGCACGTGTGTGAATGGCTACAGGACCAGTCTAATCATATGTGAAGCAGCAGAACAGAACCCTAGTTACCAGCAGGGATTTGGGAATCAGAAACATTTTCAATGAATTCCACCTCTGCCCCTTACTAGCCATGGGATTGACTGCGTTGCAAGTAAACCCCACTGCACGCTGCTATTCTGACATGAAAATGGAGATAATAACACCACTGCCAATGAGGTGTTACAAAACTGAAACGCAATCATGCATGTAAGGCACAGAGCACAGCGCCTGGCACATGGGAAACACTCACTAAACATCAGGTCTACTTTATACACGTCCCGAGTGAGGAGCGGGGAGGAGGCTGCATGATCTCCAGAAGCAGAATCCATCCTGGACTTACCATCTGTAGGGCTCAGCCCACGGGTTGCTGAGATCATGGAGAGCGATGGGCTGCTGTGCAAGGAGCGGATATAGTCCATGTAGGGATTAATGTAGGGATGTGGAGGGCTGAAGGGAGACTCGGAAGCAGCAGTGGGGTTCCGGTGTGGGGAGATCCTAATGAAGGGCAGGTCCGGATACGTAGGGCTACTAGATAAGGCGGAAGTCCTGGGTACAAAGAAAACCAGATACAAGGGGTATGCATGAGACAAATATCTCCACAGGCAGAGGCTGTCTCTGAAAGAAAATAAGTAAGATTTTAAGTGAATTCAAAGGAGCCTTGTGGAAAAAACTGCAGGCAAATACATATTAGTACTATTATTTTAAAATCAGCATGATATAATGCAGGCAGAGCATCGCTATGCAATTGTTTGGGAAAATAAATTGATCTCTGAGAAACTTCATTGCACTCCAAAATAGTAAAATAAAGGTCAACCTATGGCTTCTTCCATGAGAAGAAATTCTAAATAACAGGCAACTGGGCTTAAAGTGGTTGCTACAATTGTATTTTCCACTTGACCCAAATATTAATGTTACCATTTAAAACTTACCTCTTACTAGCATGGTGTTGCATAAAAATAAGAAAGAAAAGAAAAGAAAAAAGAAAGGGAAAGAAAAGAACAGAACAGAACAGAATGAAAGAATACAATCCCAAATTTGTCTGGTCTGGAAGCCTGATCATGCACATGGCAGAGCTGTCCGTAAGGAAGAAGACCCATTGCAAAAGTCTGCTTAGAAATGGGAAATCGGTCACTCTAAAGATCCAGGCACATGTCTGTTTAACTTCCCAGGGCCTCGCAGTGGTAAGTAAAATGACTTTTATGGATCCAGGTGTGAGTGCTTGGAAGGCAACTCCTCCCCTTTGTGCAGCAGCACCTGGAATCAGCTTTCTGCTCAAGCCCTTTTCCATGAGGCATCCCGATGAGCCACGTTCAGTGAGCAGTAGCAACTAAGTGCTCCCGGGTTAGAAAGTTGGGGAAGAATGCATTTTCAATCAAGCCCTTGCGTCGGTTATAATGAGCTAAGGTAGAATGTAGGCTTTTGGTTAATAAAAATAAATTCTAAAACACACCTTGCTACCACGATATCCTGATCTGCTTCTGGAGAGAGATTCCTCAAAATCCCCTCACACCTGCTGCCCCATAGCCACAGCCACACCCTGAGACAGCCACTTCTAGAATGGCCAGTCTGCATAACCTCCTGGACCACCAAGTTCCTTCTCTAACGGAAAACATTTGGCATGGATAATCAGGGAACTGGCTCTGACAGGTTAAACAGTTGTGCTCCCCGCTTTTCCTCATTCACAGAGGGTGCGGCCATAGGAAGGGGAGGCCCTGATAGAGAGAGATCAACTGAGAACAGCAAATTCCTCTTCCACCACTGGCTTTAGGAGTGAAATGAAAGGGAGGGGGAAACACATTTTCTCCTTGCAAAGCAAATGCTCACGCACAGCCCGGCCCCCATCACCCTGTCAGAATATAATCTTGGTAAAAGCCAGCTCCACTAAGTGCACAGCGCAGACACTGAAATAAATGAAATCAGAGATCAGATAATGAATTTTCTCTCAGTAGAAAATGAAAGAAGTTGAAATATGGTGGTGGGGGTGGATTTTCTCACTTTCTCCTTCTGACTCTTTTTTCATTTTGAACTAAAAAAAAAATGAGGCTTTTTATTTGTTACTTAGATGCTACTTTGGGAAAGCAAAATAAAAATCCAAAGTTTTCTAAATTTACACATGGGAAGAGTAAGAAATCACCACCAGCAAATAGCTATTTCTTTTCAAAACAGCTTGAGGCTTTCACACCCAATCAGAAATTAGTAAAATGGCTTGTTTAAATAGAAATCAACATAACCTATTAGTCTTTCCTATTTTAGCTCTTTACTACAAAACAAGTTGGCTTTCTGTTCTTTGTTAACTCAGCCCCTAAGCTCCATTTAGACGTGTCCGCCATTGGTTAAATCTTACACCGTATTTAGATGTGTTTGCTACCTTAGAAGGTACAGGGGATGCTCTAATTCATTCATTTATTCTTCACAAGAAAGGACAAGCAATCCTTCCAATCTGATTCTAAACACAGACTTGTTTATAGATTTCCACTGAGGGACTGGTGCCACCGAATGCAGAAGAGCTGTTTCAAGAAAGCCATGAGATGACGCCTCCTGGGCCAGCTTTTGCAATCCAGGAATAACTTGGTCTGAGCAACATGAACTAAACATCAGGGTGGGCAGTGACATTTCTTACTGGCTTTTCTTGATTTACCCAAAGATTGAAACCTATTATTTCTCCAAAATTCCAGAGTTGAGAAGAGTGGTAAGAATATCCCTAGAGGTCCAAATTCTATTTTGGAGAATTATGCACAGGAAAACCAATCAGCATCTAGAAAAACACAAAAATTATAGCGGCCAGGCTAGGGTGGTCATCAATCCCAAAGAAAGCCTAGGAAGCTGTTTTCTCCTCACAAAAGTCTATCAAGTCTGATGTCCCTGTCACTGCTTCACTTGGATTCAAGCCTTTCCCACCAGGACACTGAAGGTACCTACTAAACCAGCTTCCCACGAGTGAGGCTCCAAGACCTGGTCATATCTTCTCTGGCAGGAGCACTGGGCTCTACGGTCCTTTTACATACTGCTGAGAAGCAACAGTGGAAAGGAGGGTTCCTCCAGGATTTGAAGATAAAGATACAGGTGCATCAGGCAGTCATAAGGGGGTCATCAGGAATTCTAGATACAGATGTATCCAAGCAGTGGGACTCAATGTGCGTGGACCTCAGCCTTGATACTCACCTTCTCCTCTTCCTTAAAGGTCCAATGGGGAAGATAACCTCGTGGGAGTCTTAGGAAGTTGACAAGAGTAAAGTCTCATGTACTGAGCCTAGTATATACTGAATGCTCAACACATACACACACACACATATATACAAATATACACATACATCCATATGTAAAATCATATGTGACATATACATCACATACTGTGCTAACATATTCCACCCATAATACACATATACACAAACATATTTATATACACATGTGTATATGTACACAGATATATGCACACATATAAACATATATACATGCATAGTAGGGGTAGCAAATGCAACATACTGTGTGATTTCAAATATTGAAATATTAAGACATTCTTTTTGTTAGCAGACTTTGTTTAGAGCAATTTAAATTCATAGCAAAATTGAGCTGTAGTACAGAGATTTCCCATATAACCCCCACCCCCAGCCTCTACATATAAATAGCCTCCTGTCATTATCAACATCTTCTACCAGAGTGGTGCATTTGTTACGAGTGATGAGCCTACACTCACACATCATCGTCACCCAAAGTCCATAGTTTAGGGTTCACTCTTGGTGTTATCCTTTCTACGGGTTTGGGCAAATGTATCTACCGTTACAGTATCATACAGAGCAGTCTCACTGCCTTAAAAATCCTCTTTCACCAATTCTTCCCTTCTTCCTTCTCCCAGCCCCCAACCCCAGGAAACCACTCATCTTTTTGCCCTCGCCATAGTTTTGCCTTTTCCAGAATGTCAGGCAGTATGTAGACTTTCCAGATTGGCCTCTTTTACTTCGTAATATGCATTTAAGTTTCCTCCATATTTTTTCAAAGTTCATTTCCTTTTAGCACTGAATAATATTCCATTGTATGGAATAGCTTATTTACTCTTTCACTTACTGAAGGAAAACTTGGTTATTTCGAAGTTTTGGCAATTATGAATAAAGCTGCTATAAACATCTGTGTCCAGGTTTTTTGTGTGGAAGAATCCCCTTTCCATAGCAAATCTGATCACACCAGTCGGCTTTGCTCCTCTCCCTGACAGCACCTTGGAGGCACCTCCTTGGATTTTCCAGGACCTCCCTTAGTAAAATCATAAAGTCACATGAGGTGGTTAAGAAAATGAAGTCAGTAATTAAATGCAAGGGCTTTGAAGGAATGGGATTTGAAGGTTTCTTCACTTATTCCCTCACTCAAGCATCAGTTTCCTTATACACAAAATTGGAACAATCACAGCTCCCTCCAGGAGCTGCCGTGAGGGCTGAAATCCTGTGTGTAAAGGTAGGAACACAGTGCCTAAGTGCTGTGGTTGTTGATATTCTTGTAGAACCAGCCAACAACACTTCTTTTCTTCTGATTCTAAACTCAGAAAAAAAAAAGTCCAAATGGCGATTTGTTCCCTAGCGGAGCAGTGGCTGGTATTCAGTTTCTCATTAAAATGTGGTCACTTATTAATTGTTTCCACATTAGGCTCTCGTGAGCTGGGTTAGCATATTTCTCTAATGCTAAAGTGTGACAAAAATGAGTTTCTAAGCAAACAAAGCTGAGCATCCAAACTTCAACTACCATAGCCAAACAGCCTCCTGACATGTAAATAGTCTTTAAATAAAGGTGTTTTTAACCTTACCTAACGGAGCCATCTTCAAATTCTTGGCAGCTAGATCATTTGTCAGTTATTGTGGCTTTGTTTTTTGTTTTCGAGACAGAGTTTCACTCTTGTTGCCCGGGCTGGAGTGCAGTGGCGCAATCTCGGCTCACTGCAACCTCCGCCCTCCAGGGTTCAAGCGATTCTCCTGTCTCAGCCTCCCGAGTAGCTGGGATTACAGGCATGTGCCACCATGCCCAGCTAAGTTTTTGTCTTTTTAGTAGAGACAAGGTTTCACCATGTTGATTAGGCCAGTCTTGAACTCCTGATCTCAGATGATCCGCCCGCCTCGGCCTCCCAAAGTGCTGGGATTACAGGCGTGAGCCATGGCTCCCGGCCCAATTATTGTGTTTTTAACTGGAAAGCAAATCTGGGAGAGAAGGTTAAGCTCCTTAAATTTATCAGGCAGACGTGTGTTCACTGCTATGTGAGGGGCACTCAGGATTATGACCAGAGGAGGGCTGAATTCCACTGAAGGAAGAGGACAGGGGAGGTATGGAGAAGGCGGCCACAAAATTTCCCATAGAAATGACATATATTTTCCTACAAACTATCATCAACTTGGCCTGGTAAATATTTGTCGAGCTTGTTAAAAATCTTCATTTGAAGATTAAAAGTAGTGCCAGGAAAAAAACTGTGGTGTCTGCTTGATGCACATTTTTAGTAGATACACACAGAAATGAACTGAGGATCACCGCTTTCGGTCTTTGTGGCAGTCCACCTTCTCTCTGTCCTGGGACTGTCTGTGGCTCAGTCATTGGAGGGAGACACAAACCAGGGAGGAAAGAACAACAAACAAACATTCTGAGAAAAACACTGAAATTCAGAACTGGTCCAAGAACAGACATTCCATGCTATTTATGTTGCAGCAAAAGAGTATAGAAATATGCCTGTGGCCCTCCAAACTAAATCTGACAAACTGCTGTCTGGGCACCAGAGATTCCCAAACTGTAGAGTGTTGTTGGGACTACAGGGCACAGCTGGGAAGATGTGCCTCGCCCCATTATCCCTGTGTCTTGGCTCCTGTATGCAATGCCTCTGTGTCCTCTCAGGGATAAGGCCCTTTATGCTGTTTCTACCCCTCTGTCTTCCAAGACATTGGAGACCTAATGAGTCACTGGCATTTTGTTTCCGTATTGCCCAGTGGAAACTGTTTGTTGGTGTAGGTAACTTGATTTCAGAATATTTTTTATATGGTCATGAAAATAGATTACAATGAAAGAGTAGAAGATTCTTATCAGAGCATTTTTAACAGTACACCATGAGAAACTTAAAACATGTTGCAGAGAATAACTGGACTTCTGAGTTAGAATGAAATATTATTATATAATCTAATTCATTACTGCCTTTTCATCTATCTTACTAGGTTACTAAAATGCCAAGATTAAAATCACAGTATTTAATCACTTGCATTACCCATTATGAGAGCATTAAACAAGGTTTACATGCCAGATTATTACAATTTGCTCGCACATTGCTTGGGATACTGGAAATGTACACATATCTCCTGCATCTCTGCATGACTGCTCCAACTACTGGAAGACTGAAATATGTTGGTTTTTTACATAAGCTTATTTTTTGTTTTTTTAAATATAACAAGTAGACATCCTTCTTCATATTCAAGCAGTGGTCTGATAGAGAACAGAGGGTAGTTGTTCTTTTTAATGCATTTTTAACCAATTAATTAATTATTCAATAAATACCATTTTAATAAATCAAAATTTGTAAGAAAAAATTTGCTTTTGTCCCAGTGCAGTGGCTCCTGCCTTTAATATCAGCACTTTGGGAGGCTGAAGCAGAAGGATCACTCAAGCCTAGGAGTTCAAGATCAATCTGAGCAACATGGGGAGACCTCATCTCTAGAAAAATAAAAATAAAAAAATTAGACTGGCATGGTGGCACACTCCTACAGTCCCAGTCCCAGCTACTCGGGAGGCTGAGGCAGGAGGATCACTTGAGCCTGGGAGGTTGAGGCTGCAGTGGGCCATGAGTGCACCACTGCACTCCAGCCTGGGCAAGAGAGTGAGACCTTGCCTCAAATATATATATGTATACCTATATACATATACACATATATGTATACATATATATATACACACACATATATGTATACATATATATGTATATATACATATATACACATATATGTATATATACACATATATATACACATATATGTTTTTCTTCCTTTCCATACACTAAAGAAAACAAATATCTAAAATGTTCAAGAGTAAAACAGTAGACACTGTCATAAATCTGCACAATCCTATACTTTTTTTTCCCTCTATGCAAGGTAAGCTTTCAGATAACCTCTGCCCTAGAAACACCACGTGACCCTGAGAGGTGCAGATGGTTATGGTGGTTACTTTCCATCTGCTCTTCCTCCTCCCCAAGGCCACAGCCTGTGTGGGGAGTCTCGTCTTTAAGGTCTGAATCAGCTGGCTCGCCTTCCCTCCGGTTTCCACTTAAGGGAAGCAAGGCAGGAGATGGCAGGAAGGGAAAACAAGTCCCCTCCTCCCTCTCTGCTAGCTGTGGCTCTGTGGTATGGCATTGCTCCCCCAAGGCCACTGTTCCTGGTGGGCGAGCCCTCCTCTGCTGCTCCAGCCCTCACTGAATCACTTTTTCATTCCAACTTTGACTGTATTAGGGGCTTTACTATTACTTGTTTGTCCCCTTAACCCTACCCACACCTCTGTACATACCCACTCCATCAGCCCCCAGGCCCCTAGTTGATAAAATGGTTCCATTTCCAATCCTATTTTCATCATCTTTGTAGCTATGAAATATTTTTCCATGAATTCTTAATTGGCATATGCTTTTTACAAATTTACCATTTGGATTTTAATTTTTAAAAACTACATGTATAACCACACAGATGAACATTTCAATGATCTCTTCATTGGATATACATTTGATATCATTTGGCTGTGTCTCTACCCAAATCTCATCTTGAATTCCCATGTGTTGTTGGGGGGAACATGTGGGAGGTGGTTGAATCATGGAGGCGGGTCTGTTCTCCTGATGTTGAATGGGTCTCATGAGATCTGATGGTTTTATAGAGGGGAGTTTCCCTGCACGGGCTCTCTCCTCTTGTCTGCCACCATGTGAGAAGTGCCTTTCATCTTCCACCATGATTGTGAGGCCTCCCCAGCCACGTGGAACTGTAAGTCCATTAAACTTCTTTCTTTTGTAAATTGCCCAGTCTCGGGCATGTCTTTATCAGCAGCATGAAAATGGACTAATATAACATTTTATTGAAAATCCATTCCCTAAGAATCCGCTATGATTTCTGCACTTGGGAGAGATTTCAAGGAGCATGATACATGGTTGCATGGTCTCTTCTCTGAAAGAGCCTACAGTCAAATGAGGCAAAAGGCTACACTCAAAAGAAGTGTGTATGAGTAGATGTGACCTAATGAGTGGTGGCACAGCTAAAAAGCATTCACAGGAGGCTCCCAAAAGCATGTGGGTCATGAAAAATATGGACAATGAACCAGCACAAAAAGTAAATATGATTTGAATGAAAGTGGCCACTAAAGGTGAGGGCTAGAATATTGCTTAACGTATGCATTAATGCTAAGGTGATGAATATTTTCTTACATGGAGAATTTAAAGGCTAAGGCTGATTTTTTTAAAGACAGAGAAGGGAAAAGAAATATTTGTTTTAATGATGAAACATTACTTCAAGAGATTTTTGTAAATAAGTTTATTGGCCGGGCATAGTGGCTCGTGCCTATAATCCCAGCACTTTGGGAGGCTGAGTCGGGTGGATCACCTGAGGTGGAGAGTTTGAGACCAGTGTGACCAACATGGAGAAACCCCGTCTCTACTAAAAATACAAAAATAAATAAATAAATAAATAAATAAATAAAAAATTAGCCGGGCATGGTGGTGTATGCCTGTAATCCCAGCTACTTGCAAGGCTGAGGCTGCAGAATCGCTTGAACCCAGGAGGCGGAGGTTGTGGTGAGCTGAGATCACGCCATTGCACTCCAGCCAGGGCAATAAGAGCGAAACTCCGTCTCAAAAAAAAAAAAAAAAAGTCTCTTATTCTGAGTATAAAAGGACTTAATATTCCATGAATGAAAAAGACAAGTGGTTATTTAAGAAAAGAAATAGCCATTCACTCTATCCAAGCTAACCAATGTCAACATTTTAACATAATTACTTCCAGCATTTTCTCAGGCATTATGCACTTCTTACATATTAAAAATAAAAATCATGTATTTTGAATTATACTTTATTTCTTAGTATGATAAGGTTTTTCTATTATCTTTTAACTAACTCTCCATAAACATCATTTATAGTGCAGTGCAAATTAAAACCAAAATGAGTTATCATTAAACACCCACTAGAGTGGCTAAAATTAAGAAGTCTGACAGTGACAAGTGTTGATGAGGATTTAGGCCAACAGGAACTCTCAATATGAGCGCAAGCTAGAACTACCTCTTTGGAAAACAATCAGGCATTGGGTACTTGCACAAATTCTTACCATATATTCCAGCAATCCTTTTCTTTGGAATATATGAGACAATCACGTGTGCATATGTGCCACATGTACTCAAAGAGTCATAGCAGCATTAGTCATCCACTTAAAAATTGGAAACAACCTAATATCTATCAACAGTAGAATGGACAAATAATGCATACAATGAAACAGTAAACAGCTATGAAAATGAACAAACTACAACATAAAAAATCTCACAAACATAATGATGGATAGAAGAAGCCCAGCACCCATAAAAATAATGAAATAATTTCTTTTGAAACTACTCGGATGGAGCTAGAGGCCATTATTCTAGGTGAAGTAACTCAAGAATGGAAAACCAAATACCATATGTTCTCACTTATAACTGGGAGCTGAGCTATGGGTATGCAAAGGCATACAGAGTGGTATAATGAACTTTAGAGACTGAAAGGCAGCAGGGGGCGAGGGGTCAGCGGAGGGGAATAAAGGATAAAAAAACTACATATTGGGTACAATGTACACTACTGGTGTCACAGGTGCACTAAAATCTTAGACTTCACCACTATACACTTCATCCATGTAACCAAAAACCACTTGTACCCCAAAAGCTATTGAAATAAAAAATATGTAATAAAAAAGCTTTAAAAATAAAAAATATGTGATAAATAAAATGGGAAGTTCATCAGAAAAAAATTAAAATTAACTAAAAAAAGAAGAAAACTGGCACAAAAGAATATAATGTATGATCCCATTTATATAAAGTTCTTTAACAGGCAAAAGTCAACTTCAGTGTTAGGATAGTCAGGATAATGTTGACTTTCAGGTGGGTGGAGAGTATGGAAGAAGGGCTTATGAGGTGTGGGGATGTTCTATTTCTAGAACTGTTAAGTTAGAAGTTTTCACTCCATGATCATTCATCATCATTTACTGAGCTACATGTGTACATTTTGTGCAACTTTCTCTGTATTATTCATCAATAATTTTTTAAAAGGATACAT